>NC_000011.10:2181212-2484242 GCF_000001405.40 Homo sapiens
TGGGGGTGGGGGACCTGCCATGCTTCAGGGAGGGTGAGGCCAGTGGCCAGCACAGCACAGTTCGGGGCACACAATGGGGAGGTGGAAGGGCTGTGGTGTGGCCACACTCCCCTCACCCCACAGTCTCCAAAAGAGGATTTAACTTCTATTTTTTAAATGTTTATTTTGAGAGACAGGGTCTTTGTCACCCAGGCTGAAGTGCAGTGGCTTGATCATGGCTCACTGAAGCCTTGACCTCCCGGGCTCAAGCCATCCTCCCATTTCAGCCTCCCAAGTAGCTGGAGCTGCAGGGGCACACCAGCACGCCTGGCTATTTTTAAAAATTTTTTTGTAGAGAGGGGGTCTCACTGTGTTGCCCAGGCTGGTCTCAATCTCCTGGCCTCAAGTAATCCTCCCACCTTAGCCTCCCCAAATTCTGGGATTACAGGCTCGGCTACCACACCCGGCCAGGATTCCAAATCCTTGCAAGTTCCCCAGATTCTGGGCCTGGGGAGCCTCCCGGGATCTTCTGGGCCTCTGTTCTGTCTGCCAAGGCTGCTTTCTAGGGGAGGAAAAGTAACCAGAAACCAGGAGGCCTGAGCTCCTGGCCAGCAGGTCTCAGGAAAACTAGGGCCTGAGAAGCATCAAGAGCCCTGTCACAGAGCTGGTGGGGCCACAACCCAGGCCACTCCCATCCCCAGGAGCCAGGAGAAACTGGGCGGGCCCTTGGGATGAAGAACTGTCACCAAGGCTGCTGGGCCCCCCACCCTGTGCAATCAGATTGGGGAGCGAGGGCGTCCCGGAGATGGAGCAGGTGGGGCAGGGTGTGGACCCTGTGTCCCTGGGGCCCTGGGGGCCACAGGTGTAGGGAGACACCTTGGTCTCTGCACAGCAGCCATAGTGGCTTCTGGCTCCTTCCCTGCACTGTCAGCCTCAGCCTCAGCCAGTCCGGGTCAGTCCGGGCCAGGCGGGCAGCCAACCCAAGAAAGCCCCTACTCGTGCAGCCGAGGACACAGAGGGGGCAAAAACTGCATCCAGGGAAGAAAGGGCTGTGGGCAGGTGCCACAGGCCAGGGCTGAGAGGGCGGGCACCCTCTGTGGAGCCGACCTTGGAGCAAGGCTGCCCGGGCAGGAGTCTCCCAGCGCAGGGCACGGCCCATGCAGAAGCTTCCGACCGGAGAGCTGGTGGCACGCCCAGGACCCTCCCTCCCGCCAGGGCCTCGGTCCAGACCCACCCGTCCTCATCTTAGGCAGGGCTTATTGGCCGTGCGATTACTTTGGGGCCTGGGATGAACTCAGCTGGACGCCTCAGCTTGCCGCCTGTTTTTAATAAAGGGTCCCCCAAACAGGGGACCTTCCTTCTGCCCCGCCCCCGCCCCACAGGTCCCCAGCAGCGGCACCTTTCTGCGTGTGTGTGACCGATTCGTTCACGTCGACTCCTCCCCTGGACAGAGGCTTCTGGAAAACTAAAGTTGGCCCCTTGGTTCCCCCCTTGCCAGGCAGGGCTGGCCCTCAGAGCCTGGTGGATGAACAGACCAGGAGGGAAGTTTGGGAACACCCGGCTCAGAGATGAGAAGAGAGGGTGGATCAGCCGCCACATGGCAAAGCCATGGGCCAGCTCTCCCTGCCACGGCCAGTGGACCCGGGACTTGGGTTCTCCAGCATGGGCCCAGGCGGCTCGGAGCAGGGGCTGCTTCCCTCCGGCCCTTTCCCCGAAGCCCGCTCCCTTCTCCACCCCCGTCCCTGCCCACTCCCCGCAGGCCGGGGTGCACTTGGAGCCCCGAGGACCTCCGAGGCTGTCGCCACCCTCCTCTGTTCTGACTGCTTTCTATTACTGGGCTTGTAAAATGATTATTGTTTTGCTGTGGTAAGATGTACATAATATAAGATTTACCTGTTTTTTTTGTTTGTTTGTTTGTTTTCGTTTTTGATTTTTTTTTTTTGAGGCAGGGTTTCAGTCTGTCCCCCAGGCTGCAGTGCAGTGGCACAATTTTGGCTTACTGCAGCCTCGAACACCTGGGTTCAAGCAATCCCCCCACCTCAGCCCCCCAAGTAGCTGGGACTATAAGCAGGTGCCACCACATCCGGCTTTTTTGTAGAGATGAGGTTTCTCTGTGTTGCCCATGCTGGTCTTGAACCCTGGCACTCAAGTGACCCTCACACCTCCCAGCACCTCAGCCTCCTAGAGTGCTAGGCTTGCAGGCGTGAGCCACTGCGCCTGGCTAAATTTTACCATTTTAACCACTGTTCATTGTCCAGTTCAGTGGCATTAAGTACATTCACATGGTTGCAAAACCGTCACCACTGCCATCTCCAGGACTCTTTTCATCTTCTAAAACTGAAACTCTGTTCCCCATTAAACACTCGTTCTTCAGCTCCTGGTACCGACAATGGCTCTCTGTCTCTACGCCTGTGACTGCCTTAGGGACTGTGTCTAAGTGGGATGCTGCAGTACCTGTGCTTCTGAGGCTTATTTCACTCAGCACGATGCCCTCGGGGTCATCCCTATGCAGCAGTGTCAGAATTTTCTTCCTCTCTAGGATGGGCCATCTTTTGTCCATTCATTCACCTGTCAACACACACTTGGGTTGCTTCCGCTTTTTGGCTCTTGTGAGTTCTGAACCTATGAACGTGAGCATACAAGCATCTCCTTGAGACTCCCCCTCTTTTTTTTTTTTTTTTTTTTTTTTTTTTTTTGAGATGAAGTCTCGCTCTGTCCAGGCTGGAGTGCAGTGGCGTGATCTCGACTCACTGCAACCTCTGTCTCCCGGGTTCAAACGATTCTCCTGCCTCAGCCTCCCGAGTAGCTGGAATTACAGGCATGCGCCACCATGCCTGGCTAATTTTTATATTTTTAGTAGAGACAGGGTTTCACCATATTGGCCAGGCTGGTCTGGAACTCCTGACCTCATGATTCACCTGCCTCGGCATCCCAAAGTGCTGGGATTACAGGAGTGAGCCACCGCGCCCAGCTGAGACCCCCCTTTCTGTATACACATACACACACACATACGTTTTTTAAGAGATGGGGCCTCACTCTGTCACCCAGGAGTGCAGTGGCACCATCATAGCTCACTGCAGCTTCAAACTCCTGGGCTCAAGCAATCCTCCCACCTCAGCCTCCCAAGGAGCTGGGAATGCAGGTGCGCACCACCACGCCCAGCTAATGTTTTAATTTCTTGTAGAGATAGGGGATCTCCATATGTTGCCCAGGCTGGTGTTGGACTCCTGGCCTGGGTGATCCTCCTGCCTTGGCCTCCTAAAGTGTTGGAATTATAGGCATGAGTCACTGCACCCAGCCTTCTTTCAATTCTTTTGGGGCTAGACCTAGAGGTGGCATTGTTGGGCCATGTTGGACCATTACACACTCCCCCCAACAGAGCACAAGACTTCCAATTTCTCTACATCTATATTATTTTTAATTTTAGTTACATGAGCAACAGATTCTCCTTTGAACACACACATACACACGTGCACAAACACAAATATAAAAAGGTGCGTGTGCTCCTGGCCCCCCAGCCTGGATACTGGAGGGTGAGCCCCTTTGGGGAGGAGGGAAATCATGAGCTTATGAGCTCTGGGAGCCCACATTCATGTTCTTAGGAATGCCCCAGCACCTCTCCCGTCACACTCCGCCAGCGCGACCCAACAGCGTCTGTCTTCCAGGTCATCATCCACGCCCGACATTACAAAGCTTGAATGACACTTCAGCGGCATCTCAGGTCCGCTTGCTTCCCGAGCATCTCTACTTCTCCCTCTCTCGAACGATCCCTTCACTTCCTCCCCTCATCTTCCCTTTGGAGCTTACACTTTTCCTGATGAGATGTGGGAATTCTTTACGCATTCCCGACATGAATCCTTTTCGGCAGGAAGTATCATCTCCCAGAGCCTGGTCCACCCTTTACCGTGTTTATGGAGACTGTGGTCATCAAGAAGGCTTGGCAATGATGTGGCTTCGGGGAGCCACGCTTGTCAACCGTCTCCTTTGTGGTTTCTGCCATCCGGATCTTGTCCAACAACCTACCCCAAAAACAGCAATGTTCCCCCAAAGAAGGGAAGCACCAGCACCTTTCTCGTGCACACTGGGGTAGGGGACTGTGTTCCCAGAAAAGCACATGTAATGTCATAGCGCAGTTTTGCATTTAGAAGCAATAGCAACCGATGGTCTATTGTTTCTCTTTTACAAACCACAGATGGTGGGCTGGGCAGAATCTTCTGAATTGGGGTGAATGTATCTGTGAGTGCCTGTGCAGGGGAGGCAGCATGGAGGGCATGGCCTCCAGGCAATGCTGATGCTGAGGTTTTGATGTTTATCAAAGGGATCAAGGGTTAGGAAGGCAGAGAGAGCTGTCAGCTCCACAAGCACTGAGATGCCGCAGGGAGCCCTGCGGAGGGAGCAGGCAGGCCATGCACCCCACCTTCCTTGGGGAGGGCCTGGGCGCCAGGGCTGGGCGACATGAGGAGGCTGACTCTGTCCAGGCCACCTCGGGATCCCCGCCCCCTGCGCCAGCGCGCCTCTGGAGTGGCTTCCCATTCGGACCAGAATGGGGACCCTCAGGCTTGCATCCTCTGAGGGTTCGTCTACGGGCACAGGGGGCCTGGGCTGGCCCTGGACTCGAGGCCGATGTCATTACCGCTGCCCTGACAGTGTCAGAGCCTGCGCCTGGCTCGCGCTCCAGAGAAGGAGCTGCAAAACTCAGCCTAGATTGGCAGTCTCCCAAGGAAGCTGGGCGAGGGCGTTCAGCTGGAGCTGGGGTGGGGGCATAGGGAAGGCGGTGGTGCCAGAGCGGGTTTGGCTGTTTGGAAGGGGGTGGGGATGGCAGGATCTCCAAATGACCTCCTCTGGAAGGAGCCCTTTCCTTCTAGATTCAGCTCCTGGGGTCCCCACCCTTATGATCCTCAGAGTGCTGTATGCCCCCTCCCCACTGTCCGCCTGGGCAGGGAGCAGTCACGGGGTGGAGCTGGCGTCCAACATCCTGGCCCCTCTTCCTGGCTCCCACCTGGCACCCAGGTGTAAATGGCTGTGGTTTGGGGCGTTCCAGTCCCTCCCCATCTGACCTCTGCTTGCCACCTTCTCCGATCCAGGCTATTGCCCCCTCAGCCCCAGGGCCTCTCACCTTCTCCACATCCCCACGGAGAGCTGGGAGTCCAAACAAATCCCACGGTCCATGCAGCCTGCCACAGCTCCATGAGACACCCAGGCTTAGTGAGGACCCCTGAAATGTGTACACAGGCCTCACGGTTCTTCCCAGCCACCCTCACTCTATCTCTTTCCAGCAAACACCTCCCAATACAGGTGCTTCATTGATTTCATCAAACGCACGTTGCCTTGGCCACTCTCTTACTCAAGCACTTTCAATGGCTCCCACTGCCTGAAAATGATGGCATGACCTCAGGTCTTGCCAACGCAGGGCCCCTGGTGGGCCGGACCCCCCACTCTCTAGCACTTCCCCTCCTCTGCGTCCTTCTGCTCACAACCCCCACGCTCCAGTCTCAGAGCCCATGGGAGGGGCCTCCTTTGACATTAGGAGTAAAATTTCCAGGCATTTTTAGACAACAACACGTTTGAATATTGACTCTGACCTGCCGTAGATGCCCCGGTAAGCTTATTTTATAAAGGACCCCAGCACAAAGGCCTTCTCAGCCTGATATCCCTGTGGGCACCACAGGATGGCGCCCAGACGCAAGCACTTGGGCAGCCTTCACCCAGAGGACGCACGTGTGCTCCCTCGGAGCCTCCAGGTGAAGCCACTGCAACCCCCGCTGAGGAGACAAAAGATGAGGGCGGCCCACCCAGGCCTCCCTGGAGAGGCTGCTGAAAAGGGCGGCTGCATTCGAAGGGCAGCAGAGGCAGGAGCAGGAGGCACGGCCGGGCGAAGGGGGCCCTTCCCAGGATGGCAGCCCGAGAAGGAAGCGGCGCCAGGCAGCCAGGGACTGACTGCTCTCCATGACAAGCTGCGAACACAAGATATCTAAGTGCGTGCACACACACAGACACACACACACACAAACACACCACACACCACATACACACCACACACCACACACCACACACACACACAGATGCACACCACACCATACACACACCACACGCCACATACAACACACACAAACCACACACACCACATACACACCACACACATGCACACCACACACACCACACCACATCACATACAAACACACCACACACAAACCACACATATACACACCATACACACAAACACCACACGCCACATACGCACACATACGCACATGCACACCACACACACAAACACCACATGCCACATACACACCACACACACACACCACACACCACATACACACAAGCTACATGCCACACACACCATACACACACCACACACAAACACCACACACACCTACATACATACCATGCCCCACATACACACAAGCTACACGCCACACACAACACACACAAACCACACACACCGCACATACCACACACGCCTACATACATACCACATAGACACAAACCACATGCCACATGCAACACACATAAACCACACACCACACACACACCAGACACTACACACACACCACACATACACACCACACACACCACACAACACACACACCTACATACACGCCACACACATGCCACACAAACTACACCAATCATACACACACACCACACACACCACACACCACATACACTACACACAATACACACCGCACACACAACACACTTACCTACATACACACCACACACATACACACCACACGCTACACACCACACACACAACCACACACACCCCACACACTCCACACATACCACACACACCATATACCACACACATCACAAACACACATCATACACACAGCACACTCACCCCACACAACTCCACATGTCACACACATGAACACACCACATACTACACATGCCATACCCACACACGTGTGCTCTATCCACACAGCCTCTGGGCGGGGAGGTAGGAACCTGGCACAGGGCTGTCCCGTGGCCCTGTTGTGTGTTCGTGGAATGTGTATAGATCCCTATTCACAAATACGTAGAGGAGAGACTGGCAATCCCCCTGGCAAATGCAGTCCCGTGATCTTTGGCACAGGTGCCAAGGCCATTCAGTGGGGAAAGGACAGCCTCCTCCACAGACGGGGCTGGGAAACCGGGATGCCCACATGCAGAAGTGTGACGCTGGAACCCTCCCTTCCCATCCAAAAATTACCCCCAAACAGGTCAACGGCCTGGACGTAGGGCCTGAGACGGTAGAGAGAACACACAGGGCAAAAGCTTCATGGCCTCACACCTGGCAGTGATTTCCCAGATGTGACACCAAAGGTGCAAGCAACAAAGAGATAAATTGGGCTTGAAAATTAAAACAAACAAACAAACAAACAAACAACTTTGTGCATCAGAGGACATCATCAACCGTAAAAAGGCAACTCCCAGAACAGGAGAAAATGCCGCAAATCACACACCTGATCGGGGAGTAGTACCCGGAACCCACAGAGAACCCCTAAAACACAACCGCCAAACACCAGATTCAAAAGTGGGCGAAGGACGTAGACGGGCGCCTCTCCAGGGAAGGTGTATCCAGGACAGCAGCCGCAGGGAAAGGTGCTCAATGCCACGAATCATTAGGGCAATGCCAATCAAAATCACGGCGCGACAGGATTCCACACCCGTTAGGGTGGCCACCGTCAACAAACCCAAACAATGCAGAACACAAAATAGCAAGTGCTCACGAGAATGTGGAGAAATCAGAGCCCCTGCGGTGGGTCGTGCCGCAGGGCAGCCGCTGCGGACAGCACCCTGGCAGCTCCCCCGCGGGTTAAAGAGGCACTACAGGCTGCCGCAATCCTGTTCCTACGTGGATGCCCAGAAGAAATGAAACCTATGTCCACCCAGGAACGTGTGTGTGACTGCTCACAACAGTGTTATTCACTATTGCTGGAAAGTGGAACCAACCCAGTGTCCGCCGGCTAAGAGCAAAATGTGGTCCACGCATACAACGGGGCACGATTCAGATTCAGCCTCAAAAAGGAAGGACATTCTTTTTTTTTTTTTTTTTTTTTGAGGCGGAGTCTCGCTCTGTCACCCAGGCTGGAGTGCAGTGGGGCGATCTCGGCTCACTGCAAGCTCCGCCTCCCGTGTTCACGCCATTCTCCTGCCGCAGCCTCCCGAGTAGCTGGGACTACAGGTACCCACCACCAGGCCCGGCTAATTTTTTGTATTTTTAGTAGAGACGGGGTTTTACCGTGTTAGCCAGGATGGTCTCGATCTCCTGACCTTGTGATCCACCCGCCTCGGCCGCCCAAAGTGCTGGGATTACAGGCATGAGCCACGGCGCCCGGCCCAGGAAGGACATTCTTACATCCGCTACACCGTGGATGAACCTCGAGAACCTTACAATCAGGGAGAGGAGCCAGTCACAACAGGACAAATGCTGCCCGAGTCCACTCCCACGTGGTCCCTAAAGACGTCAAATCTGTCAGGATGGAGAGGAGAATGGGGCTGCGGGGGGCTGGCGGAGGGGATGGGGCGTGAGTGTTTCAGGGGACAGAGTTCGGTTTGGGAAGATGACAGAGTTCTGGAGATGACGGTGGTGATGGCTGCCCGGCAACGTGAATGTGCTTAATGCTGCCGAACCGTGCACTGGAAGTGGTTCAGATGAGAAGTTTTGTGTTATGTGTATTTGACCACAAAAAACTGGAAAAAGTATAACACAAATAAAGGGAGAAAAGCATGTTGACAAAGAGACCCCAGAGCGAACTCTTCTGCTGGATGGCGGGCTGCCTCACGTGTTTTTCTTTGCCAGGCCTGGAGTTTCCACCGCAGTCAGCGTGCACAGAGGCCTGGGCTGGAGGCAGAGACCGGCCGGGTCAGTGGCAAGGCTGTCTCTCAGCAACCCTGGGGCAGAGCAAGCAGCTCCTCCCGGGAGGCCAGGGGGGCACTGGACACAGGCCCACTCAGGGGCCGGGCAGCTGGTGGGCACACCCCCCGGGTGCTGGGAGTGCACAGCCACTGAGGCAGCACCTCAGGGAGCCCTGGGGCGTGTCCCCTCTGGGTCTACACAGCACTAAGGCCGCCCCTGGGGCATAAGGTCGGCAGCCTGCCTGCCACGGCACTGCGCTGCCTGTGCCCTCCTCATGGGCAGAGTGGGCATCCAGAGCCTGGCAGGACCCCCTCTGGCTTGTTGTCCACAAGTCCCCAGTTACACAGCCCAGGCCGGCTTCCGAGGGGCACGGTGACAGAGCCTCTCCCCGCCCTCTGCAGGAAGCCGGGAAAGAAGGGTGGACCCTTCCCGTTCCAGGCTGCTCCCGCCCCACAGGGATGGCCGTGTTGGCGGTGAAGCCTGAGGCTCAGGGTCCAGGCAGAAAGCGCTGGTTCCTCCAGACTGCCAAGCGCGGTTGCTATTTATTTCTTCTCCATTAAAAGCCTCGGGACCGTTTATTGATTTCTTGCTAAGATGTGTTATCGTCCATGATACAGCAAAGTGAACAAAACTGGAGAAAACAGGGGCAGAGGCGAAGGCGAACGCACACGTGGCCGCCCTGCTAATGGGGCTCTGAGCATCTTGTTTCGCTGTCACCGCAGGTGGCCTTGCTGCCATCATCCCGCTGCGTGTCAGAAACCTTTTCCATGGCGTCTGTATCAATCCGCTTTTAACAAGGAGGAAGGAAGGGCCCGAGCCCGTGCCAGCTGCCTGGGGGTGAGGGCTGCCTGCCCCTGGGCCTTCGGCTGAGTAGGTTTGGAAAGCACTCCCTTTGTCTAATTACGCCTGATCCGGTATCCAGGGAAACAGCTGCATCTTAATCCTCAGGGCAGGACGTTAGTTTGTCTTTTATCTGTCCACAATCGGCACCGGGGCCACGTGGAGCCAAATTGTGTTGACTTCTTGCACGCACGCGGAGGCTAATTGCAGGGACACGGAAAGCCAGAGACCCCTGAGAGTGGAGCAGCCTCCCAGTGTGCAGGGGGCAGAGCCGGGGGCTGCCCATGCTGAGCAAGCCCAGGGCACCTGCCTGGCGGGAAGGTCGGGGTGGAGGAAGCGGATGCAGGTGGCTGAGATTGCAGAGGGAGAAAGCAAAGGAGGAAGGAGAGAGAGGGAAGGAGGAGGATGAGGGAGGGGAAGGAGGAGGCCCTGAGGCTGTCTCAGGGAGGGGCCTGGGGCCTAGGACTCTGAGGAAGAGGAACAGAACTGTTCCCCAGTCCCCTTTGTCTGTTGACTTTGTCACCAGGCACATGCTAACCTTTCGGTGGACGAGGGTGTTGGTGGCTTCAATTTGTTATTGAGGAAGCACAGATTTTTGTTTTCGTTTTGAGACAGGTCTCTCTCTGTCACCCAGGCTGGAGTGCAGTGGCAGGATCATGGCTCACTGCAATCTCCATGGCCTCAATCAATCCTCCGACCTCAGCCTCCTGAGTAGCTGGGACTACAGGTACACGCCACCATGCCCTGCGAATTTGAAAACAATTTTTTGTAGAGACGGGGTCTCACTGTGTTGCCCAGGCTAGTCTCAAACTCCTGGGCTTAAGCGATGCCCCTGCCTTGACCACCCAAAGCATTGGGATTACAGGCTTGAGCCACCACACCTGGCCTGAAACCACAGTTTTTTAACTGAAAAAATAGGTATATATATATTTACGATTAAAAGAGTAACCCCACGCTCACTAGAAAAATGCAAAAGATACAGAAATGCATAAAGAAACCAAATGGCCTCAGAACTCCTAAAGCAAACACACGGACTAGGTAAAGTCCCCTGGGGAACAATCTGTGACCCCTCCTCCCCGAGCCTGGATAAATCAGGTGCCCTGTGTGGACACCCCATGGGACACGAGATTCAAAGTGGTGGCTATGTCTGGGGAAGGAGGGAAGGAGGGAGGGAAGCACAGTGAGCCAGGGGCGTGGGCAGGGCTGGTTTCTTGTTCTTTAAATCAAGGTGCACATGAGGCTAAGTCCAGGTTTGACAGAGCTGGGCGGTGGCCACTCCATGGTGCTGGTGATGACTATCTTTGTGAACCGAGACGGCCAATCATTAACATCCCCTAGACCCCTGGGGTACACCCTGGAGGGGCCCCTGCTAGGTGTGGTGTGACTTCTCAGGGGGGAAGCAGAAATGCACCCTCCTGGGTCACCCCCTCCAGGCTGAGACCCGAGGGGGTCTCAGTTCACTGTGACCTCGGCAGCGAGAGGTCCCCAGCCATAGGCCCTGTGGTCCAGCCAGGGCTCCCGACCTCCCAGCTCCCCGCCCCCCCATATTCCACACCCAAAGGAGGTGATTTTTCTCTCAGAAAGCGGGGGCTTGTTGGCTTAACCTGGGACACTCCTGGCCCGGCAGTCAATAGAGCAGCTGTCTCCAGGCTGGCCGAGGGCATGCCCGTGGGCAGGGGTCCATGTCGTGAGCTACCAGGGTGCCCCCCATGGTTGGGTGCTCTCCCCACAGCACAAAAACTCGGCTCCAAGGAGGATCAGCCATTCCCGGAGGGAGTGGAGGCTCAGGGACCCCCCACCAAGGGCCTGGTCTGGGGCAGCTGGGACTGAGCAGTCTTCTTCAGGGGAGCAGCCTTGGGAACCCCAGAAGGCAGAGCCCGGTGTCTTGAGCTGACTCTGCAGGGGGGTGCACAGCGGCCGACCACTGCATGTGGGCCCCCCTCCCTCCCTTTCTCCCCTGTTTCCAGGGGTAAGGCTGGCTACAGCCCTGCCCACTGAGGGGCCAGTGTTGTCCTGGGCATCAGGCACTGGTGCAGGGTCTGACAGTGTCTAGGTAAACAGGAGAGAGGCTGCCTGGGGGCAGCTCAGAGGCCAGAACAGGGTTGGCCCTGGGGAGGTTGCTGTGTAAAAACGAGGCCCAGCTTGGTGGCGCATGCCTGTAATCCCGGCCACTCAGGAGGCTGAGGCAGGAGAATAGCTTGAACCAGGGAGTCAGAGTTTGCAGTGAGCCGAGATTGTGCCACCGCACTCCAGCCTGGGCCACAGAGTGAGACTCCGTCTCCTCAAAAAAAAGAGGAGGCCCAGGCTCGAGGCCTCATTTGGCCACTCTCCGGTGGGCCTCAGTGTCCCCACCTGGGTGGCATGTGTCCTTATACCAACCCCGTGGGCTACGGTGGGAATCAGCGGAGTGACAGGGTGCAATGATGGCTCAGGCAGATACAGTGGCGTCACAGGGCCTGGTGGGTGCACCAGCCCCAGACGGTCCTGCTGGCTGTGGCACAAGATGTTCTCTCCCAGGATGTGCATCCTGACCTTGCCTGCGGGCACCGCTGAGCTGCTCTGCTCTGCGACACAGTGGCCCTGGTCTGTGTCACTGTGACAGGTGACACCATTGCTCCGCTCCACTGGGAGGTAGGCAGAGGCTCCAGGCAGGGGCAGGGTGTGCCGTGTGCTGTCCTCAGCAGCGGGGAGACCGAGGAAGGCACAGCTCTGTCAGGATGCGGGCTGGGGGTCAATTAAGGAGAGACCGTCCATGAGGGCAGCAGGGGCCCAAGTGGACACAGGGAGGGGAAAAGCAGGGGCAGGAATGGAGGCACCATCGGGCCGGCCTGGAGCAGGGAGTACAGGGTGGAGCACGGGGCGGGAGCTCGGCACAGTGCCCAGCAGGGGCCCAGCCCCACCCTTGTTCTTGGAAGGGCCTCAGCTACAGGCCTGCAGGGAAGCTCCTGTTTACTGTCCGGTCCACCCTCGCTGGGGGCTGCTATGAACCCCATGGAGGGCAGGCCCCTGGGAATCCACCCACAGGGACACCCCACCTGAAACCCCATACTCGAGGCCTAGCCCTCTGTACCCTCGGCCCCACGTTCTTCTCCCTCAAGACCCCAGACTCCAAACCCGGGGGGTGGGGAGCTGGGGCCTGTGCCCGGGGACTTATCAGAGTAGTGCTGGTGTTGAAACAGCTGCGATTTGTGCGCACACATGGGAGAGTCAGAGCGTGTGAGCCCGGCCCTGTGTGCACACACATGTGAGAGTCAGAGTGTGTGAGCCCGGCCCTGTGTGCACACATGTGAGAGTCAGAGTGTGTGAACCTGGCCCTGTGTGCACACATGTGAGAGTCAGAGTGTGTGAGCCCGGCCCTGTGTGCACACATGTGAGAGTCAGAGTGTGTGAGCCCGGCCCTGTGTGCACACATGTGAGAGTCAGAGTGTGTGAGCCCGGCCCTGTGTGCACACATGTGAGAGTCAGAGTGTGTGAACCTGGCCCTGTGTGCACCCGTGTGTGCATGCCGAGGGTCAATGGAAGACCAGGCCACCTGTGAAGGCCAGCTTAGCCTGCTGAGAGCGGTGATGGTGGCTGCAAGCGGGGACAGGGAGGGAGGGGACAGCAGATGGGGAGGCGTTGGGTCCTGGTCCTGCCGCCCAGCTGGATCTGGGACCTGCCTGCAGGGACAGGGACAAACCTGAGCAGGCTGTGCGCCCTTCCTGGGCACAAGGGTCTCCATGGTGTGCACGGGTGCTTCTGCAGGGCATGGACGTGAGTTTGCTGCAGATGGGCTGAGTGTGTGTGCGTTTGTATGTGACTGCGTGCATCTGTGGGCTGAGAAGTTGCAAGTATGTTTCTCCCTGGATCATGTTGATCTGGGATATGGATGGGGTGGGGTCCTGGGTCCTGCAGCTTCCCTGGCCCCTGCACCCTGAGCTCACCCCAGGGACCCTCCAGCATGCTTGCTCCCAGGGGCTCCGGCGCCTGCCCCACTCCCACTTGTCCACACCCTCTAGCTCCGTGGATGGGGATGGCTGCAGCCACACTCAAGCCCATGCCCCAGCTAAGCTCCGCTGGCCACCGCTCCTCTTCTCTGCAGCTGTCATCCTCTCTCTTGCTGCCTGGGGTGCACACTTCTTGGTGGGTGGCAGGTGGCAGGCATGCTGGGCCATCTCTGTCCTTGCAGACTGAGGCCCAGCCCCTTCCCTGGTGTTCCCTGAGGCTGGCACCCCCTTGCGGCCATCTGCGGCATAACCTCGCTCCCGGCCGCCTGTGCCGGAAAGAGGCTGGGGGTCCACAAAGCCCCCTCCCTGCCCGGGGAGGGGCCTGGCAGGCAAACCTGACAGGGCAGTCTGTGGGGACATTTGTGGGCACCTCAGGGGCCCCCGGGCCAGCTGGCATCGGGTGCACTGAAGGTGGGTGCCCATGGGCCCCAATTTCCCAGATGCCTCTGGGCTCCCCAAGTCCCTGACATGGTCAGTCAGGGGTAGAATTTTCTAGGGACACTTCCACACAGCTCCCAGACACCCAGGTAGGAGCAGGGGGCTTCTCGAAAGGTCTCTGGAGGCCTGAGAGGACCTCTGCCCCTCACTGACTCCCACCAAGGGCTCTTTCCTCCCTTCTGAATTGGCCAGCCCACCCTTAGCAAACCGGCCATGCAGTGAGCACTCATGCAGTCAGGCCCTGGCTTGTTCTGGGGGGCCACGCGGCTCCAAGTTCAGACCCCAGCCCTGAGCAAGGCTGCTCCCCGCTTCCCGCCCCCGGGGAGGGTTGCGCTGAGGTATTCGCAATGGGGCACCCCCCAGCTTTGCAGGGCACTGGTGGCCTCGCAAATTTGTGCAGCACCACGACGCCCTGGGGCTGTATTTCCATCACCCCCATTCCACAGGTGGGAAAACGGAAGCCTGTGGACAGTGAGTGGCAGCGGGGCCCAGGCCTTCAGACTAGGGGAGCCAGGCTGCTTCCACCTCCTTGAGGAAGAGGCATCTTGGGAGGAGGGCGTCCTGGCCTGCCAAGATGGGGGGCCGGTGCCCACCCCTGCCTGTGAGTCAGGGCATCAGATCTCGTGGGCACCACTCACAGGGGCAGATGTGGCAGGGGTCAGCTTGGGCCTGGGCTGGATCTGGGGTCTTGGCATCAGGGGGCTGAATCTGGCCTGGTAGAGGGTGGGCCGTCCCTGGGCTGTGCTGTGGCCCAGCTGGCTCTGGGCTCCAGCCACCGCCATGCTCACTATTATCCTCGAGAAACCGGTGGGCCCAGGAACACTGGGGGGAGGTGAAGACCTGGGTTCTGGACCACACAGGTCATGGGGGTCTCCATCTGTAGCAGGGAGAGGGGTAGAGGGTTTGAGGTGAACAGAAGGATGGGTGTGTGGCCTCATCAGTCTCTGTTTCTCTGTTTGCCTCTGTCTCTACCTGCCTCTCTCCCCATCTCTGTCTATCTCTATCTGTGTCTCTGTCTGTCTGTCTCCATCTCTATCTGTCTCTTCCCCATCTGTCTCTATCTTTGCGTCTCTATTTCTCTGCTTCTGTCTCTGTCTCTGTTTCTCTTCCCATCTCTGTCTCTCTCTAATTCTGTCTTTGTATCTCCATCTCTTTCTCCATTTCTGCATCTCTGTCTCCCCATCTGTGTCTCCCTGTCTCTGCGTCTCTGTTCCCCCGTCTCTCTGTTTCTGTCTGTCTATCTCCCCGTGTCTGTGTCCCTGTCTCTGCATCTCCGTCTGCTTGTCTCTGTCTTCATCTCTGTGCCTCTGTCTCCCCGTCTCCTTCCCTCTGTCTCCCTGTCTCTCTGTCTTTGTCTCCCTGTGTCTCTGTCTCCCCGTCTCTGTCTCCATCTCTGCATCTCTGTCTCCCCGCCTCCATCTCTCTTCTGTCTCCCTGCGTCTCTGTCTCCTCATCTCTGTCTTCGTCTCCGCGTCTCTGTCTCCCCGTCTCCATCCCTCTGTCTCTCTGTGTCTCTGTCTCCCTGTCTCTCTGTTTCTGTCTCTCTGTCTCCATCTCTGTGTCTCTGTCTCCCCGCCTCCATCTCTCTTCTGTCTCTCTGCATCTCTGTCTCCCCATCTCTGTGTCCTTGTCTCTGTGTCTCTGTCTCCTCATCTCTGTCTTCATCTCTATGTCTCTGTCTCCCCTTCTCCATCTCTCTGTCTCTCTGTGTCTCTGTCTCCCTGTCTTTGTCTCTCTGTGTCTCTGTCTCCCTGTCTCTGTCTCCATCTCTGCATCTCTGTCTCCCCACCTCCATCTCTC
Organism: Homo sapiens; assembly: GCF_000001405.40. NCBI lineage: Eukaryota > Metazoa > Chordata > Mammalia > Primates > Hominidae > Homo > Homo sapiens. The sequence continues at coordinate 2,197,104 of NC_000011.10, forward strand.
TTCTGTCTCTCTGCATCTCTGTCTCCCCATCTCTGTGTCCCTGTCTCTGCGCCTCTGTCTCCTCATCTCTGTCTCTCTGTGTCTCTGTCTCCCTGTCTCTCTGTCTCTGTCTCTCTGCGTCTCTGTCTCCCCGCCTCCATCTCTCTGCATCTCTGTCTCCCTGTCTCTGTGTCCCCGTCCCCGTGTCTCTGTCTCCCATCTCACATGTACAGTCGGAGAGGAGGAGGAGCCCTGGGTGCTGAAGGCAGAAGTCAGGCCGAGGAGCCGCCCTGCAGGGTGTCCAGGTGGCCACACGGTGGGGCCCTCGTCCCATGTCCAGGTGGCCGGGCTGCAGGAGGAGGGTGCTGGTTCCTCAAGGAGGAGAGGGGCTGGGAAGGGGTCAGGAAAGGGGAGCTGGGGTGGGACTCAGGGGGTCTCCATCAGATTGCTCTCAGGGAACCAGGCTGGTCCCCAGGACCCCGAGGGAGGGACAGGACCGCAGGAGGTGCGGCTCAACCGTGACTGCCACAGGAGTGGGGCAGGGGAAGGGTGGCGGGGCCAGGCGTGGGCCGCCCGAGGTGCTGACACTGCCAGGCAGGGCAGGGGTTGCTCACGTCCCAGGAGGCCCCCATAAGACTCCCACAGTCGAGTGCAGAGGTCTCCGAAGCAACTCAGTCCCGCCTACAATCTAGCCATGGGGCTTGGGCTTAACGGGGGTCAATGGGCGCCAGGCCTGAGGACGTGGGGCCCCCAGACACACTTTCTCTACAGGCACGTCGCATGCCACACACCACACATGCACACACACACTTGCGGGCCCTGCAAACACGCGTGCGCAGATGCCAGCACACACGGCCCTACGCGCAGCACACACAGTCACACACACGCCCTCGGCGGCCTCCTGCACAGCTGTGCACTCTTACACCACAGGAGAAAGGAAAGAATCACACCCCAGCCCAGAAAGAGACCACCGTGTGGCACCACAGCCCAGCCTGCAGGGTAGCAGGGGAGAGGCCAGCAAGTGACAAACGGGGGCCGGTCCGCAACCCCAGCTCCCTAACCAGGCACCAACTGCCGGGGCATCTTGGCCCCTGGGCTTCAGCTCCCCTGGGAGGATCCACATGGCCAGGCCGCACACATGCCCCACCCCTCCCCACCCAGCTCAACGTCCTCCATCACCCACACCCCACGTGCCCTGTGCCATCCCACTCAGGACCTCGCTGCTTCCTTTCTCCCAGGGCAAAGCCCAGCTCAGGGGACAGAGGAGGGGGCCAGTGGGGGCCCCTGGAGTCCCCACAGTCACTGGACTTGGCATGCACGTCGGGGTGGGGACATGGCATGAGTCGTCTGCTGAGGTGGCCTTGAGCCCACCTCAAGGACCCAGAGACCTGGCAGGCGGCACCTTTCTAGGGGCTGTCCAGGGACCAGGCCTGGCCAGTATCTTCACCTGGGATCAGGAGGGCTCCTCCTCAAAACCCACCCCAGGGATGTCGGGTGCATCCCTTCCCCCTCCAGGATCCTGTCCTCACAGCCACTGGCAGGGAAGGGGTCGTGGCCCCTGCTCCACAGAACTAGGAGCTGGGCCTGCCATGTGGTCATTCACAGGCCAGCCCAGCCCCATGTCGTCCCAGTTCTGGTGGACAGCAAGACGAGGCCACCTGGTGCTGGGCCTCTCGCCTCCACAGGGCCAGCATCCCTCCTTTAACTAGCGCTAGGCCTGGCTACTGGCTGGGAATACAACTGTTCCAGCACCAAAAGTCACCTGTGCCTGCAGGGTCTCGCGCCTGGGTGTCCGAAGTCGGCACAGCACAGCCCTCACAGACATACCTAGCCCCGGACCTTCTGAGCTGAGCAGTGGGAGCCAGGGCCTGGCTGGCATAGCTCACTGTCTGCCCTGGGCAGGTTGACCACCACAGACAGACAGCCACAGACCAATGGCCTAGAGGACTGCCAGCCAAGGCACAGCCCTTTGTCCAGCACAGCCAGCACCTGCAGACAGGGACAACCAGGAGTGGGTGAGAGTCAGACAGGCTGACCCGCAGAGGGCCTCCAGCTGGGGACATGAGGGCAGACGTCACAAAACCACAGCATCTCCTGTTTCCCTGCCGCAGGCGTGAGGGGACGTGGTGGTGCGGGGAACAGGGCAGCTAGCGGAGCCCGGGGCAGCTAGCGGAGCCTGGAGCAGGAGGCGGCCTGGGCAGGCCTGGAGGAGGGAGCCCTTCTCACCCTCCTGCCCAGAATACCTAGGTCCTTCCTGGCTGGCCAGCTCCGTCTCCACTGGGCTCCCTGACCATACTTTCTATACCCACTTCTCTGCCGTGCAAGGGAGGCCATGGAGGCTTGAAAGCATAGTCTCTGACTATGTCCCCTAAGGTCGGGCCATCCTCCCCTCCTCAGCCTGGGCCTTCCCAAGACAGGGGCCCTTTTGCTGGAACTTTTGGACAGTCAGGTGACCTGGCATCCACCAGGGACCTCTGAGGCTGAGCACAGAGAATGCCCCACCTCCAGGAGCAGCCCGTTGCTGCAGTGGGCCCTGGACAGAACCCCCAGGCCACAGCTGGGGCCCATCCCATGACTGCCCTGCTGCAGACTTGTTGCTGGGCCACTCTGGCCGAGGCCTTTATAAGCGCCTACTGCATGCTGCCCCACTCTGAATGTGGTATGGCCGGCAGGGTGGCAGGGGCCCGGGGTCAGCTCATGGTGCAGCGTTCAGCGCAGGTGCGCTGTTGGCTCCTCTGATGGCTCACGGGGCCAGCCCTGCAGCTAGCAGGGTGTGAGCCCAGAGCCCCAAGGTGTTTCTGGGTCCCCAGACTCCCCAGTTGCTTGTTTCAGCCCAGCAGCCCCCTTCCTGAGCTGGATAGGACCGGGGCTCCTCCGAGAGGCCTAAGTCTGCATCCTAAGGCAGGCCAGATCCCCCTCCCCACCCGTGTCCCAGCCCATCCTCCACCCTGGCACCTACCCGGGCACACCGGTGAGCACTGGATGGCCGTTCCACCTGGAGAAAATGTCCCCTGTGCTGAGCAGGACAGACAGGGTGTGGAGGTGAGGGCAAGACAGAGGCAGGGGCTGGACAGGGAGCGGGCACAGAACGACCAGGGCTCTGGACAGGCCAGGGCAGAGAAAGCAGTGGCCTGCACAATCTTGCCCTGGTGGGCGGCCTCCGGGACTAAAGACGCTCGCTATCCTGAGAGCTCAGTCAACTCAGGCAGCCAGAACAAAGGGCCACAGACTGGGGGCTTAAACCCTACGCATTCATTTCCCATAGCTCTGGGGTCTGGGCGGCCCAGATCAAGGGGCCAGCAGATGCGGTTGCTGGTGAGAACCCGCTTCTTGGCTCCCCGTCGGGGCCTCCCCAGGCTCACATGGACAGCAAGCAAGTGCTGTGGGGTCTCTTCTTATAAGGATACTCACTGTATGGGGTCAGAGCCCACACTTGTGCCCTCATTTAGCCTTGACTACCTCCACCAAGGCCACACCTACGCCCTTTACAGAACCCCCACGATGGGCCACGGTCCTGTTGGATCCTCACCCTCTTCCCACAAAGCAGACACTCCCAGACTTCACCAAGGAGACACGGAGGCTGCAGAGGTGGACGCATGGGCAAGGCCATCAGCTGGGGAAGGACTGCCCTGGCGTCTGGGCTTGTTGCCTGCCTCCTGGCCCCAGACAGCCTATTCCAACAGCCCTTCCTCCCAGCCGCCCACCCACATCTGTCCACCTTCCCGGGGGTGTCCTGTCATCTGCCAGTTCCTTTTTTCACCCTCGAGCAGCCCCCACAAGAGAGGACGGGGACCACCCAACTGCAGAACAAACCTGGACTCAGAGTCGACCAACAACCAAAGGTCAATTCTCTATGAAGGTGAAAAAGAGATATTTTCAAAGCAACTGAATTAATAAAACAGTCCAACTGCTTTAGGAAGATTTATTCATGAAAGAACTTCTGGGACCCCTCCCATATGATTATGGGCACACTGAGACATGTACTCTCTGGACCCCAAAAGCTCTTAAGCTAATAAGAGATAAGTTGTGATTTAACCCATGCCCATCTGCTCATAAAAGTGGTGAGAGTTAATGGATAGATGGATGAATAGATACATAAATGTGTAGATAGGTGCCTAAAGATAGATGCACAGACAGATCAAAGGATGACGGGAGGAAGAGAGGGAGAGATGGGTAAAGGGATGAATGAATGGATGGCAAAATGGATGGATGGATAAGTGGATGGGTGGATGGATGGATGGATGGATGGATGGATGAGGTGGATGGATGGATGGATAGATGGATGGATGGATGGATGGATGGATGGATGGATGGATGGATGAGGTGGATGGATGGATGGATGGATGGATGGATGGATGGATGGATGGATGAATAGATGGATAGATGGATAAGTGGGATGATGGATAAATGGGTGGATGGAAACTGAGAAGAAAGACCTTTGCTGTATTCCAAACACCATATCCTTAGTCTAAAGACTCAACTCTGGTCCCTGCCAGCTTGGACATTTGCCTGGGTTGACCCTCTTGTAAACAGACCTAACAGACCTCCAGTTCTCTGAAACCCCAATCCTTACCAATGTCAGACTTGGTAGCTAGTTAACGTAACCCTGAAACCCTGGCCCACCTGGGGCTTAGCCATGGTAGGGGGGCTGCCCACTGCTAACTGGGTACCTTCTAAGTCCTCTGCCAAGCATCAGTATACCACATTAAGATTTAGTAGATAAATGGGTGCACACATCTGTACAATGTCTCCCTGTAGGGGAATCTCAGGACCCCGCTGAGGGGATGCTAGGAGCTGTGTGCTGTCCAGTCACTCTTGTCTTCTAGGCCCAGCAGAAAGGTCCTCTACTCCTCTGAAACAGAGGGGATCCCTCAACCCTTCCTCCTCTCCCTCCCCCATGGGGGCCATTAAGACCCCCATGAGTTCTAGACCACATGGTCCTCTAGTGCTTGGTTCATCCCAGGTGTCTGCCAGGCCCTGCCCAAAAATGCAATGTCTGGGCAGCAAGGAGGCTGAGGCCAGACCCCACCCTCATCCATGCCTGGAACCTGCATCCACGTGGCAACCCCTCCCTCCAAACCCAGCTCATGCCAGGGCTCAGAGCATGGTGGAGAGGGTAGCCCTGGGCACCTGGGGCATGGCAGGACTGCCCTGCCTGCCCCGCCTGCCCCGCCCTGGCCCGTGCCTGCAAGAGCCACCTAGGGAAGGCTCCTTCACCTGGCCCTGGGCCTACACTCCACCCAGGAATGTCCTGCACCCCTGGAGTGTGGAGATGAAGGTTACGGGGTCCAGCCTCTGGGCACCGGGACATCTGGGGTAGGGGCTGAAGGCCATTCAAAGCCCCTGCCCCGAAGTCTACCTTCCCTCCTCGCCCCTCCCCCACCCACCCTGGGGGAGGTTTGTAATCTTCAGTGTCATAACCTGTCAGGCCTGTTTGGAAGGGAAGGGCCGCCAGCTTCCTACCAGGGAGCAGGGAGCTCAGGCGTTGGTTAGAGAAGAGGTGAAGCGTGCACAGGAAGCGTGCGGGGCCCCCCTGGGCATGGGGGAGGGGCGCCGGCCGACGGGAGCTTGGGCACGTGCTCACACACGGGACTGGACCGTGTGTCACAGCAAGCCTGGGTAGGTGCAGACAGGTCCGCGCGTGTCACCTGCGCAGTGCACAGGGGCCTCTGCTGCGGACGCAGGGCCTGCCGGAGTGACTGCCTGGCTGCCCAAGATTCCAGGGGTTCCACTCCATCCGGTGCTGAGTGGTGCCCCCCACCCCAGAGACCTGGGACAGCCGAGAAATGGAGGAGAGGAACCCACCCACCCAGCCCTGTGGCCTCCAGGCTTGACTTGGGTGCAGCTGGCAGAGGCCCTGCCCCTCTGGCTGTCTCCCTCCTAGAGGGGTCTAGGAGTTTCAGGAACTGGGGACCGAGGGAGGTCTTCTGCAGAGACAAGAGGGCGCAGGGCGCAGGCCAGGAAACCCCTTCACCTGCAGAGCCATCGGTGTGGGGAGGTCAGCCACGGGGTGTCTTGGTGTCTCAAGGGGGCCTTAGGTAGAGCTGTTCACTCCCTCCTTGTGGCCCCCCGAGGCCCAGGAGGGACCTGGAGCCCATGTCCCAGGAGTGCCCTTGGGAAGGTCAACTCCAGGAACCCTTGCAGCCCGAGGCTAGGGCTCTGAAGCTGGGATGGGCAGCGGGGGCCCTGCAGGGCCCCACAGGCACAGAAATCTCTGTAATCCTGAACCATAAAGGGGCCGCCTTCCCTTTTGATTCTAAATTTTAATAGCAAAATGAAGAGATAAGTCAGCTTTGATCTGAGTTTTATTAGCCTATGCCTTTGTTCCCTCTCTCCTTTAGGGGAACAGACGGGTTTACGGCTGGTCTCCCCATCCCTCTGTCAGCTGCAGGCGGGTGGCGGGCGGCCGCTCTGATAAGGCCTGGTCCCTGCCCCTGTGCCTCTGTGGGGTGCCGGCACAGCAAGCCTGGGACCTGGCCGCCGGCCCCTCCGCCAGGTCACCGGGAGGCCTGGGGGGCAGGTACCCTCAGGTTAGGGGGACTCTGGGATACAGACCCCTGCAAGCCCGTGGCCTCCTATTTCTCCCATCCCACCTCCCTCCCTCTGCCTGATGACTCCCGTGGGTGGGGCTTCTGCCTTCCCAAGCCCCTGTGCCTCAGTTTCCTTACCTAAAGAACAGGGTGCTAATGGAGACAAGGGAGACCAGGAGACAGCTCAGCCAGGGGCCAAACCAGCAGCTATTGCTATGGAGGTTCAGGGAGGTGAGGATGTTGGACCACAGGCTGGGAACTGGCCCTCCAGGGACCCCTGAGGAGAGCAGGCCTGGGATCCTGGGGCTGGGCTGGGGGAGCCGGTGGACTCCAGGGTGAACGCGGTGTTAGCCTGTGTCTGCTGGGACTGGGCCACAAGAGTTCCCAGCTTCAAAGGGCCAGGGGAGGCCTCGGGGCCCCGCCCACCTGTGAGTTCGGGGACATCAAAGGGCCCCACCCAAGGGGCGGCTGGCAGTCGGAGCAAGGGTAGAAACATCCAGAACTCTATCTCCAGAGGGAGCGGCTGGGGTCAGCCCCACCCCTGGGTCCACTGGAGGCCCCCTGCAGTGACCCGAGGCCCCTGCCTCACCCTGAGGTTCTGGCCAGGCCGGTGACACCCCACCTCTCTGGGTGAGGGCCTTGCTCCCAGGGGTGGCTGGGGAGTGGTGGGTGGGGCTTCTGGGGGCTGTGACACAACCGCACTCCACTTAATGATCACCCAGTTTTAACGGGGATCCAGGAGCTTCTGGGGGGTGCTGGGTGCTGGGTGACACCATGGCCCCCTCGTGCGTCCCTAGCCTGGCGGCAGGTGCTCTGGGCCCTCTCCCTGGGACTATCTGCCTGGACGGCATTTTCTGGCCCTTTTAACACCGGGGTCCCTAGCCCAGCCCTGGGCCTTTACGATCAGGAGGTGAGGAGGACCCCTCACCCCAAGGGAAGCCTCACCCTGATGGGACAGGCCTGGCCTCGGCTGAACTGCACAGAGGGGGGGCCCTTGAGAGCTCCCCTGCTACAGCCTAGGTGCCCCCTTCCACTGCCCTGGCAGTAGCAAAGGTCCACAGCATGGGTGGACATGCCTGATGGCAGCCCTACTGTGTGCCAGGTGCCAGGACGCAGCCTGACCCCAGGATCCGGTTCGCTCCTCTCCACAACCCTGGGCGGGGATCCTCTCCTAGGACCCTCCGGAGCCTGAGGGTCAGAAGGTGGTGACATCCAGTCACACGGAGAGGGACTTGGAGTGTCTGTACGGCACCATCCTGTCCCGCTGCCTAAAGGGAGCGCCTGCTTCAATTCCTGCCCCCAGGGCCGTAGGAGCAGGCCTTCCGGGACTCCGTTCCTAGGATCACCGATGGAATTCCTGGTGGGGGTGGGACTCTGCCCCTTCAAGGACTCTAGAGGATTCCATGACAGGGTGGGTTGGGCCTGAAGGGCAGGGGCCAAGTATGGGGGCCTCCCCACAGATGTGAAAGCAGAGGTTTCCCTACCTCCTGCCAGAGGGCAGGGAGCATAGCTGGATGCTGTGGCTGGGGGCAGGACTCCTGGCAGCCTTGTTCCCCAAGGCAGAGGGTGACAAATCACTAATTGGCCTCTGGGGCGGTGCTGCACCTGACCTGGGCTGTCTTCAGGGGCTAGTGATTCGCTGAAAAAAGCCCACATTCTGCCAAGGCTCAGCCTCCACACCTCCTCACATCCCAGCCAGCCATCCTCCCCACCTCCCTCCCTCCCAGCCTCCAGCCTCCCCACCTCCCTCCCTCCCAGCCTCCAGCCTCCCTACCTCCCAGCAGCCCAGCCTTCCAGCCTCCCCACTTCCCAGCCCCTCTGCCTTCCAACCTCCCTACTTCCCAGCCTTCCAGCCTCCCCACCTCCCAGGCTCCCCACCTCCCAGCCTGCCCACCTTCTACCTCCAAGCCTCCCCACCTCCCCACCTCTCAGCCTCCCCACCTCCCAGCCTCTCCACCTCCCTACTGCCCAGCCTCCAGCCTCCCTACCTCCCAACAGCCCAGTCTTCCAGCCTCCCCACTTCCTAGCCCCTCTGCCTTCCAACCTCCCCAACTCCCAGCCTCCCCACCTCCCAGCCTGCCCACCTTTCTACCTCCAAGCCTCCCCACCTCCCTACCTCTCAGCCTCCCCACCTCCCAGCCTCCCCACCTCCCTACCTCTCAGCCTCCCCACCTCCCAGCCTCCCCACCTCCCTACTTCCCAGCCTCCCTGCCTCCTTACCTCCCAGCCTCCCCACCTCCCTACCTCTCAGTCTCCCTACCTCCCAGCCTCCTCACCTCCCTACCTCTCAGCCTCCCCACCTCCCAGCATCCTCACTTCCCAGCCTGCCACCTTTCAGCCTCCCCACCTCCCTACCTCCCAGCCTCCCCATCTCCCTACTTCCCAGCCTCCCTGCCTCCCAGCCTCCTTACCTCCCTACCTCCCAGCCTCCCCATCTCCCTACTTCCCAGCCTCCCTACCTCCCAGCCTCCTCACCTCCCTACCTCCCAGCCTCCCCACGCCCCTACCTTCCAGCCTCCCCACCTCCCTACCTCTCAGCCTCCCCACCTCCCAGCCTGTCAGCCTCCCCACCTCCCAGCCTCCCCACCTCCCAGCCTCCTTTCCTCGTGTGAGTGTTGTGGAGGGACATTGGGAGAAGGGGCTTATCCGGGACACAATGCACTGATCCTAAGACATTTGTTTACACTTATTGTCTCTGAAAGCAGGTTTCATGTGAATGCTGCCAACAGCCAGGTTCATGACATGGTGGCCCCAGCTCAACACGGATGAACCTGACTGTATCACCTGGCAGTGACCCCTCTACACTTCCATCCCAAGCCTCAAGGGCCCATCTAGGGAAGGACAGTGAGTCTGGGGCGCCGTCCAGAGATCATTTGCTGGCACCTGCTGGTAAGATCTAGATACCGGCAGAGCAAGCAAAAGTTCCCGGGTCAATCGTGGAGGCCCCTCTTGGGGAACGGGTGTCCCCCAGCCCTGTACATGGCCCAAAGGAAGAGTGTATGAGGGACAGCCTCGGTGCAATGACTCTAGACAAAATTGACCCGGAGGAAGTGGACTCAAATGTGGGGACAGTAACCCTTACTTGCTGGTATTTTCTCTCTACGTGTGTATACAACAGTGATTTATGAAAATCCCTCCCTCAACCCATCAGGCAAGGTGCTTTCAATAAGCAAGAAACAAAACAAGGAAAACACTATTTCCTTGTTTAAGTTCCATTTCTTTTTTTTTTTTTTTTTTTTTTTTTGTGAGACAGAGTTTCATTCTTGTTGCCCAGGCCAGAGTGCAATGGTGCGATCTCGGCTCACTGCAACCTCCACCTCCTGAGTTCGAGTGATTCTCCTGCCTCAGCCTCCCCAGTAGCTGGGATTACAGGCGAGTGCCACCATGCCCAGCTAATTTTGTATTTTTAGTAGAGATGGGGTTTCTCCATGTTGGTCAGGCTGGTCTCATTTCTTTTCTCATCATGATGGCAAAATGATGGTAAAACTTGACATGGGCCTTAGATTTGAAGAACCAAGAGGGCGTCGAACAGCCACCCTATCTTGTGTACATTTTCCATTGTATTTCACTCTTGCAGCTGCCTTATAAGGTAGGGTCTACCGTGGTCCTGATTTTTCACATGAGAAAGCTGAGGCTGGGACTCAGGTCACACATGCAGGCAGATGTCCCTTATCAGAGTGTCCCTTCAGGGTCACCCACAGCTGCCCAACAGCAGTGACTACAGCCAGGAAGTCGTGGAACCATCGCCTCTCACAGTTCTGGAGTTGACGGGTCTTAGCTGGGCAGTGCTCACTCAGGGTGTCTCGTGGGCAGTCAGACGACAGCTGGAGTGGACGTCGGCTCAGAGCATCCTTGCTGGCAGGTCTGGTGGCTGGTGCTGACTTTGTCAGGTTCTGCCAGGGCCATTGGCTGCACATCTGCATGTGCCGCCTCGGTGGCACCTGGGCTTCCTCACAGCATGGCAGTCAGGCTCCAAGGGCAGCTGCCCGAGAGCTCCAGGAGGAAGCTGCGTGGCCTCTTATGATGTGGTCTGGGAGTTCCAGGGTGTCCCTTCTACTGTGGTTGTCAGCCTGCCCCAGTTGTAAGAGGTGGGAGAGGCCCCACATCTGCGTGTCCACACCATAATGGGGAAAGGGTACGCACCACCTTCTGAGAGAGTCATCTGCCACGGGGTGGCACAAGGTCATGGCATTTCACATGGTTGTCACCCAAAGAAAGCCCTCAGCCGTGGAGCCTTGCCCTCTCCAGAAGCGTCATAGGAGATGCCCCGTTACGTCTGCAGACAACCCGTGTGGGTTCACAGCCTCCATCAGCAGGTCAGTTGTTTGTTCCCTCTGAGGAGCAGGAGCAGGGGCCCAGGCACGCTCCCAGTGGGCACCGAACACCTGCTGCTGGGTGCCTGCCCCGCACGTAGGAGGGACACAGCGGTGAGCAGGCGCTGGTCCTCATGCGGCTGCCTGCTGGTGGAGGGAATGTCACGATCAGGGAAGAAGCAGATCTCACATAGAGATGTCAAACGCTGGCATCCAAGAAAAATCCAGCCGTGTGGCGGGAGCAGAGGGCTCCGTGAGGAGAGGCAGGTTCCTTGCTCTTCAGCCTCCCTGGGAAGCTGTGGGAGGAATGTCTGCACCGTGCAGAGGCCCTGAGGCAGGAGTGAGTGTGTCTGCAGCTGGTGGGCAGTGAGTGGGGAAAGGTGCAGGCCAGGCCAGAAGGGCGGCCTCTGAGAAGGGGAGCCTGATGAGGACAGCCCACGCCCTGGCTTGACCCCGGGCAGCTGCTCTCAGCAGTGCCTGCAGAATCCATGAAAATGCTGATCCCAGGCCCTACCTGTGACTCACAGTCTGCGGCCAGGCCTGGGATGTGCATTTTGCAGGAATATTCTCAGAGCTCCAGAGCTGGCAGACCAGGGTGAGCCCATGGCCTAGAAAACCAGAAGGACCGGGAGGCATTCCTCAAAGGCAGGAAGGTTTGGAATATCAGAGAAGAGGGGGATGTCCTGGTGCCCCCTGGCCTGCTGGGCACAGGCTCACATAGCCTGGGCTTCCCTGGTGTTCCAGGCAGCTGAGGAGTTTGAGGTCTGAGTGCCCTGGGGTAGAGCGGGATGGCAAGCCAGGTGCCAAGCAGAAAACGGGGTCACTCCCCCGCTGCCTGTGAGCAGCCCTGAGAAGAAGCTGGCAGCTGTCCACACCTCACGCCAAGGCTGGCTGGCCCCATGTTCCAGAAATCACCCGTCCCAGGCTGCCTCGCTCGCCGCGCTTCTCAGCCTGTCCACCTGGAGTGCTGGAGGCTGTGCCCAGTCCTGGTCCGGCATGGCCTGGCCCTTTTTCTTCCTGGTAGGGAGCTCAGCGGCTGGCCAATGGGCAGCAGAGGGGGCAGCAGACAGCCAGGGCACAAGGAGGCGGCGGCAGGGCAGGCCCAGGCCAGTGGAGGCAGAAGCCGCAAGCTGGGAGCGGAGAGGATGGCGGAGTCTGGCAAGCACCCAACAGGTGGCAGAGACAGAGCCTGGCCCGGTGGACAGTGCAGGTGGGGGGGCACCAGTGTAGACGGGCAGGGCGGCCAAATGAGAGGAGCCCAGACACACACAGAGGCAGACAGGGCCACGCTGCAAAGGCTGGAGACACTGCCAGCTCAGGACTGGGCACGGAGCGGGGCAAGGTGACCACCCTGTCAGAGCAGGGCAGGGGCCCTACTCAGGAGATGGAGAGAAGGCGAAGGGCTGGGGGACCCCCTCTGGCCCCAGGCATGGCCGGCCCCTTGCCTCATGGCCAGGCTGATGCCTTCCCAGCCCAGGCTGGGCGGGGGCCGAGCATGAATGTGGCCCCATGGCCAAGGGTAAGGCAGAGTCAGGGCCCCAGGTCACCCACCCCACAGCCACTCGGCCTTCTCTCAGGTCCCCAGACTGCCTCCTCACCCCCTGTCGGCCCACAGGCCTGGACCTCCCTCCTGCCTGCCCTCCTCCCTGCCCTGGCTGCCCACGCTCCTCTCCAGGGATCAAGTCCGCCCCAGCCACCCTGGCCCTGCTTCCCAGGGGGTGGGCTCCAGCCTTGGCACTTGCACACCTGAGGACCACGCACTCACTCCCTCCTGAGCCCATTCTGACAGGGAAAGTCCCGTAACAGGGTCCAAGCCTAGGACTTCCGCCCAGCCTGCCTGGCTCCCGCTCTGTGGACACCCGAGACCAGGGTCTCTTGTCTGTCCTGCCTGAGGTCCCTCTGTCTCATCTCCAAGACCCCAGAGGCCCCTGGAGGAGGTTTCTCAGGAGCAGAGAATGAGTATTAGTGGTAGCTATGAAGGGGTCCTAGGCCCGGCCGCCCAAACCCACTCCTCCCCAGGCAGATCTTCAGCCAGTGGCTAGGGCAGCAGGAGAGCCACTCTCACCAGCCCTCTGGCCACTGTGGCCTCTGCCCAGCTCTAACAGCCCACCCTGCTCCGCAGCTGTGCCCTTGCGTCCTGTCACAGGGGACCCCGGCGGGAAGGGCAGGGCCTGAGCCGGTCTGCGCTACCCATGGAGGTTGGCCTCGTTCTTCTTGCTGTGGTCCAGCCCCTCTGGAGCCCATGGGCCCACCTCCCAGGCCCCGTCCTGCGGGGACTCCCACCTTGGATGTGGACAGGACCTCCTGGCTCACTTCTAACCAATAGGATGAGGCAGAAGTGACAACATTGCTTCCAAGCTTAGGTCACAAAAGGACGTGGTTTTTGCCTGCTTTCATTTGATGATCTTGAAGGAGTCTGCCCTGCCCACAAGGGCTTGGCCGGGCAGCAAGGACTGCGCTCCATCTGTCTGTCCAGTCCCTCCCTGCGTGTCCCTGAGGTAGCTCCTGGAGGACAGTGGCTGGCACCTTGTCAGGGTCCACACCTGGTTGATGCAAGAAGGCACAGGTGAGCCCAGTCCACGCAGCTCCACACGGGTCAGAACCGGGCTGTCTGCTGGGCAGGCAGGTGCATCCACCTGTGTCCAATCACATTTGGAAAGTGGAAAGGGAAATGGTGGCCTGCAAAAGGCATTGGTGCCCCTCAGACCCCAGGGCCGAGGTCCCTGGGCAGCCCGGCCCACAGACCCATCACCCTGCACTGCCAGCCGAGGCTGCTGGCCCTGGGCTCAGTACTCTGGCCATGGCTGGGCTCATGTCGAGACCTCCCTTCCCCTGACTTCCATGCTCAGGGCTCCTTCGTGCAGGTCCAGGGATGTGGTGGAGGCCCGAGGTACAGGGACAAGGTTGCAGGCAGCGCTGGTGGGGCAAGTGCCAGGGCCCAGGCCGTTTCATGCAAAGACACCCACTGGAGAACGGAGGCCCTAGGTGCAGGCCCTGGCATGACCCTTTCCTTCACTGGAGGAGGACTCATGTTAAAAAGGACCTGCCAAGGGGACATAGACAGAGGAGCTGTAGATAAAAAGCTCCTGAGCCAACCAGGTTCCAGGCAGCCCAGGAGCCAAGGGGTGGGGGGAGCAGGATGCCCTGGGGACACACTGCCCTGTGCAGCCCGGCCTCTGTGCCTGGGCAAACAGCAAAGCCTCAGTGAGCGGGCTGCAGGCAAGGGAGGCCCCATGGCCCAGGGAGGTTTATGGCCTCCCAGCAGAGCACCCGGCCCCAGCAGCTGGCCTGGCCCCTGCACCTGTCCCTTTGTTTGCACAAATCCCGTCCCTAATAGTCTTAATCGCAAAGCTTTGATGACTGTGCCAGACCCTGCACAGGCCCCTGCGGACTGCGCTGAACAAACACGCCATTGTCTCCGGGTGCACCGCAGGCGACCAGTTAATGGTTAAACCAAGGGGAGAAGGATGGCAGCTCTGCCTGAGGCCAGGGTGGGGGAGCTGCCTGGCGTGGTGTGGGCACCAGCTCCCCCCACCCCACAAGGGCACAGTCGTCCTACACTGGGGCTCCCAGTGGGCAGAGAGAGCACACGGCTTCTCCCCTGTTTTAGAACTAGCCTCCCAGCAACCCTGGAGCCGGGAGACAAGTCCAGAGGAAGCTGCTGGAGTCCCCAGCAAGACACCTGCCCCGACCCCTCCACACCAGGCAGGCGCCCAGGCTGTGGGAGCTGCTCAGACGCTTGAGAGCCGGCCACTCTCTGTGTACTCCAGACCCACGGGCCAGGAGTGGGCATGCAGTTAGAGCCCCGTGAGCAAGCCTCACACAGCTGTGGGACGTCAGCAGCACAGCTGCCATGGGAAATGCCCTGGCCGGTCCACGCAGGCCGGTTACCCCCAGCACTACCGTGTGACCAGCAATCCCACCCCAGGTCTATCCCCAGAAGTGAAAGCAGGGACTCAGGCAGACACGTGCACACCCATGTTCCCGGCAGCATCACTCACCAGAGGCAACAGGTGGAAACGACCCCGGCATGCACCAACCACGAAAACGACGAGCCCAGGCCGGGCATGGTGTCTCACGCCTATAATCCCAGCACTTTGGGAGGCCGAGGCGGGTGGATCACGAGGTCAGGAGATCGAGACCATCCTGGCTAACACGGTGAAACCCCGTCTCTACTAAAAATACAAAAAATTAGCCAGGCGCGATGGCAGGCGCCTGTAGTCCCAGCTACTGGGGAGGCTGAGGCAGGAGAATGGCGTGAACCCGGGAGGCGGAGCTTGCAGTGAGCAGAGATCGCACCACTGCACTCTAGCCTGGGCGACAGAGTGACACTCCGTCTCAAAAAAAAAAAAAAGACGAGCCCACTGTGGTCTGCCTGTACAATGGAACATTATTGGGCCATGCGAGGAATGATGGACAGATGCAGGCTGCAGCATGGACAGGCCTCACCAACGCCACATTCGGTGGAAGAGGCCGGGCACACAACGCCGCGTGGTGATGGACTCCCTTTATATGAAATGTCCAGAATAGGCAAATCCATAGGGACAAAAATAGATGGGTGGCCGCCCAGGGAGGGGGGTGGTGGAGACGGGGAGTGACCGCTCAGTGACAGGGTTTCCGCCTGGGGGATGCACGTGCTCCAGAGCTAGACCGAGGTGAGGGTCGCACAGCACTGAGATCGTGCTGGATACGCTGGATTGTGCACTGAAAATAGCTAATTCTGGGTATGTGAACTTCACCTCCTTTTAAAAATGACAGCCCACTGAGACAGACACACAAACAGTGGGTCCCTGAGTGTGGGAAACCAAGACGGGCTGGGGCCGAGGCCAGGCCACAGACCCCAGTCGGGCGGCCTGGCTCACTCCCAGCTCTGCCTGGGGCTGGCCACGGCCTTGATCTGTGCCTTGATCTCCAGGTTTGTGGCCCTGAGCCTCCCGTGGCACCATCCCAGCTCCTGTTGAGCATGGCCCTCCCTGGGAGCCACTGTGGCCACACACACACTCCTCCGAGCACGTTTGTCCAGTCCATCCACTCTTTCTCACAATGTCCTGAAGACCTGCTAGGCAGCAGAAGCTGGCCCTGCTGGGGGAACGCAGGAGTGGGCAGGCTGCCCTGGCTCCTGCTAGCATGGAGCACACAGCCCCAGGGGCAACAGGCAAACCCCAGGAGACCCCCACCTGCAGCCTGGAGAGGGGTGCAGGCAGGGCATGCAGCAGGGGCCAGCCCCATCCCAACCTCCTCCAGCCCCTCCGGCCAACTGGCCTGCAGGCTATGCCGGGTGCCCTCATTGGCCTCTGGGCTTTTTCTGTTTTGTAACTGGTAGCCTTTTTTTTTTTTTTTTTTTTTTTTTTAAAGAACACACTTTAAGGTTTATAGAAAATGGAGCAGAAAGTACAGAAAGTTCCCTGATGCTCTACCCCCTGCCCAGCCCTCCCCCATGCCTGCAGTCTCCCCGTTACTGGCCTCTTGCATCGCTGTGGCCAGGAACCCATTGGACATTTTTTAAAGTCGCATACTTTTTATTGGGGCAAAAAACACATCACATCAATGTACTGTCCTAAATGTACACTGTTTTTCAATGCACAGTTCAGGGGCATTAGGGACACTCACACTGGTGTGCAGCCCTCACTGCCATCCATCTCCGGAACCCTTTCATCTTCCCGAGATGAGACTCTGTCCCCATTCAAAGCAAACTCCCCACCCCTCCCCCAGCCCCTGACACCCACTGTTCTACTTCCCGTCTCTGCGGATTTGATGACTGTAGGAGCCTCATGTGAGTGGCAGCACACAGCGTCCGTCCTTCCGTGTTTGGCTTTTCCCGCTGAGCCCCTGCCTCAGGTCCACCCCGTGACAGCGTGGGTCCGGATCCCCCACCGTATGAGAAGATCGCACTTTGCTTATCCACGCTGATGCTTTTTAAAAAACATTTCTGTTTATGTAATTGACAAATAACAATGCATATATTTATCCTGCACTACACGTTGTTTTGAAATACATCAATACTTAATTATTATGCAAAGGCCATAGTTTACATGAGGCTTGGAGCTCGGTGTTATAAGTTCTATGGGTTTGGACTAATACTACCCTGTATCCACTGTTACAGCACCCCATAGAGGGGTTCCACGGCCCCGAAATCCTCCATGCTCCACCTGTTTGTTCCTCCTGCCTCCCTAACCCCTGGCAGCCGCTGACGTTTGTCTTCATGGTTTTGCTGTTTCCAGAATGTCCTAAGGGTAGAACCCTACAGGATCCTACAATCCTTTGCAGCCTGGCCTCTTCCACATGTCGAGTTAGCGGTTTCTCCCTGTCTTTTTGTGGCCTGTAACTCATTTCTTCCACGGGCTTCTAGACAGGCTCAGTTCTCTCCCATCTTAAATACTCATCCCTTGAGTCCACAGACTGCCACACAGCTCGTGCCAACCTCTTTACTTCACATTAAATGTCTGGAAAGAGAGAAGGCCTGTCCACTCCCTTTCCCTGTCACCTCATGCCACCTCTCTTCTAACCACAGTCCAGGTCAGTCAGCTCCCGCACTGCCAAGGGGCCCAGTGCTTTGGCCTCCAGCCCTGGAGACCTCCTCCTGCCTTCCCAGCCCCTCATCTGTTTCTTCCCCGCTCTGCTGCTCCTCCCCAGGTCCTTGCGGGACGGCCTCTTCCACTGGGTCCGGAGCTGCTCCAGACGGCCTCCTCTCATCTTCCTGCCACAGTTGCCGGCTACACGCAGGCCACAGTCCGTCTCCCGCTAGGCCGCCTCCCTCTCCCCTGTGCTCCAACCCAGAAGCCAGCTGCCCTCTGTCACTCTCAGACGACAGACGGCAGCACGGGTCCAGCTGCCCCAGGCCCGAGCCCCGGGGCTCCTCACCGCCTGGGCCTCCTCGCCAGGCCGGACCTTGATGCTGGGTACTACTGCCCTGCCACCTGCCCTGCCACCTGCCCCGCTGGCAGCTGCTCCTTCCTGCCCCCACATTCTGTCCTTCAGACACGCCATCGGGAGGGCAGTGACATCTCCGTGGTCTCCCTTTACCCTCCTGCTCTGCCACTCTGCCTCTGCTCATCCTCCTCTGGGGAGTCAGCCTGACCTCTGCAAACATGGGCATCAGTGGGCACGTCTCCGTGCTTAGAGGCCCCCAGGGCTATCCGTCGGCCTTTGGTAAAGTCACAGGCAGAACCCACACAGAGCCTTTGTGCTAGGACTAGGCCGGCCCACCTGCCTCCCCAGGCTTTGGGTGGTGCCCACCCACCCCAGCCTCTGCAGGTCCATGCCTGACTAGCCGCAGGGCCTTTGCACACCTGCATTTTGCCCAAATTAACTCTACTGGACCCTCTCCTGTGAGGAAGGCTCCGCAGCCTCCCCAGCCAGGCCACACACCCCAGTCCTCGTTCAGGGGTACACATTTGTCCCCTTCATACACAAGCCAGGCTCCACTCTGGGCACTGGGTCACAGCCAGGAGCAAAACAGACCCAGTCCTAGAACCCGCAAAGCATCCACCCTGGGGGAAAGGAAGCAGAGATCAGAGGTGTCACTGAGCACACAGAAGCTCGAGGTGCTAAATTCCATGGAATGGAAGCCAGGAGTAGCCAGAGGGAGCACGGGTGCTGGGGGGTAGGTGAGGGTGACTGAGACAGCCACTGGGGGGTACGTGAGGGAGGACCGGGACGGGCGCTGAGGGGTAGGTGACGGGGGACCGGGACGGGTGCTGGAGGGTACATGAGGGAGGACTGGGACAGGCGCTGCGGGGGTAGGTGAGAGGGGACCCGGAAGGCCGCTGGGGAGTAGGTGAAGGGGACTGGGACGGGTGCTGGGGGGGTAGGTGAGGGGGGACCGGGACGGGCGCTGGGGGATAGGGGAAGGGGGACCAGGACGGCCACTGTGGGGTAGGTGAGGGGGGACCGGGAGCAAGTCCCAGACAAGTGAGTTTTCAGAAGCCCGCGAGGCCCTCAAGTGGACAGGCCAAGTGTGTGACCAGGGCTTGGGGAGACGTGAGGGTGAGGTAGCTGTCTGCAGAGGGTGCAGGAGAGCAGCCACCCAGGAGGCCCACCTGGGGCCCTCAGTGTCAGAGGCCGCGGAGCCTGGCTTCTGCTTGCCCCCACTGCCCCGGGCCTTCTCCTGCCCTGACCCACAAGCCCTGTGGGGGTCCCTGCCCGGCCCAGATCCCCCCACTATATCCCAGTGTGTCCAGTAGGTGCTCAGTCAGTGCCAGCAGACTGGATGGATGCAGCTGGACCAAGAGGCACTCCGGACAGACCCCCAGAGGAGCTGAGGATGGGGCCTCCCTGCGGGATGCACTGGGCGCACCGGATGCTCAGGGTGGTCTCACCATCGTGCCCCCTTCACAGAGAGGACCCTGAGCCTGGGATGCGCAGGTCCTCACCTGAGGAAAGTAGGCACCAGCCAGGTGTAACCTGGGCCAGATGGGCAGCCCCGAGGGCCGCGCCCCACCTCTCAGGCCCCGCTCACAGCCAGGCCCCAGGGCTGCTCCCAGGCCCCTGGGAGAGCAGGGTGCCGTGGGCGGTCAGCAATGGGTGCAGGGTCTCCTGAGGTCAGGAGGGAGCTCAGAGCTGCTTCTTCCCTTCTCCTTTCTCAGCTGCCTATCACCCCACCCTCTAAACAGCAGGGAGCCCGGCATAGACACACTTGTGGCTACCCCACCCTCACACCCTCAGAAATCCTCAGGGAGACAGGTCGTACACCGCCCATCCTTGCAATGGGCTCCCTGCCCCCTTTCTCCTGGAGGGCACCAGGCACACACAGGTACACACACAAACACGCAAGGCACACACACAGACACGCACAGACATGCACAGCCACACACAGATAAACACAAACACACACAGCTATGCACAGCACACACAGCCACACAGCCACAAAGACACACACAGACACACAGCCACAAAGACACACACGGACACGCACAGACACACAGCCACACAGACACACACAGACACACAGACACACAGAGACTTGCACAGCCACACACAGATAAACACAAATATACACAGCCATGCACAGCACACACAGCCACACATGGGCACACAAAGGTACACACAGACACACACAGCCACACATGGGCACACATAGCCATACCCAGATAAACACAAATACACACAGCCACACACAGTACACATAGCCACACAGACATGAACAGACAAAACACAGACACACAGAGCCACACACAGATAAACACAAATACACACCATCATGCACAAACAACAGGGACGCACAGCCACACACGGACACACACAGGTATGCTCAGACACATGCAGGTGCACAGAGACGTATGGGCACACACAGACACACAAAACAGGGGCACACACAGGCACGCAGAGACGTGCCCATCCTCTCACAGCCACACGTACCCACAGCCACAGCCACACCCATGGGCACCCAGCAACACCCGCCCTCCCAGCACAGCTGCCTGCCCACAGGGACACCACTACCAACGCCCAGCACCGACACCCTGGCACCAACGCCCAAAAAACGTCCTCAGCGGTGCCCACCCAGGCCGGCAGGCTCAGACAGACACCGCTGCTGCAGCGAGTGTGCCTGGAGTCCCACCTGCTGGGACAAGGAGACCTACAGGTGTGGATGCTGCCCGCTGCCTGCTGTAGGGGGCCAGGACCTCTGAGCCTGGCTGAGCTGGGCACCCCCGTCCCATGCCCAGGGGGTGCTGCAGGACTGTGGCCAGGCCAAGCCTTCCCAAGGCACCTCTTGGGGCCAGAGCAGCTTCCCAGGACAGCCCCCATGCCTGGCAGGCTCTCTGTGGGCTCCCCCTGTTCCAACGCCCTGTGGACCCAGCCTTGGAAGCTTCACAATGCCCGGTGCGAGGAGGACACGTGGTAATGAGAAAGGTGCCTGGAGCTGTCCAGCCTGCAGCATGCTGCCAGCGCCTCACTGGGTCCTCATGCCCTGTGCCCACTGGGTCCCTATACCAGCCTCTGCTCCGCCTGGCCCTTACACCCTCGGCTCCACCTGACTCCTACACTGGCTCTGCAACCATTCCCAGCCACAGAGGTTGGCTGCAAGTACTCACAGCTGCCCCTCCTCAGTGACTCGTTCTCAGGCAAACAGGAGGCTATGCCCCAGCCCAGGGGCAGCCCACGCTAGGAGTGACCACCCAGGAATATGAAACCCAGTCCCCTTACCTCAAAGCCCAGCCTACTATAGTACAATTTATGCCCCAGAGCTCCCTGAGGCTGTCTGCTGCCGAGACCCCCTCTTGCTTGCCTGTGTTCTCAGCCTCTTCTCTTCCTGGGAGGGCACCCCTCCCCCAACAAATCCCATGCATGAGAAACCCCACTGCAGATTCTTCTTCAGGGGAACAGGCCTGAGACAGTTGGTGCCAGGCATGGCACTGGGAAGCTGAGCCCAGGTGTGGGCTCTGTGATCAGCTCTCTCACTGACCAGGGCAAGGAGGAGCCCCTCATGGGGGTGAGCAGGGGAGGAGTGGATAGAGCCCCTGGCAGGCTAGAGCAGAACACTGTGGGATCACAGACCACCTGGTGCCATGTCCCCAGCACTTGAGAACTATGGGGAAACCTTAAGCAAAGAGCTGTGGAACGGGCAGCTTTTGCTGAGAGCCATGAAGGTCCTGAAGGAAGAAAACCCCAAGTTCAGATCTATAAATTCACAATCCAAGATCCAGTGTGAGAGTCCTAACGAGGTCATGGGTGTGGGCTTTTGTCTTACTCTGTTTGTGTTGCTATAAAGGAATACCTGAGACTGGGTAATTGATAAAGAAATGAGATTTATTTGGCTCATGGTTCTGCAGGCTGTACAGGAAGCATGGCACCTGCATCTGCTGCTGGGGGGGGCCTCAGCCTGCATCCACTCATGGCGGGAGGGTGAGAGCCGGTGTGCAGAGACCACATGGTGAGAGAGGAACCAAGAGAGAGGGAAGGTGCTGGGCTCTTCTTAACAATCAGTGCTCATGGGAACTCAAAGTAAGAACTTAGTTCTCACCCTCCTCCAGGGAGGGCATTAATCCACTCATGAGGAATCCATCCTCATGACCCCAACGGCTCACATCAGGCCCCCACCTCCAACACTGGGCATCAAATTTCAACATGAGGTTGGGGGACAAACATCCAAACTATAGCATTCCTCCCCAGTCCCCCCAAATTTATGTCCTTCTCACATGCAAAATACAATCATCCCATCTCAGGAGTCCCCTAAAGTTTTAGCTTCTTCCTGCATCCATTTAAAAGTCCAAAGTGCAAAGTCTCATCTAAGACTCAAGGCAAGTTTCTTTCAGGTATGAGCCTGTAAAATCAAAATCAAGTCATTTACTTCCAAGGTACAATGGTGGGACAGACATTGGGTAAACATTCCCATTCCAAAAGGAAGAAATTGACCAAAAGAAAGGCAGGACAGGTCCCACACAAGCTTGAAACCCAGCAGAACAGACATTAAATCTTAAAGCTCCCAAATCTCTTTTGACTCCATGTCCCACATCCCACGCTGGAAGGAAGGGTGGGCTCCCAGGACTCTGGACAGCCCTGCCCCCATGGCTTTGCTGAGCCCAGCCCACGTGGCTACTCTCACAGGTTGGAGTCCAATGCCTGGGGCTTTTCCAGGCTGCGATTGCACACTGCTGGTGTCTCTGTAATTCTGGGGTCCCCCTGGCAGCCCCATTCCCACAGCTCCAGTAGAAGAATATCTCCGAAGGGCTCTATCCCTGCAGCAGGGTTCTGCCTGGGCACCCAGGCTTTCCAATACACCCTTTGAAATCTAAATGGAAGTGGCCAAACCTCCAGCACTTTTGCATTCTGGATTCCTGCAGACTTAACAATACATGGAAGCCAGCAAGTCCCATGCCTCGTGCTCTGCAGGGCAGCTGTCCAAGCGGTATCTGAGGCCATTGGGACCATGGCTGGATCTGGGGTGGCTGGGATGTGGGAAGCAGCATCCCAAGGTGGTCCACAGCAGTGGCACCCTGGACCTGACCCTCCAAGCCACTCTGTTCTGCTAGGCCTCTGGGCCTGTGATGGGCAGGGTGGCCTCAAAGTCCTTCAAAATACCTTCAGGGCCCTTTCCCCATTGTTTTGACTGTTAGCATTATACCCTCTTTCAGTCATGCCAACCCCTCTAGCAACCGGTGTCACAAAGGACCTTGAATTCCTCTCCTGAAAACATTCTTTGCTTCTCTACCACAGGCCAGGCTGAAAATTGTCTAAATTTGTATGCTCTACTTCCCTTTTTATTAGAAATTCTACCTTTAGATCATTCCTTTGCTGTTGTAGTGATTGTAAGTTGTTAAAAGTAGCCATGGTACTTCTGGAACACTCTGCTGCTTAGAAATTTCTTCCACTAAACATTCTGGGTCATCACTCTTAAGGTTAGCCTTCTACAAAGCCTTAAAGCACGGACACAATGCAGTTGCAACCTTTGCTAGGGGTTAACAAGGGTGATCTTCGCTCCAGTCCCCAGTAAGTTCCTCATTTCTATCAGAGACCTCATCAGCATGGCCTCTATTGCCTGCATGTCTATCAGCATTTTAGTCACAACCACTTAACTAGTCTCCAAGAAGTTTAAAACTTTCCCTCATCTTCTTGTCTTCTTCTGAGCCCTCCAAACTCATTCAACCTCTGCCCATTACTCAGTTCCAAAGCCACTTCCACATTTTCAGGTATCTTTATAGCAACACCCCACTCTCAGTACCAATTTTCTCAGTCCACTTGTGTTACTATAAAAGCACACCTGAGACTGGGTAATTTATAAAGAAAAGAGGTTTATTTGGTTCATGGTTCTGCAGGCTGTACAGGAAGCACGGGGCCTGCATCTGCTGCTGGTGAGGGCCTCAGGCTGCTTCCACTCATGGTGGAGGTGAGGGGGAGCCAGTGTGTGCAGAGACCGTATGGCAAGAGAGCAAGCCAGAGAGATGGGAGGGAGGTGCTAGCCTCTTTTTAACAACCTGCTCTTGAGGGAACTAATAAAGTGAGACCTCATTTGCCCCGCTCTACCAGGGAGGGCATTAACCTGTTCATGAGGGATCTACTCCCATGACCCAAACACCTCCCATTAGGCCTCCACTTTCAACATTGGATCAAATTTCCACATGAGGTTTGGAGTGGACAAACATCCAAATTCTAGCAGCTTTAATCCAACCTGACTGATATACTTGTGAGAAGAGGAGATTAGAACCCAGACACACACAGGGGGAGGACCCTGTGAGGACACAGCTAGAAGGCAGCCATCTGCCAGCCAAGGGGAGAAGCCTCAGGAGGAACCAGCCCTGTGACACCTTGATCTTGGATTCCAGCCTTCAGGACTGAGGAGGATAAACTTCTGGTTATTAAGTCCCCCAGTCTATGGTACTTAGTTATGGCAGCCACAGAAAGTGAATTCGGGCAGCAAAGAGGAAATGGCACCAGTTGGCCTTACCCACAGGGGTCTTTGAGAAGGATAATAGAGCATGATGCTCCTAGAGGGGACAGGTGGGCAACCAACCAGGTGACCCTTTAATATAGAAACAAGGGATCAAGACTGGATGCCTGAGGCTGAGATCATTCTCTCAAATGCAATCCTGACCCCTTGACCATTTCCAGACCTCAGCCAGTTCTCAGACCCAGACTCACCAATGGAAAGAGAAGCTGGGTCCCCATGAGGCAGGACCCTGAAACAGCATACCAAATGCAACCTGTGGTATGTCCTCAGTCCTTTCCCCAAGGGACCTACAGCCACTGAATCAGATCATCACAGCTGATAACTGAGGGACACAACTATCTTTGCAGGGCTGTTGCATATGGAGTCTGCATAACACTCATAACACTGGTACTAGGGGACCCAAGTGCCATCATGGGCCCCCCATTAAAGAAGCAGCATAGGGGAGTTAGATAATAAGTGGAAATCTGGCCCAGGTCTATCTCATGGGGTGGGCTATGTTCATGAACCCATTTGAAGATTACGCCCCCAGTTCCTACACAAATAATCAACATGGACCCATAAGCAGGCAGACTCCTTCATCAGCTCCTTGACCTTTGTGGTAAGACCTATTATGGCAGGAAAGAACAAGTAGAAGTCCCTGAACCTGCCTTTACTCCAAAGCCAGAAAATAAGTCAAAACTGATGACACTCTCCAAGGCTTTTCACCCACTTCTGGCAAAGACGAAGTAACAGGAACTGGGTTTCCCCTCTCAGCTGAAATAATAAGCAAAAAGATTGAAGAAGAAAAAAAAAAAGAAACACTGGTTTTCAAGAAAGGATATTGGGCAAAGAAGGACAGTGATCCCCAAGAGAAGAAAAACAAAGTGAGCCCTACAATTGCCTTGTCTTGCTGCCCTGAGAGAGTTTTTGGACTGCAATACAGGGAGGAAAATTGAGGCAGAGCCCAATGAATCCAAGTTGAGGTAACAGAATTGGGGGTTTGGGGAGACCAAGGTGGCTAGAGTTTGCAGGGCAGAGAAGAGAGTGGTACAAAGAGTGAACCCTGGAGATCTCCAGAAGGTTCCCCCTAAAATATTCAGCAGGATACATTCATCACAGGCCTGGGAGGGAATGACCCAAGCCTGGAAGGACCAACTGAAAGGGTTCGGGGCTGCAAGACCCAGTACCTATGCAGAACTGGGAGAAGAACCAGTTCCCACCAGCCAGACTGGAAAATGTCATGATTCACAGGGCATTGGGTAGTGTACCAATAAAAGGGTCTTGCCCCAGCAGTGGGGAATAATTAGCCCTGGATGGAGTAATGTCCCAGGCCTGCCTGACAAGCCATAAAAGCAAGATATGAAAGGAACAAGTTGTTCCAAAGTATCTTAACTGCATCCCAGAACAAAGCTCAGCCGTGTTCATAGGAATGCAGACGTATCCAGTATCCAACACGGCAAAATTCACAACATCTGCAACCAATAAAAAATTGTGGGATCTGCAAGGAAGCAAGAAAATACACCCATAATGGGGAGAAAAATCAACCCATTGTAACAAACCCAGAACAGACATGAATGTTAGAATTGGCAGGCAAGGACATTAAAACAGTTATTGTAACTGCATTCCCTATGTACAAAGAGCTAAACAGAGATGTGGAGAGATGTGAAAAATGTAAGAATGAACCAAATTGAGCTGTCAGTATGAACACAGCAATGTCTGAGATAAAAAATACACTGGATGAGATTACTTAAAGATATACCAATAGAAAATATTCCAAATGAAATGAAAAAACAAGAATTGTTTTAAAATGATAAGAGTATCATTGAGCTATGGGACAATTTCAGGTGGCCTAGTATACAAGTAATTAGAGGGCCTGAAGGAAAGAATAGGGAGGGACAAAAACATTCTGAAAAAAGAATGGATTTTTATTTTCACCCTCAACATGTAAAGAGCTCCCATCCTTCCACCGGAAAAAGCAGAACAACCTGAAAATCACTAACTTTCTCAGACCCATCAGAGACTTGAGATTGTAGAGCAAATCACTCTCCTGAAATCAGGGAAATGGGGAAGTCCAGAGAGTTGTGGCCAAGACTGGCTTACTGGAGTAGAAGCCACGGGAGACACAAACAGACACAGATGTTTAAATGGTAGTTCTGATCAACTGCTGAGACAGGCTACCCTGAGAGTAAGAGATCCTGGGGGTGTGCAGTCTTGGGGGCTCCACGCTTTCATGGACTTTACCTCCAGGAACCAGTTTCTCACTGTGAAGAGCGCAGAAGAGCCTGGTAGGAGGCAGGTAGGGGGCAGGGGTGAAGAGTAATTGTGGAGCAATTTCCATAACAAAGTACTACTCTTCTGGGGAAAGATGTTTCCAGAGCCTTATCCCACCTGGGTGAAGGGCATTTCCCCAACTCCAGCCCCTTCTAGCTCTCCTGTCACTCCCAAGTTGCAAAAGCTATGACACTGGGAAATACTTGTGAAGGTTTCAGCCCGAGGCACAGGCTCACTGTAAGGCATTTAATTGGGAGAATATAGAACACTATTCTCCCCCTCATACCTGACTCCCTGTCAGAATAACATAAACCCTCACAGTAGAGGGCTCTTTACCTCAGTTTCTATTACCTGATAAACAAAAAATTTACAAGGCACACCAAAGGATAAGAAAAGGCACAGCTTCAAAAGACAAAACAAGTGACAGAACCAGACTGAGATATGACACAGATGTCAGAATTATCACATAGATAATTTAATATAACTATGATTAACATGCTAAGAGCTCTAATGAAAAAAATCGACAAAATGCTAAGAAAAGATGGGTAATCGAGCGGAGATATGATAATCCTGGGAAAGAATCAAAAGGAAATGCTAGAAATAAAAAACATTTTAGCAGAAACAGGGACCGCCTTCAATGGGATTATCAATAGGCTAAGCAAGTCTAAGGAAAGAATTGAGGAGCTTGAAGACAGATCAACAGACACTTTCCAAACTGAAATGCAAAGGAAAAAAGAGGAATTGAAAAAAACAAAACAAAACCAGAACAGAGCAACCAAAAACTGAGGGAAATTTAAAAAATGTAACATACTTGTAGTTGGAATACCAGAAAGAGAAGAAAAAAGGAATGGAGCAGAAGAGATGTTTGCAGTTATAATGGCTTAGAACTTGGCAAAATTAATGATAGACATCAAACCACAGATCCAGGAAGCTCAGAGAACACCAAGCAGAATTTTTTAAACATTAAAAAACCCTCAACTACACATAGACATATTATATTTAATCTGAGAAGACCTAAGACAACAAGAATTCTTGAAAGACACAAAAGGAAAAATACCGCATTACCTAGAGAGAAATATGGATAAGAATTACAATGACCTCTTGTCCGAAAACTGCAAGCAAGAAGACAATCAGATGAAATAATTAAAGTGTTGAAAGACATATACTACCAACCTAGAATTCTATATCCAGTTTTATATATATGTGTGTGTGTGTATATACATACATGTATGTATATGCACATATATGTATATATACACATGTGTATATGTGTGTGTATGTGTGCATATATATTTACATATAATTTTTAAATTATATAAAAATGATTTTTAAAGCCCTGAGAGGAACAAGGGCCACAAGTATGTTCAAAGTGTTGATGATACATGTGTCCTGCAATTCACATTAATTCTCACAGCTCTTAGGCTATCATTAAAAAAAATTTTTTTTCAGCATCAGTCTCACTCTGTTGCCCAGGCTGGAGTGCAGTGGTGTGATCATAGCTCACTGCAGCCTTGACCTCCTGGACTTTGAAATCCTCCTGCTTCAGCCTCCCAAGTAGCTAGGACTATAGATGTGCTGCACCACACCTGACAATGTTTTTATTTTTTATTTCTGTAGAGATGAGGTCTCACTATGTTGCCCTGGCTAGTCTTGAACTCTGGGGATGAAGTGATCCTCCTGCCTCTGCCTCCCAAAGTGCTGGGATTATGGGTGTTAGCCATTGCACCCAGCCTATATACAGTGATAGGCTGGGTGAAGAGAAAGTAAAGACTTTTGCAGACAAACAAAAATGGAAGGAATTTATCACCAGATCTGCCCTACAAGAAATGCTGGGATTACAGGTGTGAGCCACCACACCCGAATGAAATGTTAAGATTCTTTTTTAGACAGAGGAAAATTATAGGTCAGAAACTTGAATCTGCATAAAGAGAAAAGGAGCATCAGAGAAGGAATAAATGAAGGTAAAAGTAAGATCTTTTCTTATTCTAAATCAATGTAATGATAACTATTTGTTTCAAATAATATTAGTAAGAATGCATTGGGTTATTACAGCATATGGGTAAGTAAAATAAATGACAAGCATTATAAGGGATGGGAGGAGGAATCGGGACTTTATATAGTTTGGTATTTGTTCCCTCCAAATTTCATGTTGAAATGTGATCCTCAATGTTGGAAGTTGGGCCCAGTGATAGGTGTTTTGGTCATGGGAGTGGATCCCTCATCAATGGCTTGGTGCCCTCTCTGCAGCAGTAAGTTTATGTGAAAGCTGTTTATTTAAAAGGGTCTGGCACCTCTCTTGCTTCCTCTCTTGCCATGTGACATGCCTGCTCCCTCTTTGCCTTCTGCCAAGGGTAAAACCTTCCTGAGGCCTCACCAGAAGCAGATGATGACATCATGCTTCTTATACAGCCTGCAGAACTATTAAACCTCTTTACTTTATCAATTACCCAGTTTCAGGCATTCCTTTATAGCAATGCCAAATGGACTAACACAGGACTTATCTGTGCTACTAATGAAGTGAAATGGTGTTATTTGGAGATGGACTTAGGTAAATTTAAAATGTATATTGTAAATGCTAAGGTAATCACTGTTTATCTGTTTATCAACAGAATAAACAGAAAACCTACAGAATGGGGGAGATATTCTCAAACTATGTATCTGACAAAAGTCTAATGTCCAGAATCTATAAGGAACTTAAACAATTTGATGAGTGAAAAACAAATAACCCCATTAAAAAATGGGCAAAATTGGCTGGGCGCGGTGGCTCATGCCTGTAATCCTAGCATGAGGATTTGGGAGGCCGAGGTGGGCAGATCACGAGGTCAGCAGATCGAGACCATCCTGGCTAACACGGTGAAACCCCATCTCTACTAAAAATACAAAAAATTAGCCGGGCATGGTGGCAGGCGCCTGTAGTCCCAGCTACTCAGGAGGCTGAGGCAGGAGAATGGCATGAACCCGGGAGGCGGAGCTTGCCGTGAGCGGAGATTGCACCACTGCAGTCCAGCCTGGGCAACAGAGTAAGACTCCGTCTCAAAAAAAAAAAAAAATGGGCAAAATTCAATAACAAATACATCTCAAAAGAAGACATACAAATGGCCAAGAAACATGAAAAAATGCTCACCATCACTAATTACCAGAGAAATGTAAATCAAAACCATAATAAGATACCATCTCACATCAGTCAGAATGGCTATTATTAAAAAGTCAAAAAATAACAGATAACGGCAAGGCTGCAAAGAAAAGGAACACTTATATACTGTTGATCAAAATGTAAATTAGTTCAGCCACTGTGGAAAGCAGTTTGAAGATTTCTTAAATAACTTAAAACAGAACTACCATCCCAGGCAACAGTCCCATTACTGGTTATATACCCAAAGAAAAACTAATCATTCTACCAAAAAGTCACACGCATTCATATGTTCACTGTAGCATGATTCACAATAGCAAAGACATGGAATCAACCTAAGTGCCCATCAAGGGTAGATTAGATAAAGAAAATGCGGTACATATACACTATGGAATACTACACAGCCATAAAAAAGAACAAAATCATGTCCTTTGCAGCATGGATGCAGCTGGAGGCCATTATCCTAAGTGAATTAACAGAAAACCAAATACTGCATGTTCTCACTTATAAGTGGGAGCTACGCATTGGATACACATGGACATAAAGATGGGAACAACAGACACTGAGGACTACCCAAGAAAGGAGAGAAGGAAGGGGGCAAGGCCTTAAAAACTACCTATTGGATATTATGCTCGCTACATAGGTGATGAGACCATTTGAACCTCAGGTTCATGCAACATACCCATGTAACAAACCTGCACAGGCAACCCCTAAATCCAAAATAAAATTGAAATTATATTAAAAAGTCACTATATAATGATAAAGGAACCAGACTTCCAAGAAGATACAACAATCCTTAATGTGTATGTACCTAACAACAGAGCACCAATACACATGCAGCAAAAGCTGATAGACCTGCAAGGAGAAATAGACAAATTTACTGTTACAGCTGGAGACTTCAAGACCCTACGGCCAGTAACTGATAGGTCAAGAAGACAGAAAATAGACAAGGATAAAGTTGACCTGAACAGCAGTTATAGCCCAACTTGATCTAATTCACATTTTAGACTACCTCATCCAACAACAGAATAATACACATTAATCTCTAGCTCATGTGGAACATTCATCGTGATAGACCACATTCTAGAATAAAACATACTTTAATTGAAAATAATAGAAATTATATAAAGTGTTCCCAGACCATAGTGGAATTAAACTAGAAATAAAAAACAAAAAGCTGGCAGGAAAATCCTCAAATATTTAGAAATCAAGCAATACACCTCTAAATAATCCAAGCTGAAAAGAAGTCTCAAGAGAAATTTAAAAAATATTTTTAACTAAATGAAAATGAAAATACAGTATATCAAAATTTGTAGGACTCAGCAAAAGCAATGCTGAATATAGCATTAACTGACTATAATTAGAAAGGCAATCAGTAACCTAAGCTCCCACCTTAGGCCTAAAACAAGCAGAAGAAAAATTTAATAAAAATTAGAGGATAAATGAATGAAATTCAAAACAGAAAAAAATCAACAGAAATAACAGCTGGTGCTTTGAAAATATTAATAAAATTCATAAACCTCTAGCTAGGTTAGGCAAGAAAAAAAGAAAAGACACAAATAATCAATATCAGAAATGAAAAAGTATCATCACTGTTAATCCCATGGACTGTGAAAGCATAATAAAGAAATTCTATAATTAACTCTATACCCACACATTTCACATGGATGAAATAGACCAATTTCTGGAAAGACACAAATTACCAAAACTTACACAAGGTGAAATAAATAACCTGGATATCCCTGTATCTATTAAAGAAATTGAATTAATTGAATTAATAATAGTAGCCTTCCTAAAAAGAAATTACCAGGCCCAAATGGTTTTAGCAGTGAATTCTATTAAAAATTTAAGGAAGAAGTCATACCAAATTCTCCACCAAAAAATCTCTTCCAAAAAATCAAGGTGACAGACACACTTTCTAACTCATTCTATGACGACAGCATTACTGTAATAACAAAACTCAGGTAAAGATATTATGGGAAAGGAAAACTATAGACCAATATCTCTCATGAATATAAATGCAAAGACCTTCTTAAAATTAGCAAAGTGAATCGAATAATAAATAAAAAGAATTATGAAGTACAATCCAAATGGGATTTATTCTAGATATGCAAGATGGGTTCAGCATTCAAAAAGCAATCTCTGTAATCCACACATCAACAGACTAAAGAAAACAATATATAACCATATCAAATGAAGCAGAAAATTTATTTAACATTTTTCTCTCTTTGGCTTCTTTCTGCTCTTTCTCTTCTTCCCCTTCCCTGTCTTCCTCTTCTCCACTACTCCTCTACTACTCCTCTTCTCCTCTACTCCACTTTTCTGAAGGGGGAAGACATTAGCTCTCCAAGTATGTAAGAAGTGGCTGCAGCCACCATAGGTATATCCAGTTTCTGTGACAAGATTTTAGTGATCTTGTCCAAAGTATCTTATGACCAACAGCTGGAGTTAAAAAGAGTGAAGTCAGTAAGATGGCAGAATAGGAGATTTCCACCATCATCCCTCCACAAAAGCATTGATGTTTCAACTACCTATAGATGACAGTATCTTTGTGGAAGTCCAGGAGTCCAGTGGAGAAGTTCTAGCACAGTTATAGCAAAAAATCTAATAATAAATGCATTGAAGAGGGTAAAAGAACCGTTTGACTTTATCCACATCACCCCTTTTTCAAGGCAGCATAGCTCAATGCCAAAATAAATCTATTAGGTCCATGACCTTTCCACAGAGGAAAGTGAGTGAGCACCAGGCTCCCCCAGCCATATGGCAAACTGCCCAAGAGGCCCACTGTTTCTCACCCCACTGAGAACACTGAGGTGGTCGGCACAGCTAAGTGGTTGCAAGAAACTGAGAGAAGGTGAGAAAGGCCATAGACCCTACTAATTTATCTGCAGACTTCATCATAAACATATAATGTGGGGAAGGAAGAGGAGTGAAGTAGTTTTTGTATGGGACTTAAGCTATTATCAGCTTAAAATAGACTGTTATATGATGTTTAATGCAATTCTCCTGGTAACCACAAATCAAAAACCTATAGTAGGTACACAAAATCAAAACATACAATTACAGAAAATCATCAGATCACGAAGAAAGACAATAAGAAAGGAAGAAAGCGACAAAGGGTGTATAAAATATCCAGAAAACAATGAACAAAACAGCAATAGTAAGTCTTTACCTATTAATAATTACTTTAAATGTAAATGGATCAAATTCTACAATCAAAAGACACAGAATAGCCAAAGTGTGGTGCACTCCTGTAGTCCCAGCTACTGAGGAGGCTAAGGCAGGAGGATTACTGAGCCCAAGAGTTCAAGTCCAGTTTGGGAAACATAGTGAGATCTCATCTTTTAAATTAAAAAACAAAACACAATGGCTGAATGCATTTAAAAAGCATGACCCAAGTATATGCTGCCTACATGAGATTCACTTCAACTTTGAGGATACACATAGACTGAAAGTGATGGGAAGAAAAATGATAGTTCATACAAATGGAAACCAAAAGAGAGCAGGGGTAGCTGTACTTATATCAGACAAAATAGACTTTATATCAAAAACTAACAAGAGAAAAAGATTATTACATAATGATAAAGTGATCAATTTACCAAGAGAATATAACAATATTCAACATATATGCACCCAACATTGAAGCACCTAAATATATAACTAACTAAAGGGAGAAATAGACAGCAATGCAATGATAATAATAGAAGACCTCAACACCCCACTTTCAACAATGGATAGATCACCCAGACAGAAAAATCAATATGGAAACAAGCACTGGACTTGAACTACACTTTAGACCAATGGACCTAACAGACATACACAGAACATTCCATTCAACAGCAGCAGAATATACATTCTTCTCAAGTATTCACAGAATATTCTCTAGGATAGATCATATGTTAGGCCACAAAACAAGTTTTACCAAATTTAAAATGACTGAAATTATATCAAGCGTCTTTTCCAACCATTTCCAATTTCTAGTTTGGTATCAAACTAGAAATCAATAACAGAAAAAAACAGAAAAATCCACAAATATATGTAAATTAAACAACACACACCTGAACAACCAATGGGTCAAAGAAGAAATCAAAAGGGACACCAAAAATATCTCAGACAAATGAAAATGGAAACACAACATACCAAAATGTATGTGATACCACAAAAGCAGTTCTAAGAGAGAACTTTATAGTGATAAACGCCTGCATGAAGAAAAAGGAAAGATCTCAAATAAGCAGCTTAACTTTATACCTCAAAGAACTAGAAAAAGAAGAGCAAGCTAAGCTGAAAGTTAGCAGAAGGAAGAAAATAACAACAAGCAGAGGTGGAAAAGATTAATGAAATTAAGAGTTGTTTTTTGAAAAGATAACCAAAATTGATAAACATTTAGCTAGATGAAGAAAAAAAGAGATAAGCTAAAATAAATAAAAATGAAAAAGGAGACATTCAACTGATACTACAGAAATACAAAGGATCATAATAGACCACTATGAGCAATTATATGTTAACAAACTGGATAATCTAGAAGAAACAGATATATTCCTATAAGCATAAAATTAACTAAGAATGCATCATAAAAAAATAGAAAATCTGAACAGACCAAGTAAGGAGATTGAATAACTAATCAAAATCACATATCAAAGAAAAGCCCAGGACCTCACGGCTTCACTAGTAAATTCTACCAAACGTTTTGAGAAGAACTAATAACAACTGTTCTCAAACTCTTCCAAAAAACTAAATTTTTGGAATACTTCCAAATTCATATTATAAAACAAGTATTACTCTGATGTGAAAGACAAGGACACTACAAGAAAAGAATACAAACCAATATCCCTGAT
Source organism: Homo sapiens (assembly GCF_000001405.40). Classification (NCBI taxonomy): domain Eukaryota; kingdom Metazoa; phylum Chordata; class Mammalia; order Primates; family Hominidae; genus Homo; species Homo sapiens. The sequence goes on from NC_000011.10 coordinate 2,231,525, forward strand.
AAACATAAATGCAAAAATCCTCAACAGAATACTAGCAGCAAACCAAATTCAAAAGCATATTAGAAGAGTGACACGCCAAGATCAAATGGGATTTATCCCTCAGACGCAAAGATAGTTCAACATAAGCAACTCAAAAAAGTGATACATCACATTAACAGAATAAAACATAAAAATTATATGATTATCTCAATAGATACAGAAAAATCATTTGTCAAAATTCAATACCATTTCATGATAAAAAAGTATCAATAAATTTGGTATAGAAGGAATGTACCTCAACACAATAAAGGTCATATATGACATCTCACCTCTAACAACATACTCAAAAATAAAAAGTGAAAAGCTTTCTCCCTAAGATCAGGAACAACAAAAAGGATGTCCACTTTTGCCAGTTCTGTTATACATAATACTGGAAGTCCTAGCCAGAGAAATTAGGTAAGAAAAAAAAGCAAAAAAAAGAAAGCATCCAAATCAGAAAAGAAGAAGTAAAATTATCTCTGTTTGCCAATGACATGATTACATACATAGAAAACCCTAATGACTCCATGAAAAAAAGTTAGAACTAATCAATTTAGTAAATTTTTAGGACACAAAATCAATATACAAAAATTGGTTGCATATTGATGTACTAACAATGAACTATCCAAAAAAGAAATTAAGAAAACAATTTACTTACAATAGCATCAAAAAGGATAAAATACTGAGGAATAAATTTAATCAAGGAAGTGAAAGATATGTACACTGAAAACTAAAACTTGGATGAAAGAAATTGATGAAAACAAACAAATGGAAGGATGTCCTGTGTTCACAGATCAGAGGAATTAATGTTGTCAAAATTTCCACACTACCCAAAGTGATCTAAAAGTCAATGCGAACTCTATCAAAATTGCAGTGGCATTTTGCACAGAAACAGAAAAAGCAATGCTAAAATTTTTACAGAACCATGAAAGACCCCAAATAGCTAAAGCAATGTTGAGCAAGTGGACCGAAGTGGAGGCATCACACTTCCTGATTCACCAGGACTCAAAGTCCTGGCTATTTCAATAAGACAAGAGAGTGAAATAAAAGGTATATAGATTGGAAAGAGAGAAATAAAACTGTTTATATTTGCAGATGCCATGATTTTACATCTAGAGAATCTCTAAGAAATCAACAAAATACTCCTGGAACTAAAAAGCAACTATGGCAAGGACCCAGGATACACATTAATACACCAAAGTCTATCACTTTCCTATATACTAGCAATGAGCAACTGAAGTCTGAAATGATAAAAAAAAAAAGATACCATTTACAATAGAACCCCCAAAAACATAATTCTTAAGAATAAATTTAACAAAATATATATAACACCTTGTAAAGGTTAATTTTGGTTGTCAACTTGAAGGGATACCCAGATAACTGGTAAAGCATTATCTATGGGTGTCCCTGTGAGGGCATTTCCAGAAGAGATTGGCGTTTGAATCCGTGGACTGAATAAGGAAGATCTATCTTCACCTGATGTGGGTGGGCACTATCTAATTGTCTGAGGGCCCAGATAGAGCAGAAAGGTCAATGGTCTACTTGCTCAGTCTCTCTCTATTTATCTACCTACCTATCTTTCCTGGAGCTGAGACACCCATCTTCCACTGCCCTTGGACATTGGAACCCCTGGTTCTTCAGCCCTTGGACTCCAGGACTTGCACCAGTGTCCCCCGGGTTCTCAGGCCATCATCTGCAGACTGAGTTACACCACCAGCTTTCCTGGTCCTGAGTCCTGCACACTTGGACTGAGCCATGCTCTTGGCTTCCCTGGTTTTCCGTCTTGCAGGAAACACATTGTGGGACTTCTCAGCCTCCATAATTGCATGAGCCAATTCCCATAATAAATCCTGTCTCATATAGCTCTATCAATTTTGATATCTACATCTATATCTGTATCTATCTGCATCCTACTGGTTTTGTCTCTCTGGGTAACTCATACTACGTACCAGGAATGGTTCTAGTGGGGACAGAATTTTAAGAGTGAGTTCCCTAAATTGGTTTTAGAGTTTCTGGAATTGGGTCTTTAGTCTGATTAGACTTAAAAATGCTAAGGACTCTACTTCCAATAGTACCAAGAGTACCGATAGTCATTCCATAAATTGTTTATAAAGATACGCAAAATACATGCATTAAGTACTCCTAAGCAACCACTTTTTAATTTTTTTTCCTTATTTATTTATTTTTTATTGTGGCAGGGGCTCTCTCTGTCACCCAGGTGGGAGTACAGTGGCACAATCACAGCTCACTGTAGCCTCAACCTCCTGGGCTCAAGTGATCCTTTCTTATTTTATTTTATTTTATTTTATTTTATTTTATTTTATTTTATTTTATTTTATATTTTATTTTATTTTATATTTTATTTTATTTTATTTTATTATTTTATTTTATTTTATTTTATTTTTTGTAGAGATGAGGTCTCACTATCTTGCCAAGGCTGGTCTCGAACTCCTGAGCTCAAGCGATCCTCCCACCTCGGCCTCCCAAAGTGAGCAGCCACTTTTAAGAGGCAAGGAACTTAGAGGCTCTGTATATGATACTTTGGAGCATTTGTGGAAAACGAAGGAATGAATGAACTGTTGGTTACTCCTAATGTTCCAGGACAAAGTGATGAAGGAAAAGAATGAGATCAGGTATTTGGATTCTCAGCTCAAGCACCGCATAAATGACCTAACAGCGGCTAGGTGTGTCCCTAGGGAGAACCTAGGTCCTATAGCCACAGGGTCGGAATTGCTGCAAGTCAAATGCAAGCCCTCATCACGCAGTTCTCGGCCTTGCTGGGTGTCTGTGGTAGGCTCAGATAAATGCAACGTTTTTATCACAGCCCCAGGAAAGGTTTTTGTTGTTTATGTTGCTGATGTTGTGTTTTAAACAACTCCTCTATTAAAAAAAAAAAAAAAAGAAAGCACAGAGAAATAAAAGAAACTCTGATTATCCTGTATTGTGCACAGAAATACAAAATAAGAATCTAGAAATTTTAGAATATTCAGCTAAAAATTCACATTGTGTGTAAATGGCATTTACTGGAAAGACGGTGATTCTTAACTGTGGAATTTTGTCTAGAAATGTTGATAAATTTACATCCTAATGGGATTGATCTCACATTTGGTTTTGCTTACATGTTTATAAAGCATTAAAGTTTGGTTAGCCAAATTTCTCATACTTGATATATATCAGAAATTGTATTTAAAAGCTTTACTTCTGTTGTAAAATTAGTTGCCTGAAATGAATAAAACCAATTAAATTGATATTTAAAAAAAAAAGGGAAGGCATTGGTTGAGAAAGAATTGATATGTTGGAATGGGGACCTGGGAGGGGGGCCTTGATGAAGCTGGGGACATTGCACCCTGAAATACTGAGCCTTCTTTTACCACGGAAAAAGTCTCTCCACAACCAGCATAAGTGACATTCCCAGCCCCACAGGCAGCAGCGTCCCTGGCCCAGTGGAAGCAGCCTCCCCGCCCCCAGCAGCTCTGGCCTTTCCACCTCCTCTGGGGCATTAACCTGCGTTGCCTGAGGAAAGGGTAAGGACTTCCCCTAAGGCGGTTGCCAGGCAAGTCAGTGCTGATTCTCCTCCGGTCCTTCCCCCACCACCTCCCTTTGCTTCTGGACCTATAACAAGACTCGCAGCCCAGGAGGCCCCTGAAGGTGAGGCCCACAGTGTGACACAGGAGGAGGCGAGCCACACCCCAGAAGAGCCACTTGACCTCTCTGATTTACACAGACAGACACCCAGGGGCATCAGTGGGAGCAGACACTGGGTGTGGGCACTGGGGGAGGAACACGGAGGTGGAGGGGCCGGGTGTGCAGACGTGTCCACCAAGCAGAGGCCGCACTCCAGGCTGCAGCTAGGGGACTTGGAAAAGCTCTAACTGGCTGGTCGGTTGAAACATGGATCAAAGGATGCCCGCAGTGAGCGAGCTGGAGGTACCCAAGCTCCCTTGGCTTAACATAGAGGAAGGGGTTCAAAGGCTCAGGGAGATGGGAATGTGACAATGAAAACCTCCTCACCCACCCTGGGAGGGCCCAGGATGCAGGCCTCTCACAACACTGAGACATAGATCTGTGAGGGAGCCCAGTCTCCTTGAAGAGCTCTGCAATTGTTCTTCTCTGTAGGCCAGACTCACAGTGGGAATTGCAGTCAATCAACTGCGAAACTTTACATGCAACGGGGAATAATCGGATCCTGGGGTAGCAGGGGCCAAAGAAAAAGTGGGTGTGGTTACCATGATGGACAGCAGAAGCGAAGCAGCAATCAGACCTGGGTCACTGGTCTGACCCATGCAGACCTATGGCACTGGCTGCTTATCATGTTCCTAGCAGTGAAATAAACAGGAAATCTGCTCAATTCCTACTGGATACAAGCAGTAAACTTCCAGGCCAAGTGGACAAAAGTCTAAGTTCAGTCATAAAAACACAGAGAATCATGGCCTTGGTCATTCACAGACTTGAGACAGTCTACGGACCCAGAACCCTCGAATGCAAGAAAGGCGGGTACCCTTGAGAAAAAGTCTCCCCACAACCAGCATAAGTGTCATTCCCAGCCCCAGAGGCAGCAGCGTCCCTGCCCCAGTGGAAGCAGCCTCCCCGCCCCCAGCAGCACGGGCCTGTATAGTCCCCAGAATTTATCCTGATAATCTTTTCCGCAGTCTTCCTGAAAGAGACTGTGTATTGGAGAAAAGAAAATACTGCAACATTTCGGGACGATTGGACACTGGCTCTGTCCTGACATTGATTCTAGGAGACGCTGGAAGGACACTGTGGCCCTCCAGTTAGGGAGGGGCTTAGGGATCCAGGTGATCAATGGAGTTTTAGCTCAGATCTGACTCTGTGGGTCCAGTGGGTACCCAGCCCATCCTGTGGTCATCTTCCCAGCTCCAGATGTGTAAGTGGAACAGACACACTCAGCAGCCAGCAGAGTCCCCACATGCGTCCCCTGACCTGGGGTGTGGTGTCTGCTATGGGGGGAAAGGACAAGTGGAAGCCATTAGAAAGGCCTCTACCTAGAACCGTCAGTCAAAAGCCATCCCACATCCCTGAAGGGACTGCAGACATCAGTGCCACCACCAAGGACTTGAGAGGTGCAGGGGCGGTGATCCCCACCACAGCCGATTCCACCCGCCTATTTGGCCCGTAGGAGAGACAGGCGGGTCCTGGAGAATGACAGGGGACTGTCCTAAGTTTGACTCCAGCTGCAGCTGCTGGGCCAGACGAGGTTCCATCGCTTGAGCAAATTAGCACATCTCCTGCTCCCTGGTGCGAAGCTCTTGATCCGGCAAATGCGTTCTCCTCCACCCCTGTCCACAGGGCCCAGCAGAAGCCAGGCCAGCAATGCCCCCTCGCCGCCCCACCTCAGGGGCCTCTCGCCTCTCCAGCCCGTGTCAGAGGTAATTCTCAGGAGTCTCGATCACCGCTCCCTTCCCCAGGATGTCACACTGGCCCATTACACTGGTGACATCATGCTGACGGGACGTAAGGCACAAGAAGTAGCCTCCATCCTAGACTTGTTGGTGTCGGAGGGTGGGGAATAAACCCAACTGGAATTCAGAGCCTTCTACCTCAGGGAAACGTCTAGGGGTCCAATGGCGTGTGGCCTGTGGAGTTACCCGTTCTAAGGGGAAGGATAAGCAGTTGCATCTGCCCCTTCTTAGTCATAACTAAGAGACAATGCTGAATGGGGCCTCTTCGAATTTTTTTTTTTTTTTTTGAGACAAAGTCTCACTCTGTCACCCAGGCTGGTGTACAGTGGTGCAATCTCAGCTCACTGCAACCTCTGCCACCCCCCAAGGTTCAAGCGATTCTCCTGCCTCAGCCTCCCGAGTAGCTGGGATTACAGGTGCACGCCACCATGCCCAGCTAATTTTTGTATTTTTAGTAGAGACGGGATTTCACCGTGTTGGCCAGGCTGGTCTCGAACTCCTGACCTCAGGTGATCCACCTGCCTCAGCCTCCCACAGTGCTGGGATTCCAGGCGTGAGCCGCCACGCCGGCCCTCTTTGAATTTAGAGCAACACATTTCTCATGTAGTTAATCTGGCCCAAGTGCCCTGAAAAGCTGCCAGTTTTGAGTAGAAACCAGAGCAGGAGAAGGCTCTATGGCAGATCCAGGCTGCCGTGCAAGCTGCTCTGCCCTGTGGGCCATGTGACCCAGCAGATGCAGTGGCGTCTGGGATGTGGTGTTAGATGGGGTGCCGTAGGTGAATGGTGACTGGTTGGTGTTAGATGGGGTGCCGTAGGTGAATGGCGACTGGTTGGTGTTAGATAGGGGTGCCGGAGGTGAATAGTGACTGGCGTGTGGTGTTAGATAGGGGTGCCGGAGGTGGATCACAGCACGGGCCTTTAGGACTTTGCGGCGAGGCCCTGCCACCATCCACAGATAACCACTCTCCTTTGGAGAGACAGGGCTTGGCCTGCTGCCGTGCCTTAGTAGAAACTGAATGTTTGACCATGGGCCACCAAGTTACCCTGTGATCTGAGCTGCCCACCATGAACTGGGGAATTATCTGACCCACGTAGCCATAAAGTTGGGCATGCACAGCAGTGCTCCGTCATCCAACAGAGAGGTATATACATGATCCGGCCTGAGCACATCCTGAAGACACAAGTAAGTTACATGAAGAAGTGGCCCAAATGCCCGTGGTCCCCACTCCTGCTACACTGGAAAAGGCAAAACGAGAGAGACAGTAGACGCATCAGTCATTGCCAGGGGGCTGGTAGAGGAGAGAGGTAGGTGAAGCACAGGAGGTTTTTTTTTTAGGGCAGTAGAACTATTCTTACTACCTTAAAAGGTACTGTAGTGGTGGCTACAAGGCATAAGCATGTCTCAAAAGCTATAAAACTTTACAGCACAAAGAGTAAACCTTAATGCATGCAAATTTTAAAAAATAATAATTTACCAGGTCAGGAGATCCCAGGATGGAAAGCAGAATGCGATGCAGTCATCTTACTGTGCTATCTACGTATGAAACAACCTCACTGAGGGAGCTGGGAATAAAGTGCTGGCCTAAGTAACTTTGGAAATGAGTGGAGTCTGTAAGACTCAATGCAAAAATAACTATACATAAACACTGTACCCTAGTTGGTAAGGTTGTTGCTTATGCTTGTATGGGTTAACAATTCTGATATCATCCTGATATCAGATATCATTCCAGAATACGTATTCTGGAATTGGACAGTTAAGTAAGTGGAAGTAAAATGGTGGGAACCGAGTGTCTTATGGTTGCAGTAGAAGGTTACAGATGAGCAAGGAGAGACTAGAAAAATCCATGTGGGGCAGGAGTACAGTTAGAGACATCAGTATCAACCGATGGTTAGCGTAATATAGACACAGATGGTTACATTTAGAAATACTATGATGTGTGCATATACACATGCTAATGTATACACATATATTTCCTTTCTCTGTCCGCTGAGAGGGCCTAAAAGCAAAGAAATCCCAGTAGCAATGAGCACCAGATCTTGGTATCAAATACCACTCTCCAGTAAAAGAAATCTTGGAAAAAATAGCTGATTCTAGGAATAGCACAGGAAATATATACGATGGCCCTAGATGCTTTTACACTGTTGGTAGGAATGTAAATTATTTCAACAATTGTGGAAGACAGTGTGGTGATTCCTCAAAGACCTAGAGACAGAAATACCATTTGACTCAGCAATCCCATTACTAGGTATATACCCAAAGGAATATAAATCGTTCTACCATAATGACACATGTACACGTAAGTTCAGTGCAGCACTATTCACAATAGCAAAGACATGGAATTAGCCTAAACGCCCATCAGTGATAAACTGGATAAAGAAAACATGGACCAGCCTGGCTAACACGGTGAAACCCCGTCTCTAGTGAAAATACAAAAAATTAGCTGGGCGTGGTGGCACACGCCTGTAGTCCTAGCTAGTCGGGAGGCTGAGGCAGGAGAATCGCTTGAACCCAGAAGGCGGAGGTTGCAGTGAGCCAAGATCGCTTCACTGCACTCCAGCCTGGGTGACAGAATGAAACTCCATCTCAAAAAAAAAAAGAAAAAAAAGAAAAAGAAGATGTGGTATATATAGATACACATACCATGGAGTACGACACAGCCACAAAAAAGAATGAGATCCTGTCCTCTGCAGAGATGTGGATGGAGGAGGCCATTATCCTTAGCAAACTAATGCAGGAACAGAAAACCAAATACTGCATGTTCTTACTCAAAAATGGGAGCTGAATGATGAGAACACGTTGACACATGGTTGGGGGGGAAACACACACTGGGCCTACTAGGGGGTGGAGGCGGGGAGGAGGGAGAGGATCAGGAAAAATAACTGGTGGATACTAGGCTTAATTACCTGGCTGATGAAATAATCTGTACAACAAGCCCCCATAACACATGTTTACCTATGTAACAAACCTGCACATCCTGCACATGTACCCCTGAACTTAAAATAAAAGTTAAAAGAAAAGAAAAAGACCACGTTAGAGCATCTTGTAGTACCAAAAAGTAAGAAAGCACTGCAGACAATACCTACAATTATGGGGATATGCCAAAGGGATACAGGAGCCAACTGAAAGAGCTTCCAGTGGCCAAAGCTGGAACAATTTGAATAAAACAAAATAAATGAAGTAGTAATGGATTATAACCCAAATTATAAAATAAATATTCTGGAGTGCAATCTGATACAAATCAATGATTGAATAAATAAATATATGGAAGACAACAGACAAATCTACCATGCAGAAGAATTTCAAACAATTTATGTAGCTACTTCACCCTTAACAAGGTGGAGCATAACTCCCCACTCCTTAAATGTGGGCTGTGCTAGTGACATCCTTCCAAAGAGGACAGTATTAAAAGGGGAGAAAAGAGTCACTTAATGGTGGAGAAACCTGACAAACAGCATGTGTTAGGCCGTTATTGCATTGCTATAATGAAATACCTGAGGGTGAGTAATTTATAAAGAAAAGAGGTTTAATTGGCTCATGGTTTGGCAAGTTTTACAGGAAATGGTGCTGACATCTGCTCAGCTTCTGGGGAGTCCTCAGGAAGCTTACAATCCAATCATGGCGGAAGGTGAAGGGGGAGTGGGTACATGATATGGTAAAAGCAGGAGCAAGAGAGACAGGGAGGGTCTTTTTTAAACAACCAGACCTTGCAAGAATTCACTCACTAGCACAAGGATAGCACCAAGAGGACGGTGCTAAACCATTCATGAGAAATACACCCGCAGGAGCCAATCAACTCCCAACAGACCCCACCTCCAACACTGGGGATTATGTTTCAACATAAGATTTGGGTGAGGATGTAGATGCAAACCATATCACAGCACCTGGGCCAGGTGATAAAAGTCAACATCAAGAGCAATAAGCCATGTTGATAATATAGAGCCTTAATATGATGCGAATGGCATTACCTCTGTCATCTTACTCAAACCCATAATCCCAAATTAATCCTGAGAAATCAGACAAATCCCAATTGAGGAAAATGCTACAAAACACCTGACTAGTATTTCTCAAAAACTGTCAAGGTCATCAAAAGAAAGCAAAGTCTGAGAAAACGTCACCAGCAGGAGGAAGCTATGGAAACATGACTGCTAAATGTAACATGGTATCCCGGATGGGAATCCTGCAACATTAGGGGAAAACTGAAGGAATCTGAAAAAAACTATAGACTTTACTTAATAATAATGTATACATATTGGTTCATTAACCATGATAATGTTCCATACCAATGTAAGATGGTGATAATAGGACAAACTGGGTGTGGGGTTTATGGGAATTCCCTGTACTATCTTTGCAACAATTCTGTAAATCTAAAACTGTTCTAAAATGTAAAACTTTATTGAAACTGTCATAATAGGCAAAAAAATCCAAATTTGAGAAAACCTATAAACACACAAATCTAAAAATTTTAATGAGTCCCAGCATAAGAATCACTATCACTAAGAAAATTACACTAGGGAAGATAATAATCAAATTTCTCAAAATCAGTATTAAAAATAAATCTTAAAAGCAGCCAGAGGGGGAAAAAGACACATTACATACAAAGAAAGAAAGAAAGATAAGAGTGACATTTCTTACCAGAAATAAATCAAAGAATAAAAGGGTGAGCAGCATCTTTAAAATAGGGAAAGCAAATAAATTGCCAACTGGAATTCCCTATTCAGTGAAAATATCTTCCAAAATGAAAGTGAAATCGACTTTTTCAGATATACAAAAGCTACAAGAATTAATTGTCAACTGACTTGCACTGTAAGAAATGTTAAAGGAACTTCTTCACGCAGAAGAAAAGTGATATCAAATAAATATATGGATCTCAAAGCAATAAAGAGCACAGAAATGATAACTACATGGGTAAATATGTACTTTTTATCTTGCTATTTACATATCTTTAAAAGATAATTATAGTTGTAACAATACCAAAATAATTCAAGATGTTAACAATAGAGTAAACTGAATGTGGCATAGACTGGGAACTCTCTGTACTAACTTTACACATTTTCTGAAAAGCTAAAACTATTCTAAAATAAAAAATTTATTTAAATATTAACTTAATAATGAGAAACAATATAGTGTGAGGTTTATAATATGCAAGTAAAATGCAGGACAATAATAGCATAAAAGTGAGGAGGGAAGAAATGGAAATATACTATTGTAAAGTTTTTATGCTATGTATGATGTGGTCAAATATCACTTGAAGAAAGACTGATAAGATAAATATATGCATTAGAAATCCTAAAGCAACCACTAAAATAATGAAACAAATGGCTATAGATCATAAGCCAACAAAGGAAAGAAAATGATATCATGAAAAATACTCAATCTGAAGAAAAAAACAGATGAAGCAAATATAAAACAAATTACAAAATAATGGACTTAATTCCAATTATATCAACAATTACATTAAATATAAATGATCTAAACACCTTCATTAATATACATAGATTGTTGGGTTGCATAGAAAAAGCAAGACCCATAAATATATATATGCTGCCTACCAAAAATACACTTTAATTATAAAGACATAAGTAGGTTAGAAGTAAAAGAATTTTAAAAAGCATAAGCAAAACTAGCACCAATCAAAGCCAGAATAGCTATGGTAATATAAGGGAAGCAGATTTAAAAGCAAAGAATATTACTGGGACAAAAAAGGTCATTTCATAATGATATAAGAGTCAGTCCATCAAGAGGATTTAGTAATCAAAATGTTTATACACCCAGTAACAGAGCCTTAAAACAAATAAAGCAGAAAACTGACCAAATTACTAGGAGAAATAGACAAATTCACATTATAACAGGAAATTCAATATTCCTCTTTCAATAATAGAACAAGTAGACAGAGAATTGGTAAGGATATAAGAGACTTGAACAAAACAATCAACTTGATTTAGCTGACACTAATAGGACGCTCCACCTGATAACAACACAATACATAATCTTCTCAAGTGCACAAGGAGCATTTACTGAGACAGATCTTACTATGGGCCATAAAACAAGTCTCAGTAATTTCAAAAGGATTCAAGCAACACAAAGTATGCTCTCTGACCAAAAAGAAATTGAATTACAATTCAAAATTAAATTCAAAGTTAACAGAAAGAAGGAAACAATAAAAATCGAGAAGTAAATCAAGGAAACAAAGCACAGGGAAAAATGAGAAAAAAATCAATAAACCAAAAATGGATTCTTTTTGAGAAAATCAATCAAATTGCTGAACTTCTACCAAGATTAATCAGGAAAAAAAAGACAGAAACTGCCAGTATTAGGAAGTAAGAGAGATGACATCATTTACAGATTCTACAGATATCCAAAGGATAATACGGGCTATTACAAATAACTTTATTCTGATAAATTGACATCTTAAACAAAATGAACAAATTCAATGAAAGACTGAAATTACCAAAACTCATACAAGAAAAAATAGATAACCTAAATACACTCACAAACACAAATTAAATTTCTAGTAAAAATTCTATTCACAAAGAAAACATCACAGCATCACTGGTAAATTTTACCAAACATTTAAAGAAAAAGGATACCAATTCTAGAAACACTCTTTCTAAAAATTAAAGAAGAGGGAATACTCCTTCACCATTTCTATGAGACCAGGATTATTACCCTGATACCAAAAGTAGGCAAAGACATTACAAGAAGAGAAAACTAAGGCTAAAACCTGTCATAAAAATAGATGCAAGAATTCTAAACAAAATTTTATCAAATCAAGCCTGAAAATATGTAAAAAGGATAATATCTCATGATCAAGTGTGGTTTCAGAATACAAGGTTGGTTTAACACTCAAAAATCAATCAATATAAATTTTCATATTAATGAAACTAGAAAAGGAAAAGCATATTATTATCAATATACATATGTGCACTGGTTAGGGTTCTCCAGAGAAACAGAACCAACAGGGGTGTGTGCGTGTGTGTGTGTGTGTGTGTGTGTGTGTGTGGAGAGAGAGAGACACACAGAGAGAGAGAAAAAGAGAGAGAAAATCCAAAATCGGCAGGGTAAGTGGCAGACTGGAGCCCCAGGAAAAAGCTGCAGCCCAAATCCAAAAGCAGTCTGCTGGCAGAATTCCTTCTGGCTTAGAGAAAGTCAATCTTTGTTTTGTTAAGGCCTTCGTCAACTGCTTAGATGAGGACTATGGTTCAAGCTTGTCCAACCTGTGGCCCATGGGCCACATGCAGCCAGGCACTGCTTTCAATGCAGCCCAACACAAATTAGTAAACTTTCTTAAAACATGAGACTTTTTTGCAAAATTTTTTTTAGCTCATCAGCTATCATTCGTGTTAGTATATTTTATGTGTAGCCCAAGACAATTCTTCTTTTCCCAGTGTGGCCCAGGAAAGCCAAAAGATTGGACACCCCTGGTTTAGATGTTTGTCCCCTCCAAACTTCATACTGAAGCTTGATCCCCGATGTTAGAGGTGAGGCCTAATGGGAGGTGTTTTGGTGATGAGGCCAGATCCCTCCTGAATAGATCCTCCCTCAAGGATGAGTCAGTTCTTTACTGGTTGCTGTTTATTAAAAGAGCCTGGCATCTCCCCTTCTTTGCTCGCTCTTGCTTTCTCTCTCACCATGATGCAGATGCCCAATCTTGAAATTTTCGGCCATAAGAATCATGAGCCAAATAAATCTTTTTTCTGTATAGATCTCCAGTCTCAGGTATTTCTTTATAGCAACACAAAATGAACTAAGACAAGGACCCTGCACATTGTGGAGGTTAATCTGCCCTACTCGGAGTTCACCAATTTAACATTAATCTCATCCAAAAGTTACCTTAGCTGAAGCATCTAGAATAATATTTGACCAGACATCTAGGCACAGTAGTCCAACCAATTTGATACATAAAATCAACCACCGCAATGCTAAGAAAAAGTATCTAACAAACAATATACAATATCCTTTCCTGATAAAAACTCTCAGCAAATTAGGAATAAAAGGGAATTTCTTCAACCTGATAAGGAGTATCTATGAAAAACTTACAGCTAACATATTTAATGGTAAACGATTGAAAGCTTTCTTCCTGAGATGGGAAACAAGGTGAAGATATCTGCTCTACCCAGTGTAATAAGAAAATAAAAAGAAACAAATACACCCAGATTGGAATGGAAGAAGAAAAACTGTCTTAATTTATACAAGAAATGATTGCCTATGTAGATGGTCAAACAGAATCTACATGAAACACACAAAGAACAATCAGACATTGAAATTTTACTAGCATAAAAATGCAAAATACTGCGAGAGAAATCTAAAAAAATATGTACAAGTCTGGTGTACTGAAAACTATAAAACATTCCTGAGAAAAAACAAGTAATACCCAAATAAATAAAGAAATATACTGAGTCCTAGATTGAAAGACTCAGAATTATTATCAGGATGTCAGTTTCTGACAAATTCATCTATAGATTCAACGTAATCTCAATCAGCACCCCAGCAAGCTTTCTGTAGAAACTGACAAACTGATTTTAAAATTCCTATGGAAATCCAAAGGACCTACAGTAACCAAAACATCTTTGAAACAGAACAACATACTTAGAGGACTTACTGTATCTGATTTCAAGGTTATAAAATTATAATAATTAAGACAGTGTTCTACTGGCATAATGATAGAGAAGTAAATCAGTGGAACAGATCAGATAGCCAAGAAATAGACTCACACATGAGGACAGCTAGTTTGACAAAGGTGCAAAGTCAGTTTAATAGAGAAATTGTATCTTTTCAACCAATGATGCTGGAACAATTGGATATCCACCTGCAAAAAGACAAAATAACTTTGACCAATTCCTCAAGCTGTATTCAAATTCATTAATGTAAAATGAATTAGTAACCTAATATAAATGTAAAACTGTGAAACTGTTAGATGAAAACATGGTGGAAAATCTTTGTGACCTTAGATTAGTCACAGAAAGGATATGACGGCAAAGGCACAATTCATAAAAGAAAGGTGGCTAAATGGAATGTCATCAAAATTTAAAAATTCCACTCTTTTGAAAGGCAGTCATAAGAGAATAAAGAAAGCAAGCCATCAGCTGATAGGAAATATTCACAAATCATATTACGATGAAGGACTTATATCCAGAATATTCATTGCATATTCTCTGTGTATTTTCAAAAATGAATAGTAAGAAAACAACCCTATAAAAATGAGCAAAAAAGATATACAGATATCTCCTACACACTTGACCAAAGAAGATATATGGATAATAAATAAGGTCATGAAAACATGCTCAACATCATTAATCATTAGGAAAATGAAAATTAAAAATCGTAATGAGATATCGCTACACACCTATTAGAATGGTTAAATTTTCTTGCTTTAAAACTGATCATACCAACTTTTGGCAAAGGTAGGAGAAACTGTAATTCTCATGCACTGTGAGTGGGAAGATTAATGGTACAACCCCTTTAAAAAATGATTTGGTAGATTCTTAAAAGGTGAAACACACACCGGCCGGCCATATGATCCATCCATTCCACTCCTAGGTATTTATTCAAGAAAAATGAAAGCATTTGTCTCCACAAAGACTTGTTCATGAATGTTTATAGCATTGGATCATAGATAGCCCAAACCAGAAACAATCCAAGTGACGCCTAACAAGTGAAGGTATAAGCAAATATACCCATTCATGTTATTTATCAATAAAAATAAATGAACGATTGATACCTGCAACAATATCAATGAATCTCAAAATAAGTATATGGCATGAGATAAGCCAGACAAAAGAATACATCCTGTATGTGTCCATTGACATAACACCGTAGAATGCAAAGAATACCTGATAGAAGGCGGATCAGTGGTTACCTAAGGCTGGGGAGGAGGGGTGGGAGGAAGGGATTACACAGTTGTAATTTAATTACGAATTTAAAACTTACAAGAAATTGTTGACGGTGATGATGGTCTCACTGTTGTACACATATGTCAAAATTCATAAAACTCTGCATTTTGGCCCAGTGTGGTAGCTCACGCCTGTAATCCCAGCACTTTGGGAGGCTGAGGCAGGTGGATCACCTGAGGTCAGGGGTTCCAGACCTGCCTGGCCAACGTGGTGAAACCTCATCTCTATTAAAAATACAAAAAACTTAGCCGGGCGTGGTGGCACGCACCTATAGTCCCAGCTACTCAGGAGGCTGAGGCAGGATAATTGCTTGAACCCTAGATGCAGAGGTTGCATTGAGCCGAGATTGCACCACTGCACTCTAGCCTGGGCAACAGAGAGAGACCTATCTAAAAAAAAAAAAAAAAAAAAAAAAAAAAAAAAACAAAAAAAAACCTCTATATTTTAAATATGTGTAGTTTATTGTATGTCAGTTAGCCCCCAATAAACCTATAACTTCCCAGGGGAAATGGCTGAGATTGATGCCACCTTCAAAGAGTTAAAGAAGGCCTAGGTAGTAACCCCCACCATCTCTCTCGTGATTTCCCCTCTCTGGCCTCTCTGCAGACTGGCTGAATCAGAATAGATGATTGCAGACCTCAAACTCAACCAAGTAGCAACACCAAATGGGCTGCCAGGCCAGATGTGGTATCTTCGTTTAATCTTAGATTAAATTAGATTCATTTAATCTAAGATTAAATTAACACTGCCCCTGGTACCCGGTATCAGTAGCTACGGATTCTGTGAATGAATTCTCTTCCATCTCATCAGGAGAGAGTGTGAGAAGCAATTTGCATTCGCACAGGAGGGACAACAGTACACAGTCACAGTTTTGCCCCAGGGATATGTTAATTCTTCTGCTCTTTGTCACAGTATAGTCCAAAGGGAAAAGGCCCTCTGGACATTCCACAGATTATCACGTTAGTTCACTATACTGATGGCAGTCTGTTAACTGGATCTGACGAGCAAGCAGGGGAAAGTACTCTGGACGCCCCAAGTAAGGCACACGAGCCAGGCTGGGAGATAAATTCCACGAAGCTTTAGAGGCCTGCTACATCATGATCTTATTACCATGAAGTTATTGCCATAAAATCTGGCAAATCCCATGGTACAAGAGGTATTTGCAATGGAGAAAGACACCACACACACAGAGCCCCTGGAGAACTTCAAAGAAGAGTCATGGCCCAGACTCCTTGGGCTCTGGAAGAAGGCCGTGCAGAGAACGATACCATTCAGAAAGAGGTTCCTGCTCTCCTGTGGGAACCTCTAGAGAAAGAGTTTCTGGTCATGGACGTTAAGTGACCATGTGGTCAGAGATGCCCATCTTGAGCTAGGATCTGTTAAACCCACCAAATCAGAAGGTCAGGCAAGCCCAGCAGCATCCAGTATACATGGGAAAAGACACCTCCTGGGACTGCGAACAAGCAGAGGGCAAAAGAAAGCGACATAATCCGGGGATCGGAACCCCCACGTCATCTACCAGTGTTGCACTGACACCTCTTCTTCAGTCCACACCTGTGGCCTCCTGCAGAGGTCCCTCTGACCAGCCGATGGAGAAGGAAGGGGCCTGAGCTTCACTCATTGGCAGGTTAGCTAGAAACGTTAGTGAGCCCCCAAAGGACTGCTCCTGCACTGCAGCCCACTCAGGTGGTGGTGATGGTGGCGATGGGGTAACCCTCCCAGGGGGCCGAGCTTTGAGTGCAGGACCTGGTCGTGCACTTGTAGGGAGAGAAGCGAACCAAATCAGTGGTTCTATTTCTAGCAGTTTTAGGCTCTACAGGGCCATTCCCAGAGCGGGACGCTTCCACCGGAAGACGCTATTAAGACAGCTTCCACCTGGTCACTTCGGGCTCCTGGTATCAACAATCTGGCAGAGAGAATGAAGTTCCCATACTGGCAGGGGTAACTGGCTGGGAGCATCATGAGAAGGTATGAATACAGTCATCAATGGGGGCGGGCAGGTGACCCACCAGGGGCATCTCTTGGTGCTGCCATGCACAGATCTTCCCGCAAGTAGCAAGCGCCACAGTGTGAGCATGATAAGGCCATGGTGACCACAGGCTGCTCAAGGTCCCGGCTATCTGACACGGATGGAGGAGGAAGGGGCGGTGGCTATCAGTCAGGGCCCCAGGCAATGAAAATGGCAATGGCAATGGCAGGAGTAGGCACTGGCGTTCATCCCACTCAGCCTGTTAGTGTCAATTTCCCCTGGTGTTGGGACCAATTTGATCCTGGAGAAGCTCTCCTCAGGGGAGCAAACCTCCTACACAGGTGGGCTGTGCGGGGGGTGGGGGTGGAGTAAGGCGTGTTGGGTCATGGGTGCTACTGGTGTCCTCCCCAACTCCTTTTATCTGGACCGTGTGCCTATCCCCCAGCTGTTAAGTGTTGACAACTAATGGCTCAATGAAGAGCTGTTTAGCTAAAGGGAAGCCCCACATCCGGGACGTGTGTGCCCTGGGGGACACACAGCAAATGACTGACAAGGAGGAACAGAAGGCAGCCTCTTGCTTCCAGTCCTGGGAGACCATGCTGAAGCCCTGCCTCCTGGCTTATCTGTATCTCCTGCACAAGAATTCCAGCCCAGGCTCTGTTTCTAGGGAGTGTGCCCTGAGATGCCAGCGCTTGAGCTTCGAGAGCACGAGGGGGTAGGTTCTGGTGGACAGGGACCCCGGTGTGACGACAACTGCAAGGTTCACCTTGGACCCTGGCACTATCCTCCCACCAGGCTGGAAAAGGAGACCAGGACATGGCCCCAGCACAGCCCCCAGGTGGGCAAACCGGCAGGCTGGGCTGGCTAAGCTCTTGGTGTTCTTTGTGTGGGGGTAGGTGGGGCTGGTGAGGGCGGGACTGGCTGCAGGTCCTTCAGCGGGTCCCTGCTGGACCTCCGTGGCGGGGACAGGGATGAAATTAAAACAGACCCGACTCCATTCAATCTCAGCGATCCATGACTCAGTGATGCCCGGAGCTGCCTCCCTTTCTCCTCCCTGGGCTCCCACCCCGCCGCGCCCCACCCCATTATGATCCCCCCCAAAATGCAGAGAGCCCACTAGAGGGAGGAGGCTGAGGGCTCCAGGCTGCCCTGGTCAGACAACACATCATGTTCCTTCACCTGCAGATAGACCCTGAGCCCATCAGTGAAACAAG
This sequence comes from Homo sapiens, assembly GCF_000001405.40. Classification (NCBI taxonomy): domain Eukaryota; kingdom Metazoa; phylum Chordata; class Mammalia; order Primates; family Hominidae; genus Homo; species Homo sapiens. Next base: position 2,250,037 of record NC_000011.10, read on the forward strand.
GGGCCCCCAGGAGAATCAGAATCCTGACCCCATCCCACCCTCCACACCAGCTCAACGGACTCCCAGGCTGCCAGAAAGGCCTCATACGTCAAAGTCAGCCTCCCAGTCGGCCTCCGTTTCCAGGTGTGGGCCTGGAGTGCCGTGGCCCAGGTGGTATCAGAAGCTCGCAGGGATAGGCCTAAGAGGTGACCCCAGGGGAGGGCCAGGCCAAGGAGCTGCAGAGAGGGCTGGGGAAGCTCCAGATCCCCCACCTCCTTCAAAACACACCTGAAACACCAGCCAGCACCAGCACCACCAAGATGAGAAAGGGCCCTGGACCGTCTCCACCAGTGTCATGCAGCAGCTGGGCTGGTCCCCTCCCTTGGGTCCCCATCTGCCCCACTTGTACAGGAGCTAACGACGCCTGCTGCCCACCCAGGAGGACCTAGCAGGAGCCCAGTGTGAAGGTGTTTGCAAAACTCTGGGGAAAGTGAAGGTCAGAGGTGACTCCCAGCTTCCACTTAGGACATAGAGAGCTGGAAAGAGCCCGGCTCCCATCCTTAAACTGCAGCAGCAACAAAAGGCACCAAGCAACCTGAAAAGTCAGGACTTTTCTCAAAACTCTCTGAGAGCTGAGGTCACAGGGCAACCAACTAACCCAAAACAAAGGGAAGGCAGGCGCCTGCAGGAGGAGACGGGATGCAGGCTGTCACCGAGACAGACGAGGCCAGACACCAGGAAGAAGAACACAGCCAAAATGTTTAATGAGTTGGCAAGGGTCGGTGTGGGGTAATGGGAGAGCACAGAAGCCCCAGGGGCTGCGGAGTGAAGGGAAATCCACATCCACTGGAAGGTCCCCGTGGATTTCACGGGATGCTCTCTTTGTGGTGTAGGCCCAGCAGAGGGGAACAGCAGCCACTGTCCCAAAGGTACAAAACCTACATAGGTTATTCTCCTCAATGGAACAAAACCCTTAGATTGCTGGAGGAAAGGCAAAAAAGGCAAAAAACACTGTCACACTTAGGGCACGAGTAGAAACCATCGAAACTGGGGGAATCCTAAAAGCCCTGTGCCCTGGGGAGGGATAAGCTACATGGTGGGCCCAGAGCTACAGCTGAGCGTAGGGCAGGAGTCCCAAGAATGCTTCACCCACAAGACCCAAAGGACATAGGGTTAATCAGAAAAAACCGAACAGCCCCCCACCTCCAGCACCTGCTGACAAGCACCATGTAACAAGTGACCCTGGAGTGGGAGAGGCCGCAGAGTGTGGCCTGGGAGAGTCTGCGGAGTGTGGAAACCCTCTCCAAGGTAAGCTTATAGCCGAAGGCTGGTTGGACACTGGGAAAAGCCTCTCTATGGTAAACACAAAGTAGTGCTGGAGGGATTTGATGACTGTGGTGCTCCAGAGATAACCATGACAACACCAAACTGAAACCCAGCTCAACTCTGGACGAGATTAGCCCCAAGCCCCGCAGTAAAGGAACAGCAAAAAGAAGGGTATGCCCATTTCCAAAAGCACAAAACGAATTTCTTCAGTCTCTACTGTCCTCTGCACGATGTCTGGATTTCAAAAAATTGATGAGGCCTATTAAAAAAATAAATAAATAGGCCAGGGTCTGTGGCTCACGCCTGTAATCCCAGCACTTTGGGAGGCCGAGGCAGGTGGATCACGAGTTCAAGAGATCGAGACCATCCTGGCCAATATGGTGAAACCCCATCTCTACTAAAAATACAAAAATTAGCCGGGTGTGGTGGCACACGCCTGTAGTCCCAGCTACTTGGGAGGCTGAGGCAGGAGAATCGCTTGAACCCGGGAGACAGAGGTTGCAGTGAGCCGAGATCGCGCCACTGCGCTCCAGCCTGGGCAACAAGTGAGACTCCGTCTCGAAAAATAAATAAATAAATAAATAATAAATAATAGATGAATAGATAACGTGCTATCAAGACAAAGCAAGCAAAATAATCAGACTGAAAGGCTGGTCTCAGTGGCTCACACCTGGAATCCCAGCACTTTGGGAGACTGAGGTGGGAGGATCGCTTGAGCCCAAGAGTTTGAGACCAGCCTGGGCAACACAGAGAGACCTACCTCTACAAAAAATAAAAATAAAAAAATCAACTGTGCATGGTGGTGCCCACCTGTGGTTCCAGCTACTCGGGAGGCTGAAGCAGGAGAATCACTTGAGCCCAGGAGGTCAAGCCTGCAGTGAGTTAAGATTGTACTTCTCTACTCCGGCCCGGGGCAGCAGAGTGAGGCCTTGTCTCAAAATAATAATGATAAAAAAAGAAACAGACTCAGATATGACACAGCCGTCGGAACTGTCAGACAGGACATTTTAAATACAATAAATATGCTAAAGACTCTAAGGACCCTAATGGAGAAGGGGGAAAATATGCAAGCTCAGATAGGTCACTTCAGCAAAGAGATGGAAACTAGAAGAAGAAATCAAATGGAAAAGCTAAAATAAAAAACAGTAACAGCCATGAGAAGAAGCCTCTGGTGGGCTCATGAATGTACTTGACACAGCAGGACAGGGTCCCTGAACTTGAACACAGGTCAGTAAAAAATACCTAAAATGCAGAGGAAAAAATATTGAAAAGGGGGAAAAAAATCCCAAATCCTTCAAGAAGTGTGGGACATATTAAGTGATCTAACATATGTGTGAATGGAATCTCAGAAAGAAAAGATAGAAAACACAGTGAAAAAGACAGAGTTGAAGAAATAATGGGTAAGAATTTTATAAAATCATTGACAAACAATAAGCCACATGGCCAAGTTCAGAGAATACCAAGCAAGATAAGTACCACATTTTTTTTTTTTTTTTGAGACATAGTTTCGCTCTTGTCGCCCAGGCTGGAGTGCAATGGTGTGATCTCGGCTCACTGCAACCTCTGCCTCCTGGGTCCAAGTGATTCTCCTGCCTCAGCCTCCCAAGTAGCTGGGATTACAGGTGCCTGCTACCAGGCCCGGAGTAGAGACAGAGTTTCACCATGTTGGCCAGGCTGGTCTGGAACCCCTGACCTCAGGTGATCCACCCACCTCAGCCTCCCAAAGGCTGGGATTACAGGTGTGAGCCACTGTGCCCGGCCGGTAAGTACCATTTTTTAAAAACTGAAGGCATATCACATTTAAACTGCTGAAAACCCAAGACAAAAGCGAAAATCTTGAAAGCAACCAGAGAATACAGGTACATTCCATAGAGACACAAGAAAAACAGAAATATGGTAGCAGACTTCTAAACTTCTCGTCAGAAACAAAGTCAGCCAGGGATGAAAGAAAAACAACAACAAAAAAACTGTTGATTCAGAATTCTATATCCGGTACAAATATCTTTCAGAAAAAAAGGAGAAATAAAGTCTTTCTCAGACAAACAAAAACTGTAGAATTTGTTACTGAAAGACCTTCACTATAAGAAATGTTAAAGGAAGTTCTTCAGGCAAAAACATGATACCAGACAGAGACTTGGATCTACACAAAGAAGCAAAGTGCACTAGAAATGGAATAAATGAAAGTACAAATAGAATTTCTTTCTTTCTCATTTTTAATTGCTCTAAAAGATAACTGACTAAAGAAAAAATTGTGGTCACGTATTATATGTCTATAGTATAATGTAAAATAGAATGTATGACAATAATAGCACAAACAGTGGGAGGAAGGAATTGAGAATATGCAGTTGTAAATTTATTATATAACACACAGAGCAAGGTAATATCATTTGGTAGACAATGATTATTTAAAGATGTATATTATAAAACCTAAGACAACTATTAATTTAAAAAATAAGATATAAATGATAAGCCAATAGTGGAAACTAAATGGAATCATAAAAAGTACTCAGTTAATCCAAAAGAAGGCAGAAAAGGGAGTGGGGGGACAACAGACGGAATAAATAGAAAAGAGTTAGCAAGATGGTAAATTAAATCCAAGCATATGGCCAGAAGCAGTGGCTCGGGCATGTAATCCCAACATTTTAGGAGGCTAAGGTGGGAGGATTCCTTAAGCCCAGGAGTTCAGAGGCTATAATGAGCTATGATCATACCACCGCACTCCAGCCTGGGCAACAGAATGAGATCCCATCTCTAAAAAAAGAAAAACACTCCAAATACATAAATAAATAATTATATTAATCTCAACACACCAATGAAAAGAGATGATCAATTTGAATAAACAAAAGACCCAACTATATGCTATCTATATGAAACCCACTTTAAATATAAAGACATAAATAAGGTTAAAGTAAAAGGATGGAAAATATGTGACACAGAAGCATGCGTCAAAATAAAGATGCAGCAGCTACATTCATCTCAGACAAAGTAGGCTTCAGAACAAGGACTATTACAAGGGATAAGTGAGACCTCACATAACAATAAAGGAGTTGCATTTTCTGAGAAAACAATCCTCAGTGTGTAGGCACCTACCAACAAAGGCTGAAAACACAGAAAGCAAAAAATGATAAAATAAAATGTAACACTCATTCATGATTTTTAAAAAACTGTCAACAAACAAGGAATGTAAGAGAACTGAACCTAATAAAAGGCGAAGCTGAAATACAAAAAAAAAAAAAAAAAAAGCTAACATACTAAATGGTGAAAGGCTGAGTACCCCTAAGATTGTAAAGAAGGTATGATATCCCCTCTCACACTTCTTTTTTTTTTTTTTTGAGAGTCTCGCTCTGTCGCCCAGGCTGGAGTGCAGTGGCGCGATCTCGGCTCACTGCAAGCTCCGCCTCCTGGGTTCACGCCATTCTCCTGCCTCAGCCTCCCAAGTAGCTGGGACTACAGGCGCCCACCACCACGCCTGGCTAATTTTTTTTGTATTTTTTTAGTAGAGACGGGGTTTCACCATGTTAGCCAGGATGGTCTTGATCTCCTGACCTCATGATCTGCCCGCCTCGGCCTTCCAAAGTGCCGGGATTACAGGCGTGAGCCACTGCACCCGGGCCCCTCTCACACTTCTATTCCATATTTTACAGGAAGGCCTAGCCAAGATATTAAGGCAAGAAAAAGAAAGAAATGGTATACAAATTTGAAAGGCAGAAATAAAACTAAGTCAATTCACAATGACATGAATGTTGCATAGAAAATTCCCCAAACAACTAGAGAAAACTCCTCAAATGAACAGGAGAGTTGAGCAAGATCTCAGTATAAAGTCAATATACAAAAGTGAGTTGTATTAATATTTCTGTTTGCTAGCAACAAACAATTAGAATTTTACATTTTCAAAATAGATCCACTTATAATAATGCTCCCCATATGAAAAACTTGGGCACAGATGTAACAAAAAAAGTATTCTGATCTAAACGAACAGAAAAATATACTATGTTCATGGATTAGATGAGTCAATATTATTAAGATGTCAGTTCTCCCCACGTTGATCTAGATATTCATACATCCCAATAATTTTCCCAGCAGAATGTTTTGTAGATGTTGACAAGTTGATTCAAAAATTCATATGGAAATTAAAATGCTCTAGGATAGTCAAAATAATTTAGGAAAATTATTTTCTGGTCACTATCTGATTTCACTGATATGTTACTATATATTTACTATTTACTACCTGATTTGACTATAAAGCTATAGCAATCAAGACACTGAGGTATTGGTGAAGGCGTAGACTCAGCTCAGTGGGATTGAATAGAGAGCCCAGAAGTGGATCCATATAAATATAGTCAAGTCAATTTTGGCAAAGATGCAAAGGGAAATCAGTAGAGAAAGGGCAGCCTTTTCAACAAACGGAACTGGATCTATTGGATGTCCATATGCAAAAAATGAACCTGGACACACATATCTCACACCTTACACAAAAATTAACTCTAAATGAATCATAGACCTTAACGTAAAATATACAACTATAAAACTTCTAGAAGAAAACAGAGAAAATCTTTGTGCCCTTAGGAAAGCCAGGGTCTTCAGCCTCGGTACTGTTGCCATTTGGGGATGTAGCTCCTGTGTGGGGGCTGGTCTGTGCACCAGGGAGGTTTAGCAGCGGTGTGCTCCAGTTGTGACAACTAACAATGTCCCCAGACACTGCCCAATGTCCTCTGGGGGCAAAACAGGCCTGAATTGAGAAGAGAAAGTTCTCAGCTGTGACGTGGAAGCATAACCCATAACAGGAAAAAAAAAAGTTAATACACGGGACTTTGTTAAATGTAAAACTTTTCTTCTGTAAATGGCCATGTTAAGATATTGAAAAGACAAACCACAGGCTGGGAAAAAATATTTGCAATTACATTATCAGATGCAGAATTTGTATTCAGAATACACAAAGAACTCGAAACTCAACAATCAGAAAACAAACAGCCCAATTAAAAAAATCGGCAAAGGGCTTGACAGACATGTCACCAAAGAAGGGAGGCAGATGGCAAAGAAGCCCCAAAAGATGTGCCACAGGGTTCGTTTCAGGGAAATGCAAACCGCAAGAGACCTGTGTGCTCCTGCGTGCTCCCGTGTGCTCCTGCTTACTCCTGTGTGCTCCCGTGTGCTCCTGTGTACTCCTGCTGCGAAGGGTAAAATGAAGCAAAACAGCGAAAACTCACAGCACACAACCTAGTGCCAGCGAGGATGGGGAGCAAGTGGGCCTCACGCCCTGCTGCAGAGTGCACTATGGCACAGCCCCTGTGTGTGCCTGGGGGGCCTGTGGGTGACAGGGGGACAAAGAAGAGGTTGGCAGAGATGGCAGAGCAGCCTCCTGGTGCTGGACTTCCTCACCCAGCCAGGATGGCCTGGGCCTGCACCAGTGCTGCCTGAGACAGCGAGTCTCAACCTGCTCCAGGGGCGTGTGCGTTTCTGCGTGTGTGTGTGTGTGTGTGTCCATGCATGTGTCTCTATGAATATATGTGCTGTATTTGCATGTGTGTGTGTGTCTATGTGTGCATATGTCTGTGTCTGTGTGTCTTTCTGTGTGTGCGGTCTGTGTCTGTGGGTCTACACGTGTATATGTGCATGTGTCTGTGTGTGTCGCAGTGTGTTACTGTGTCTGCGCGTGTGTGCATGCATATGTGCAGGAGGGAGGGAGGGCTCAGGCCTTAGCAGAGTCCCTGGGGCTCTGGGAGTGGAGGGCAGTGAGGCTGAGGCTGGTGCAAAGGTGGTTTCAGGCGCTCAGGTGAAGTGGAGCAGAAACAGAAGTTGGAATCCAGCCCCAGCGGGCGGGCGGCAGCAGCAGTGCCGGCCCTGCCCAGAACAGGTTCGACCTGAGCCGGCACTGCCCGGCTGCCCTGGGGCTAGGGAGGCTGAGACAGAGAAGGGAAGCCAGAGGGTGGGGGTGGGGGCCCGGCACTGGCAGAGCTGCCTGCCCTCAACGACCGCCCCTGCCGGAGACCCCCGCCCCACCCGCTGTGGTTCTGCTGGCCCAGGTTTCGCTGGGCCCACTCCCAGGGTTTGGCATCACTGGAGCCCAGGGTCCCCCCCGCACCCTCCCCACAGCCTTGGCCCTGCTGCTGCCTGCCTCCTCCAGGGTACCCCGAGGCCCACGTCAGGAGACCCGCCTCAGGCAGCAGTGGCCCGGTGGCTGCTTCTGCCTAGCCCGCAGCACGTGCCACCCTGGGCGCACTGCCTTCCCGAAGGCTCTCCTCCCTCCCCGGGGCGCTCCCTCCCACTCTGGAATGCCTCCCTGCCTGCACAGCAGGAGTGTTTGGCTGAGGTCTGCAGCCCCGACACAGGTCACCTCCCACGCCTATGGGGGCTTCAGAAAGTCCCGGAATCGGCCGGGCGCCCTGGCTCATGCCTGTAATCCCAGCACTTTGGGAGGCCGAGGCGGGCGGATGATGAGGTGAGGAGATCGAGACCATCCTGGCTAACACAGTGAAACCCCGTCTCTACTAAAAATACAAAAAATTAGCCGGGCGCGGTGGCGGGCGCCTGTAGTCCCAGCTACTCGGGAGGCTGAGGCAGGAGAATGGCGTGAACCCGGGAGGCGGAGCTTGCAGTGAGCCGAGATCGCGCCACTGCACTCCAGCCTGGGAGACAGAGTGAGACTCCGTCTCAAAAAAAAAAAAAAAAAAAAAAAGAAAGTCCCAGAATCCCAGACATCTAACAGGATGGGGTCCCAGAGACCCTCCACCCACCCATCTCCCTGACTTCCACACAGGCAGGGATGAAGGACTGAGGGAGAGTGGGAGAGGGTAACTGTGGCGGTCACGAAGGGTCCTCAGGTCCCCGTCCTTATCCCAAGCCCCATCCAGGCCAGAACCGCGGAGTGGGTGTGCAGAGCACTCAGGCAGCCTGTGAATCCCCACAGCCACTTCCCTACCCTGAGACCTCAGAGAATGACCTGGCCTCTGTCTTTCTGTTTCATTTTATTTATTTTTATCTCCAGCTTGTTTGTGAAGTTCAGGGGTACCAGTGCAGGATGTGCAGGATCCTTGTCACAAGCATCCTTCTCACGACCCTGCCTCACTCCAAAAGGGGTATCAGGTAGGTGAGCAGAAACGCCCCTTCCTGAATGCCTGTCCTTGTCCCACCACAAGGATGAGGATGCCTGCTCAGAGGGCACAGGGAGAAGCCAATGGCATAGGGTGCACAGCAGCGAGGGCCAAGGGACAAGGAGTGGGGGGCCCCCACCTGCCCAGCGTGACCTGCTGACCACAGCTCCTCAGCGGCGGGACAAAGCCTGCCCATGGGGCCCTCAGTGGCCACCCTGGATGCAAACACGGTTAATGGTCAGGCCCAGCCTGTCCCCTCCTGCGCACAAACTCAGGGCAGAGCAGAGAGCTTACATCCACCAAGACCCAGACAAAAGAAAGCCCCAAGAACACCCTTAAAGGCAGCCAAACCCTGGAGCTGCCTCGGGCCCATCGATGGGAGCACAAGAGGTGAATCCTGCTACGGGCACCGTGGCCGTCTACGCGACCGCAGCAAAGAGGAACATGGACGACTCACAGACGCAGAGACGGGGGGTCCATGCTGTGTGGTGATGTTCACCTGCAGCTCAGGGACAAACCCTACCTACGGTGACAGATGTCAGGAGGGGTGAAGGGTGAGGGAGGGAGGGCCTGTTAGCTGGAGCGGGTCTCAGGGATGCCTGCTGCTGCTGCTGGAAACATTCTGCACAGGGGTTCGGGTGGAGGTTCTGGGAGTGTCACCCGTGCACACTTGTCAGCATGCTCTCCAGGTCCTGCATTTGAGGTGCCTGTACCCCAGTGGAAAGATGACGGACAGAGCTGCTCAACCACTGCCCTGGACCGCATTCTGCAGGGTGCCTTAGAAGGCCCAGGAGGAAAGGGGACTCCAGGCTGGGCACCGGTGGTCCACAGGCTTCCAGAGCAGCCCAGCTTGGCCGTTGTGTCCCAGTCACTGGGAGCTAACGAGGACGCACCCTCATGGGGGTATGTGCCCACCCAGTCCCCTCCGTAGAGAGCCTGGGAGCCTCTGTGATAGGGCGTCCTGGCCCAGGGCTCCCAAGGCCAAGTATGAAGTCTCATTCCCCCAGACAACCTTCACCTCCAGGCTGCATAACCTCTACTGACCCCTCTCAATCCCACCTCTTCTTTTTGTCCATGAAGGCAGTCGGGAAATGCAGCCTGTGCTTCGGAGAGGCGGGCAGGGCTGGGGTCACCCCCGCCCCAGGCAGTGGGATAGGAGATGCGCCAGGGTCAGGTCCCTTGCTGCAAGCCTGCAACCCGTGCCTGTATGTGCCAGCCGGGCCTGCCAATCCATCCTTCACCCTGCAGGACCCTCCCGTCTACAGGTCCCAGCTCTGTGTGGGCCTGGCCAGCCCTGGGGCCATGGCTGAGACCTGAGTCCTCAAAGGACTGCCCCTTCTGAGAGCAGAATCCTGCTGCCCCCAGAAGACCAGGTGTTCAACCTGAGCCCTGATCCTAAAACCCATGGTCCTCTCTCTCCTCCAGAATCCCTCTGCCAGCCTCCAAGAGCCGCCTGCTGCTCTCCTGGTGCTTCTCACACCCCTGGGGGATGGCAGGGGGGCGGGGAGCCCAGCAGAAATTGGAGCAGAGAGGACATGGAGGGCTGAGGGGTGAGGGGGCAGACCGAATGTATCCTCTCTGCCCATGCGTCTTCCCCCAGGATGCTACCTGAGGTCTCGGGAGAGGGGCATCTGGGAAGGCTTCCTGGAGGAAGATGAGTGCCTCTCTCTCATGAGGGAGGGGCTCCAGGGAGGTCAGTGTGAACTTGTGTTGGCACAAAGGCAGCCCTGGCCGAGGGGGCGAAGGCAGTGTGAAGTGGGACTCACTTCCCCCAAAGATGCAGAGGGATGTCGGGAGACCTGGCAGGCGGCCCTGGGCAGTTCAGTTGACCCCACCTTACCCTACCAGGCTGCAGGAAGCCCCTGCCCCCACCTGGAGCCGCTACGGGTTTTCCTAGCTCAGCCCTAAAGGCTCAGCCCGACTAGATACAGGCCAACTAGAGAGGTCATGTCAGGGCTGAGGGGGTGGCTGCCAGGGGTGGCTGCTGTGGGGAAGAGCATCCCAGCCCGCAGGCCCTGCTACCCCAGGCAGAGCTGCCCGTTGTGTCCCGCACGAAGAGCTTTCCCTGCCTGGGAATCCCGCTCTGCCCCCCACCAGCCAGTGGCTTTGGAAGTTCGTCCAGCAACCCTGGAGTCTCAGTTTCCATGCCTGTAATATGGGCACAGCACTCACTCCAGGATGAACAGAAGCCGGGCCAGGAAAGCAGTCCCTGGCCTGGCACCACAGCAGGGGCTGTGAGGGGGATGGTTCCACAGTTGCTGGAGGTCGACAGGGACCGAAGCACACATGAGTGCCAGATGGGCCCCACGATGGGATTCCGGCGAGGGTGGTGCAGGGAGCCACCTATACAGAGGACAATTGACTGCAGAAGTGCCAGGCTCATGCCCTCCACGGATGGAGAGGCCGTCACCTCCGGGGGATGCCCCAGGGCCGCATACCCGTGCAGTGGCGCTGGAGTGGCAGTGGGCGCCTGCCCCACACTAATGCACACACACATCAGTGCACACCCACAGCCACGCCAGAGAAAGCCACAGGCCCTGAGGGGCTGCCCCATGCCAGCCTGCCAGCTGCCACACCCCTCCCACAAAGCCTGGCTCTGGCCCGGGACACAGGGAGCCCAGACCCATCCAGCTTTCCCCTCAATGCCCCGGGTCCTCCCACAAATTCATCCTGCCTCAAGCCTCAGTCTCCACTTCCGACAAATGGGTCTCAAGCTCTCTGCTCTGTCCACCCTGCATGGCGGTGTGGGCAGCACAGAGCCAGCCTGGTGGGGGCTGGGGACTCTGGAAGGGGTGCTCAGGGAGGGGCCGGGCTCTGGGGCCCAGAAGGCCTTGGAAGGTAGTCCAGGCGGGTCCCGGAACAAGTGTTGCATGAGCACCAAATGGCTCAGAGCTCCCGAAACCTGGCGTGCCTGTGAGAGCCGTTGAGACCCCTTTTCAAGGCCCTGCCTGACAGCCCACAAAAGACATTCAAATGAGAGACAAATATTTGGGGCCCCAAGGTTGAGCCCAGCCCAGCCTCTCAGGCCCAGCCCAAGCTGCTCCCAGGCTCTCATTTGGGTATTAATTGCATTTCGTTTAGAGATTTGCATGCTTATCACGCGGGTGGTGGCCAGCCGTGGGGGCCTGGCCAGCCTGGACAGAATCCCAAGGCTCGTAGGCAAATGCCAGGAGGAGGGGGTGGGCAGAGGACCCAGGAGCCTCCCGAATGGTATCAGGAGAGCAAGCCTGGGCTAGGCTGCGGGCCATCAGCGTGGGCCCTGGGCCACGACCTGGCATCCATGTGGACCTGAGCACGACAACAGGACAAGCAGAGAAAAAAGTGGATCCCAAAAACAGGGCTCCCAGGCCAACTTCTCCCTAACACCAGCTCCCAGCACCCCACCGGGGACTGCAGCCCCTCCATGGTCAATCAGGGTAGCCCTGGGGTCCCTGTCACATGACGTATGCCCACCCTCCGACAGCCCTGCAGCCTGTGGGACGGCCCGTGTGCTCGCCGAGGCGCTTGGAACCTTGGAGGGCAGGCTCTCAGAAGATTGGCTCAGGGACCCTCTGGTCCACCCTCTCGGCATCCCAGGGTGTCCTGGTCCCAGGAGATGCCTCATCCCAGGCCACACGGGGCCCTAGGCCTTTCCGTCCTCAGCCCTGTCTACTCTACCCTCTACAAGAGAGGTCCAGAAGGGGCAGTGCTTGACCCAAGAAGAAGAGGCTGTAACTATGGAGAGGTTGGGAGGGGGAAGTGGCCCTAAGGGCTGGAGTTTTAGAAAGCCCTCTTGTTCCTGCCCATTATGGGTTGGATTTTATGCCCTCCAGACTCACATGTGGCTGTTTTTGGAGCCAGGGCCTTTAAAGAGGTAATTAAGTTAAAGTGAGGTCATTGGGGGGACCCTAATCCCATGTGACCGATATCCTTAGTAAGAGGAGGTGAAGACACAGACACGCACAGAGGGATGGCCACGTGAAGACACAGGGAGAAGGCAGCGTCTACAAGCCAAGGAGAGAGGCCTTCGGAGGTGGGGGGCCTGCGGAATGGTGAGAGACTAATTTCTGCTGTGTAGGCCCCCTAGTGTGCGGGGCTTTTTCACGCAGCACAGGCCAACCCATTGCAGCCTCTCCTGCTGTTAGGACCCCAAGTCCATCCTCAGGGACATTAATTAACATAGGAACTTTTTATCCTGATGGTGTCACCTCCTAGGCAGAACAGGGACCCGGAGGCAGGCCTAGCTGCGAACCCCCAGCCCTCCCTGTCCTTCTCGCAGGACAGCGGGTCTGGGGCTGAAGGCTGTGACGCTGCCCCTGCCTGGATCACAACAGGCAGGACGGCTGAGCAGGCACACATCTGTCTCTCCCTCTGCTGATCTGTGGCCTTGGACAGGGGCTACTCTGGGGGAGCTGACAGGTGACCCCCCCAGGAGGCCCCTCCCTGCCTCTGGGCTGGGAATCCACCTCTGTGGAGCCCCTGGGAATGGCCTGTTTCAAATACGTAAGTGGGAGCAAGGTCTCATCCTCAGCGGGGGACATCGCTGGGGGCAAGGCCAGTGGGTGGGTGGGAAGGTTTCTGTGGCACTGGGGCCTCCTGTTGATTGATTCACCCAATTAATCACAGCCAGCAGCTGGGGAGGGGGTAGGAAGGCGGTGAAGGGAAAAGGAGCCCACAGCCGGGAGGCCCTGGGAGGTTGGCAGAGGCCTGCACCTGCCTGCAGCCAGCCCTCCGGCCCAGCCCTCTTCCCTCCTTTCGGAGGGGCCAGAGCATGGGGTGCTAAGGGCTCAGTCTTTAACCCCTCCCCAGCTCTCAGGGAGCCCCTCCCATGCTCCCCAGGCCTCTGCCCCACTTGCACCTCCCCGGGCCCCAGGGCACAGGACGCTTTCCCCACCCTTTGGGAGGCTGAGGGTGTCAGGAGGCCTGGGCTGAGTGCTGGCTTCCGTCTCACTGGCTTGCAGACAAGACCCTCCATTTCGGTGGAAAAACAGCAAGAACAGCACCCCCCTCCAGGCAGACCCAAGGGAGGCATCGGTGTGAGGGCTTCAAGCTCTGTACTGTGGGTTTAAGCCTTGCACCTCTGGATACCTGTGGGCCTCGGGCAGATCACTGAGCCTCCCTGCATCTGGAAGTCGGGGTGAGACCCCTCAGAGGGGGCTGGGAGGAGGAAGGGCCCCTCTTGATGGGCAGCCCCCACCCTCCACCTACTGCCCTGCCCTCCCAGCCTTCAGGGTCCTCCCCAGCTTCTGTGGGCTCCCAGGTGGACCTGGGCCACCCCTGAGACCCCGAAGAGCTCAAGGCCAGCTAATAGCCCACAGGCTCAGGACAGCACTGGACAGGCCTCTGGGCCCACCTGGCCCCACTCCCGATTTTTATGGGAACAAAGACTGAAGGTGTGGCCCCAAAGGAACCACCCCTCCCCCAGTGCCCCGCTGCTGGGAAAAGGGTCAGCAGAGTTTGGGTCTCCCCCCACAAGCCCTCTGGGCTGTGCGTGCTACAGCTGAGGACATGGCGTTGAGGGGCAGGCCGCCTCCAACCCCGTCCACCTTGCCCTGTCTAGCTCTGTCCAAGGCTCTCTCCGGCTGGCTAATCACCTCTGGGCACAGCTGTGCTGCTGAGGTCTCTGGGATGACTGAAGGTCTTTGAAGGCCACTTTGGGAGAAGCGAAGGTGCATGGACACCAGGGACCCTGCTCACAGCGAGTGTCCCTGCCCCATCCCTTTCTGCATTGAGTGGGACAAGCTTGCTTCCATTTGGGGGATCGCCATCTGACTATTCCACTTGTCTTAGGGTGGGGCAGAGATTAGGTGATGTGGAGGGGCTTCTCTACATGGCCCCCCTGCCCCAGCTCTGAGGGGTAGCACCAGAGTGGGTTTCACCAGCGTAGGGCACGTAGGCCCCGCCATGAACAGGGCCCCAACCTTGGTTTAATGCTTTGCTACTGCCATCTTAAAGTTCTTTTTTTATTTTTTATTTTGCTTTATTTTTTATTAGAGATGGGGTCTCCCAGTGTTGCCCAGGCTGGTCTTGAACTCCTGGCTCAAGCAATCCTCCGGCCTCAGCCTCCCAAAGCACTGGGATGACACGTGTGAGCCACCTTGCCTGGCCTTTGGAATCTGACTACTTTTATCTTCTAACTTGTTTTGCAGGTGCAGGCCAACGGCATACAGCAGCACTCACATAAGCAAAGGAGAGCGTGCACAAGGCGCCAAATGTATATCCACCCTCACTCGTCCCCCCACTTGAGTAGCGCATCCACGATGCCCACAGACACCAGGCCACACAGAAAAGGTGCCAGGGACCCACAGCAGTGCAAGGCAGCGTGTCACACCTACGCATGAGCAAGCCGGGCGCTGATGGCCACCGAGCAGCCACGTTTTCCATTCAAATCCGCACTTGCTAAGGATGCAGCAGGAAGCCAGTGGTGTTCTAACAAACGTGCAGGACCCGGGAACCTGTCATGTCCTTTCTTACTTGTGCGACTTCTCTGTGTTAGCCGAGGTCTCTTGCTGATGGATCTACCCACAGTGCCTTTTGTCTTTGAACTTGTCCCTTCCCTCCTTCCTCGCCCATCAGCGAGCAGGAGGTGGAGGGTGCTGGTGGAACAAGCCTGCGTCAAGGAGTGAAATCAGCTGATTTCATTTTTGTGCAGTTTCCACTGTTCTAGTAGCAAATGAAATAGAGACGCCTGTGCCAGGACAAAACACACACTGTGTCATTCCAGTGATTCCGCATAGAAGTTAAATGCTCTTATGCTTGCATTTTAAACTGGCATCACATAATATAAAGATGGATAACTACATTCACGCTAGTCACTTAAATTCCTAATCTTTCTTACTCAGAATGGCATTAAATAGTGAGTATAAAATAAGAAGTATAAAATAGTAAGTCAAGAGGTTGACTATAGAAGAAAGAAAAATGCTTTATATTTTAGCACCTTGAACATGACATCACGATCACCTTCTCCCTGGAATCAGTTTCTAACTTCCAGGTGGGGACTAGGCCTGGACCATGAGCTCCTAGCAGAGCCCTGCTGCCCCCACAGCAGAGCCCAGGACAGGCTGGCACCTGGGCCAGGTGAGGCTCTGTCCAGGCTCACTGATCTCAAATGCTGAACTGCTAAGGATGTCATGTCCCCAAAGGAGCCGCCAGGCTCAGCCTCACTTCCTGGAAGGCGTGAACATTGCAAGAATGTGGAAGTGAAAGAGTCCAGGGCTTAAATCTCAATTCTCATCATTTTCAAGCTGAGTCCAAGGGAGAGAAGACAGTCATGGATTCTTAGTTTCTGTTTCTGGTTGAGCCAGCAGGGTCCCTTCCTCATCCCTCTTTTCTGCTTATCACTAGAGACAGAAACTAAAACCATGACTTTAGGCTGCTGAGAGCCTAAAACAAAACGACAGCAAGAGAAGGTGGGTTGGACCAGCTTGCCTGTGACTTCAGGCACTTCATCTTTACTGGGCACTGGGTGAATGACAGTGTGGGGAGGGGTCTTCATAACACGGCAATCAGCAGCCCACTGTGCCCAGGAGACTCGCCTGTGGTCCTGGTTATCAACCACAGCCCTTTCCAGTCTCAAAAATGTCCCCGCTGGGACAGCAAGTTACATCGTCGCTACAAGTCCTGTCTCCTGGGAGATGCAGTCCAGCAGCACTACATCCTCTGAGCAGCAGGTGCCAAGTGGGATGAACTGGATAAGGACTGCATTCGGGGAAACGCCCGTGTGAAAGGAAATACACAGGAAGGAGGTGGCAACGGGTGGGAAGCCACTAGACCACGACGCGATTCTGCCCCAGTGAAGGCGAGGGGATAGCCTGGGCCTAGATCGCTGTGAGGTCTATGGAAGTTTCCACAAGCTTGCTGGGTAGTTCTCGAGGCAAACTCGGAAAGGGAGTCCCTTGTCTCCCTGGAACGGATCTTTCTTGGCATCTCTGTCACACTCATTAGGTGGGCCTGGTGTCAACCCCATTTGCAGGCCACCCCAAACTTGATCAAAGGTCCGCTTCTGGCACCCCATACCCTGTCCTACAGGAAATACAGGGACAGGCTCCCAATAACAACACCCAGCACGGTGCCATCAACACCACCACGCACACGGGGGCTCAACGGAACAGACATCTCCGCTTCTTCAATGAAGACACTGGAGGGAAATTGCTTACAAGGCGCTTAAGAGACCTATTAAGCAAACTTGATGTGTGGACCTGCGGCGGATCCCGATTCTATAAGGCCAACTGCACAAAACCACGAGACCCCCTGAGGACTGCGCCATTGGCTGGGTCCCCGATGATATGAAAGAACGGTGGTTCATTTGAGCGGGTGATGTTTTTGCGGTTTCCTTTAGAGGCACACGTGAAACATGACGGGTGAAAGGATTCAAAGTCTGGGATTTGCTTCAAAGCAACGCAGGGATGGCGTGGGGGATGGATGGGGCAGGAAGGGCCTTGAAACTGGTGCTGGAGGCTTCCCAGGGCTGCCCTGGAGCCCAGTGCGTCCTCCACCGGCCAGACTGTACAACGGTTGGATCCTGTGTCCACTGCTAGGACCCAGGCTCCACGAGCACGGGCTTGTGTGGCACACGGATGCACCCTAAGTCCTGGCACAGAGACTGCTCAACAAAGGCCTCGGTGCTTTTGTGTATGTTTGAAATTTTCCATAATAAAATGAAAAATGGGAAAATGGGAAAACAAAAATGGCAGCACTACTTACCCTCTGCAGAGTTTTGTCCGCTTCACGCCAGTGGGTGGCAGTCGTTTCCTCTGCCCTGGCCTTCCATCGTTTCCCCCCTACCCTCTTCACCCACCCAACAGCCCCCTGTGGTCCTGGCAGCTGTGGGCCTTTCCTTGAGGTCAAGGTGTGGAGTCCTGGGGAGGGCTCAGGGAGGCCACCGACCCGGGTGTGGATTCTGGGAGAAGCCTGTGGGATGTCCCTCCCTGGGTGACCACGGCAATGTGCCCCCTCCTGTCCCTTGGCCAAGGCCAGTTCCCTGAGCCCTGCAGCCCCAAGCCACAGCTGGTCCACTGACCCCAGTTGAGCCTGGTCCTCATCAGACCAGCTGACCCCTTTGACCCCCGCTACAGACTCGGCTTTGACCTTGGCTGCTGAGGAGCCCCCACCTGGACTGAGGCTGCAGCTGGCGAGAGAGGAGCCCTGAGCTCCTCTGATAAGAAGGGACCTGGCCAGCCTGACGTTTGAGACCCAGGCATCCCGGTAGCCTGGGTGTCCTGTTGCCGTGGTTATTCAGGAGCCACCCACTCTGGGACAACACCAGCTGCTCCCACCTCGCAGGGCTCCCACGGCTCTGTCCCAACCACTCCTTTCTGAAGGAAGGGGTGCCTCTGCGCCCTAAAGAAACCGGGGGAGCCCCACAACCCCTCCCCCACCAGGACACTAAAAGGCAGCTTTCGGTACAGTGAGACATCAAAGCCTCCTAGGCCCTGAGTCAAAGGTATAGCCGTGTAATATCCCAGTGCCAGCTCTCCGGCTGCGGGGAGCCTGGCGCAAAGCTTCCAAGCCTTCCTTGTTCCTTTCAAGAGCCGCTCTTAGAATTCAGGTGAGCGGAGACCTGCAGGGCCTCCCCAGTGCGGGCAAAACCCAAAGCTAGCGAGAGGGCAGCCTCCAGGCACCTCTCACTAACTCCTCCCAGAGGCCGTTGAGGTGGGTCTGGTCAAACCCATTTGCAAGTTAACCCACTTGCCCTGGGCTGCCCAGCTGCCACGTTAGTGGAGATCTGAGCGTGGTGGCCTGCGCAGGAGCCCATGCCCTCAGCCCCACAGCCGGTGCTCTCTGGTCAGACCACCTCAGCCTAGCCCCACACCCAGCACTTACCCCAGCCCTCGGGATGGGTCAGCAGCCTCCAGCCTGCAGCTTCCAAGCCAGCGAGTAGCCCTGTCTGGACAACCCACCAGCCCACCACCTCCTGGAGGATGCCCCCAGCCTCACAAGGTGTCCCAATGGCTCCGCTATCAACGGCCTGGCTGCACTCCAGATCTCACCCAGACCCACCCTACGGAGGAGGCAGCAGGGTTTGAGGAGTAGTGACCACGGAAGTCTGGCCGTCACCTGGGAAGTGTAGGTGATAGGAGCCACTGGTAAACAGAACTGATTTATTTATAAAGTTCACGCTCCCTTGAAGAGGTGTGCCCCACACAGGCTTCTCCCTAGCAGAGCAGCAGTGCCCACAAACCCACCCCAGGGTGGGCTGTCACGGGGGCCTCACGCCAGGGACCCCGCCCCTCAGGGACTGCTCGTGTCCAGATCTTGGCCAGCATGGAAAACTCCAGATAGTGGGGGCAGGGGTCCAGGTCATCTTTATTACGCCCCAGGTCAAGGGTTCTTTGTACAAAAATAGGTCTCCGTTTGCCAGCAGTGTCCCTCCAGCAGCTCAAGTTAATGTGTAGAAAATGGATTCTCTGTGCCCTTAGAAAATCCTCTCCCCTCCGGAAAAATCTCCAAGTGTTGGTGCCCCCCGCCCCACTGCAGTCGAGAAGCTGTGGGGAGGGGCGGCGTCGGAGGAAGCCGCCAGCCCTTATGGGGCCAGCTCCAAGCCCGTTTCCACCGCGGCATTGGTCAGGCTGGGCCGGACGAACGAGGCGGCGTCGGCGGTGCGGGGGGTGGTGGGTGGGTCCCCGGCTCGCTGGGGGCGGAGCGCGGGCCGGTCCACCTGGCGGGCTCCCCGGCGATGAGCGCGCCGGCCGCTCGCTCGGCTTCCGGGGCTGAGGCTGCGGGGGGAAGGTGGGGAACCAAACGCGCGTCAACGCGGGCGCGGGCCCGGGGCAGACCCCGCCCGGGCCGGCCCTGCCCGCACCTCCCCCAAGCGAAGTCGGCAGTTTCGTTTGCTCGGTTGGTTTTGGAGTCTTGAGTCCGTGGGTGCCGCGACTCGGTCTGAGACACGGCGGGGGCGGGGCGGGCGCTCGGAGCCGCGGTGAGTCAGGGCTCCGCGCCCGCCGACTCATTTCTGCCGCCCCGGCCCGGGAGCGCGATTTGCAATGCAAAGTCACCCCGCCTCCAGCACCCCAATCTGCCCCAGGATCCGCCAGCACTAGAGACCTCAACGGCCCGACGGCCGCTCCCCTCCCCTCGTCTACCCCTCCCTCGTCGGCGGCTGAGCCGCGAGGGGAAGTTTTGCAATCCCGGACAAACAAACGCCGGTCTTGCACGGGCTTGAAAAACTTTGGGGGAAATGAAGAGTGAGCGAAATCGAAGCCATCGCTCGGGCCTGGCGCTCGGCTCCGCGGGCTCCTGGGGGCGCGACCCGCCGGGCCTGCCCACCCCGTCCCTCCACCCCGGCCCCCGGCCCTCCCTCCTCCCTGCCTCCCGGCTGTTACCTCATAGGTCGAGGGCGCTCAGTAGCCCCCTAACCAGCTGGAGAAGTCGAGTAGCTCGCGCTCCGCAGGACTCAGCGCGCCTTCGCAGCCGCTGTCGTCCGACGAGTAGGCGGAACGCGGGGAGCCGGGCTCCGAGCTGCCCCCGCGGCCCGGGGACGAAGAAGCGCGGGAGGGCGAGGCGGCGACCGGGGTGGTCCCTGGCGGCCCGCGGGGCGCAGACGGCCGCACGGCCTGCGGCCTCAGCCCTCCCGCCAGCGCGTTGCGCACGGCGTCGTGCTCGGCCAGCAGGCGCTGCAGCGCGCGGATGTACTCCACGGCTGAGCGCAGCGTCTCCACCTTGCTCAGCTTCTTGCTGGCGCCGCCGTGCGGCACGTGCTGCCGCAGCGCCTGGAAGCCCAAGTTCACCAGCTTCACGCGGTTGCGCTCGCGCTCATTGCGCCGCGCTACGGCCGCTGCGCCGCCTCCGGTCTCTGCGGTGGCCGGTCGCCGCCGCCGGCTGCAGCGCAACAGTTCCGGGGACGCGGGTCTCCGCCGGGCAGCGCAGCCGACAGGGACGGGGGGCGCAGGGGGCGCGGACCTGGGCAGTGTGCCGCCGTCCATCGCGCCTGCATCCACCCGCCCGCTCCAGGTCCCGGCGCGCCGCAGGAAGGTGCAGGCAGAGGAACCGGAGGCGACGGGGAAAACTGTGGCGCCCCAAGGGGGCTTCTGGCACGGCGCCGCCAGGCAACTCCCCAGGGCACGCGTCCTAGGTCGTCTGGAGCCCGGGGATAGGAGGCCTAGTGGTGGCAGGCCGTACGCGCCAGGGAGCGTGGGACGCTCGTGTCCCGCGCGTGCGGCCGGACTCTCCCAGGTCTCCGCAGGCGCGGCGCAGGCGGCTGGTTTTTAAATGTATAGATAACCCTCCTCCGCGCCGCCGCCGTCGCCTTTCTCACGCCCTCCTTCCTTCGCCTCGCCCTCCCGCCACGCTTCGCCCTCCCCCTCGCGCGATCACATTCTGTAAGGCCCAAAGCGTGCGCATGTCCCCCTAGCCCATCCCCCGGACGCAGTCCACAGATCCCCAGTGCGCCCAACTGGCGAAATCTGCGAGTTCCCGGTGCGCCCCCTGCTCCCGGCAGGTGCTTAGTGCGCCCCCAAAGCAAGGTACGCAGGTCCTGGGTTGAGCCTTCCCGTACCCCCACCCTAACCCCGCGCGCAGCCCCGCCAGTCCCAAGAGCCGCCAGACCTTCGCACGCGCAGCGCGCGCTGTGGGAGGGAAGGCGCGGCCCTGGCGACAACACGGCTGTTCGGGAGGCGCGCAAGATCCCCGGGGGCAGCACGCGCCGCGCAGCCCACACCCACGCCCCACCCTCCTGGGGCCGAGGAGGCGGGGGCCAGGGTCTCAGCCAATCGTGGGCCACCCGTTTGGCCAATCGCGCAGGGCGCGGCTCCACGCCCGGCCCCATTGAGGAAGCGCGTACGCGTGGCGCGTGGCTCACGGGGAGCATCGCTAACAAAGCTGGGTTCCTGCTGGGCCCCGCCCTGCTCCTCGCCCCCGCGACTGGGCTGGGCGCGCTGTCCCCTAGCGCAGCTATGTCCCGAGCGCGCCCCCACCTGTGCGTTAATCTACTGGGAATGGGGGTGGACTGCGCCTTACCTGGGGCGGGGTGGGGCTTAAGGAGTGGTCGAGACTGAGGCGGGGTGGGAGGTTCAGGTTCCCGGGGCGCCTTCCCCAACCCGCCCCGCTTTCCCCGTCCCTCCACGCGCACCCTGCCTGTGGTTTCCGTGCGCCCCCGGCCTGAGGGCTCTGGGCGGCACCTTAACCCGGAGGGCCTGGAGGTCTGCACCCGACCGCCTTGTGCCAGGACGGTCAGGTCCACGCCCTCCCCCACCGTGGCTCCCTCCATCTGCAGTATCCCCCACCTCCAGCCCGTCCTGCCCTCCTGTTCTCCGTCTCGCTTCCCGTCGGTGCCTCCGGGATCTCACAGCCCTCGCACCTCTTTTGTGACCCAGGCTGTTTTTCTGCACCCCCCTCTCCCCTGAGGGCACTGAGATTGGGCCATTGGCCTGAAGGTCTCTGGGAGCAGCACCCTTCCAGGGGAGGTGGGACGTCGAGAACTTCTCCCTAAGAGATGCGGGGAAATGGTGGGGCCTGAGAGTGCAAACACTGCAGAAATGCGAAAAATGTAGTGTTAACGGAAGAGTTTAGGTCCTGCCTCACTGTCCGGGAAACGCGTGCCCTCGGGGGAGCCTTTGCCAAGCCGGTTTTTCCCGAAGGTGACCAGATGCTCCTGGGCCACTGCCTCTGAGACCTCAGGGAACGGAGATTTTTGTGGACCCAGCTGCCTGGAGCTGCTTTCCTGTTCCGGCCGGAGGAGGTGAGGCCCAAGACCCCTCCTGGGAGCCTGGGGGCAGATAGCCAGTGTTTACTGCCAGCCTCGGGGTGCCCACCTGCTCCCATTACCCTGCAGGATGCTGCTGGCTGGCCCACCTGGGCCCCCAGCACACCTGTGTCTCGAGTACGCCTGGCCCTCCTGCCTTGGGAGGGGCCGGAAGAGTAGCACCTGCCTGGGAGCTGGTGGTCTGCGGTCTCTATTTGGCAGATGAGGAAGCCGACTTGGAGAGAACCCTGGATGTGTCCACAGTCACTCCTCCGCCCAGTGGAGCGATCCAGGCAGAAATCGGGGCCCTGAGTCTGAATCCGGGTTCTGCAACCAGGGCAGATGCGGGCTTGCCTCTGCTCCCTGTCCCTGGTCTGAGAGCCCATTCTTCCCAGATGGTCACTTGGCAAATCACAGCCTGGCATGGATTGTTCTGCCCTCCTTCTGCTGCCTCCCTCCTTCCCCTTGTCAAGGCTGCAAGACCAGGATCTAGGAACGATCCTGGAGCCCTGCAAACTAGGCCTTGGAAATCCCTGCTGGATTTCCACCTCCCGGGCTGGGAGCCCCTCGGTCATCTGTTGCTGTGTAAGGAGCCACCAGGATTTTAGCGGTCTGAACAACGATGTATTATTTCTCAGGATTCTGTGACTTGATGGGTGGGCCCTCTGCTGCTCTGGGTGTGGCTGCATACACCCCGGGGGTCAACAGGGACGAGCGGTACAGCGGCTGGGTTGCTCTCTACCCGGTCTTCGTCCAAGCCCCTCCACAGCTGGTAAGATCTCCGGAGCAGGACCTGCAAGCCCTCTTCAGATCACCCCAGAACTTCCTGTCTAAAAACTGAAGCCTCTCACTGCCCAGGCATGGCTTCTTGCTACCCTGCCCTCAGGCACAGTCCTGCACCCACCTGCGTCTGCTGTGCCATGTCCAGGCCAGTCCCCCCCCACCACCAACACCTCTCTCTATCTTCATCCTCTTCCCAATCTGGTCCTCCCACCGCTGTGGAAACCCCGTCTGCCCCCAAAGCCTAGCTTAAAAATAATTCCCTAGGGACCTGTGTCTCTCCCTGCCTCGGCCCCTCCTTCATTCCTGGGTGCCTCCGGCTGTGCAGCATTTGACACTGCAGCACCCCCCTTAATTCGGAAGCATGCTGTCTCCTGGACTGGTGAGTCTCCACACTATCTGAGCCGTCTTCTCTGGAACTCTTGGCCTCTCAGTCCGTTCTGAGAATACAGCCTTGGTAAGCACGGTGCCCACATGAATGTTTCCAGCAGCAGGATTCAAAATAGCCACATGTCCATCAACAGATGAGTGGATAAACAAAACATGGTCCAGAATAATGGAAGATTACTCAGCCCTAAAAAGAGACGAAGCTGGTGAACCTCGAGAACACGAGGCCGCGTGAACGAAGCCAGACACCGAGGACCACGTAGCGTGAGACTCTCAGTCTATGAAATGTGCGGAGTCGATAAATTCACAGAGACAGAAAGGAGATTCACGGTTGCCAGGGGCTGGGGAGTGACAACAGAGGGATGGGGGTGACTGTGAAAGGGTACGTGGTTTCTTTCCCAGAGGATAAGAACGTTCTAACATGGCCTGTCCTGTTGGCTTCACAGCTCTGTACAACACACAAAAAAACCATTGAAATGTACACTTTGTGGAATGTGAACTGTATCTTGATAAAGCAGTTAGAAGACCTTCGAACATAAGCATGCGGCCTCATGGGGCCTTTGCCTGGGCACCCTGGCACCTCTCCCAGGCTCTACCTATCTCCGACTTCATTCCTGAGCTCTTGAACAGGGGTAAGGCAAACTTTTTCTGCAAAGGAACACGTGGTAAGTATTTTCGGCCTTGACGGTCACATGTCTCTGCCACGAGTCGTCTGCCTTGGGGCGCAAATGCAGGCTTGGGCAGGGAAGAAATAACAAAACTTGCTTCCTGGTCACTGAAACATGAAGTCCAGGTCACACTCACTGTTACAAAATACTCCGAATTTTCAGACTGTGGTTCAATACACATGACATAAAATGGACCTTCTTAACCATTTGTAAGTGCACGGTTCCGTGGAATTCAGTATATTCATGTGGCTGTGCAATCATCACCACCATCCATCTCCAAAAGTTTCTCATTTTCCCAAACCGAAAGTCTGTCCCCATTAAACAGCAGCTTCCCATGACCCTTCCCCCAGCCCCTGGCACCCACCATCCACTCTGTGTCTGTAGATTTGACTGCTCTGGAGACCTCCTGTAAGTGGAATCCTACAGCATCTGTCTTTTTGTGGACCGGCTTCTTACACTGATGCTGATGCCCTCGAGCTTCATCCATGTCGTAGCCTGCATAAGGATTTCCTCTCTTTTTATGGGTGAATAATATT
Source organism: Homo sapiens (assembly GCF_000001405.40). Classification (NCBI taxonomy): domain Eukaryota; kingdom Metazoa; phylum Chordata; class Mammalia; order Primates; family Hominidae; genus Homo; species Homo sapiens. The sequence goes on from NC_000011.10 coordinate 2,274,461, forward strand.
CCACTGTATGGGTAGACCACGGTGTTGATCCGTTCCTCCGTCAGTGGATGCTGGGGTGGTTTCCACCCTTGGGCTACCGTCAGTGACGCTACTGTGGACATGGGGGTACAAATATCTCTTTGAGATCCTGCTTTCAGTTCTTTTGGGGATAGACGGAGAAGCGGAGTTGCCAGGTCATACGGCAAACCTCTGTTTAACCTTTTGAGGGACCACCATGTTGTTTTCCGCAGTGGCTGCCCACAGTACATTCCTGCTGCGCACGAGGTTCTGATGTCTCCACATCCCCGCCCACACTTGGTGCTTTCTGGGTTTGTTTCGTTTCGTTTTGTTTTTGTTTGTTTTTGAGACGGAGTCTCGCTCTGTCTCCCAGGCTGGAGTGCAGTGGCGCAATCTTGGCTCACTGCGACTTCTGCCTCCCGAGTTCCAGCCATTCTCTAGTTTCAGCCTCCCGAGTAGCTGAGACTACAGATACGTGCCACCATGCCCGGCCAAATTTTTATTTTTTGTAGAGATAGAGTCTGACTATGTTGCCCAGCCTGGCTGAGGTGATAATAGTTTTTTGATGATAGCTAATGGGTATGGATTTTAATTTTTTAACCACTTAAGAATTTAAAGAAAATTCCTAGCTTTTGGGCAATACAAAAGCAGGCCAGGGGCTGGATCTGGCCCATGGGCCTCGGTCTGCTGACAGCTGCTCCAGAGGACTGGTATGTCCACGTGACACCTGGCCCGACCCCCATCCTCCTGCAGCTCCTCAAACTCAACTTGTTGCAGGTTGAACTCGGCCTCCTTTCCTCTAAGGAAAGATCCCCTCCGCAGCAGAGAACACCAGGTCGGCAGTGTGGGCACTGCCCTTCCTCTCCCCTGCCCTCTGCTGTACGTCAGCCCAGCCGCTTCTCCAGCCAGGTCCCCATCTTGCCTTGGACACTGCCCCTGCCTCTGCCCTGGTCTCCTGGGTTCTCAGTTTGCTGCTTCTGTCTGTGCACCGCCTGGAAGTGGGGGGGCCTTACCCAGCATCCAGCCCAGCTAGATCATGTCCGGGCCCTCGGGGTTCAGGCCCAGCACCCTCACGTGCCATCACTCACTGCCTCCTCTCCAGCTCGGACGTTGTATCTCCTGGAAGCCTTCCCTGATCCCAGTGGCCTCCTGAAGCCTCCTCGCCCCTGTGCTCCACAGGGAGCTGTGCTGCCCGGGCCTGCTCTGTCCAATAGGCTAACCTGACCTGCTCCTTCGACATCTAAGGTGCTGCTCATGTGTATTCATGACCTGGGTGGATGTTGGGGAGCCCAGGCCCAGCAAAGAGGGGCAGGAGCAGGCAGTTCCGGGGTTGGCGATGGCCCAGGGGAAGCTTTCGGCCTGGTTGGTCAGAGCTCCTGGTGACCAAGGGTGACTTCAAAGTCAACGTGAGCCTCACTCACATGAGATGAGCCTAGAGCGTCCAAGAACAGCTCTGTAGCTGGCCAGCCGGGAGCTGCAGCCCTCGGTCCTGCTGTCCCCCCGGGGAGCCGGCTCCTGCTCCAGGGATGAGCAAGGCTCAAATTGACTTTGAAGTCTCCCACAGGCCGTTTGGAACTGGGGTGCAGGAGCTGGAAGTGTGGGGCACCCTGGGGAGTCACGAAGCCTGACTGATTGTCAGGCAGATGTGTGGCGGGAGTTGGGGAGATGCGGTAGGACACAGGGGGGATCTGGGGGGTGCCAGTGTGGGCCGCGGGCTGGGAGGTATCATCAGTAACTTCAGATCGTTTCGTAGCGACACTTAAAAAATACCTGAAGAGGGACGGGTGGAATGAACTTCAACATCATACCCAAAATATTAGCATTTCAACATGTAATCAGTATAAAAATTACTTGAGAGCTGTTTCACATTTTCTTTTCATACCAAGGTTTTTGAAATCCGGCGTGCGTCTTTTTACACTCACAGTACCTCTCACTGTGGACCGGCCACGTCTCAATGCTCAGTGGCACCCAGGGCTGGTGGCTCCCGTCTTAGACAACACACATCTGGACCGGGAGAGCCTCAGGTCCCCTGTGATACCAGTTTTCTAGTCTCTGTATCTGACAGTGTGACATCTTGGGGACTTGCTGACTATGAAGGGCCACCCCTCCCAGGATAAACTAATTCCTAGAGACAGTGAAGGAGACCCTTTTCATGGGCAAACCCACCAACGCAGAGCCCAACCCCTTCCTCTATCAGGGTCTTACCTTTGAGGGCACTACACCTGCCCTTGTTACCCCAAGGGAAGGTCCCAGACAACCAGCAGCCCCTAGGCCCTAGAGTTCTGAACTTATGTCAGCCTGGCCAATCCTAAACCCATATACCCTGCCTTGCCCATTCCTTCTACAGAAACCACAAGAAAGGTTCTTGCCCAGGTCTCCCTGTGGCTCCCCCACCTTCTGACCGACCCTGTGCCTGTGCCCGCCCCGCTGCCTGTGGCATGCCACCCGCTTTGAGAACTGTGAGCTAACAATTATCTCTTCTATGGCAATTGACTCTCGATCTGTTGGCCTCACCATACCTGAATAATAACGGAACTACATTTTAGAAAGCCAGTAGAAAGCCATTGCCTCGCATGACAGACCAGGAAGCTGGGGCCCAGAGAAAAGCCACGTGCTCAAGGCTGGCCAGTGAGTGAGAGGCAGAGACTCAGGAGTGGATCATGGGCTTCCCTTGGTTCAGCCTCCTTTACATCCGTCCCCTTACCCCACCGTGGAGGCTTGGGGCTGAGAGGGAGATTCTGTGGCTGCACTCCAAGGACTGGCCAGTTCCAGGCAGGAGGCGGCACTCCCAGCTGGCTGGAAAAGAAGAGGCTGCTTCTCTGTCAAGCTCATGTCATTCCCCCATGAAACTGAAAGCTGCCCGGGTATGAGACCATGGAGAAGACAGGTCTCATTCTCTGGGCCACGTTTCCTAACCACAGTACAATAAGGCTAGAAAGAAAACCCCAAAGTCCCAGCTCTAACATGGCAAATGCATGAAGAAAAGAACAGTCTTCTAAACAACTCTTAGGTTTAAGAAGAATGAAAACAGTGATCATGGGCCTTTCGAAAATCAACAGCCAAAAAACTTTATAACCTCAAACAAATTCCTCCGAAACAAGAAACTCTGAACAAAAGTGAACAAAGCATTCAACTCTAGGAGATCAGGAAAACAAAACCCGAAATATGTGTGAAAGAAGTAATAAGGGCTAATTAATGATGAGGAGGAGAGAAATTAACAAGGCAGAAAAGTGAACTGTTAACTAAGTTGATATAATGAAAAACTGCTGTTTTTTAAAAGACCAACAAAATAGGCGCATTTAAATAAGAAAGAAGACACATTTTTAAAATACCAGAAAGGGTGAAAGGTGACTTAAGTACAAATATGTAAAAGATTAAAAACAGGATGTTCATTTATGACCACGATGGAGTAACAGGGACTGAATTTACTGCTCTCCTCCCGCCCCCTCCAAAACAACAATAACAACAAAAAGGATCAAATTCAGGAAACAACAGTTTTCAATACACTGCACATACGACAACAAAGGACAGTAGTCCTCAAGAGATGGCAAACAGGTGAACGGGGCCCTACAGCTTCCCAGCTGCTCCCCTGAGTTTCCCAACCATGGCCCAGAAGGAGGTACCTGGGCAGAGCCCAGTGGAGTACTTGGAGGAGGAGACAGAGCTCAGAGCCAAGGAGGCCCAGGCAGCTGGGTTCTCAGGACAGAGGAGTGGATTGGAGAGAGCTGCATAGAGGGAGAGCCCTAGAGAGCTGCAGAAAGTTCCTCCAAGGACTCAGCAGAGAACTGATCAGGGATGTGTGTGAAGAGCCAGAGGCTAGGGAAGAAATTGTCCGGAAGGATCAGAGAGAAGTGCCCAGTTCTCACTCAGGACTGGAGGAGGGCTGTCCTAACCAGCCCACATGGGAAACTCATAGTTCATGAGGCCGTGGACAGAGTATACAGCAGGCTCTTGCCTCACTGGCGGGGATCATTTGCCCTAGACTGGACACCGTTCCAATCCCACCTCACCCCAAAAAATCAAGTGTTTCTAAGTAACTCAACTATGCCCCAGGCAAAACTAAAAAATAGGAATACAAAAATATCTGGCATCTAAAAAGATAAAGATTACAATGTATGATATTTAATAAAAAATGCCAAGCATGCATAAAGCAGAAAAATATGCCATCTAATAAGGATATAGATAAAAAGTAAATAAATATCCAGAGCTGACAAAGGCATTAACAAGGAAAGAACATTAAAACAGGTGTTATGACTGTATTTCCTATGTTGAAAGCCAAGTGGAGACATGGAAGAGATGTATATATATTACATATGTCTCTTCTATGTCTCTAGTTAGGGGGATTCTATGGCTGCACTCCAAAGACTGGCCAATCACTGGCCAGAGGCAGCACCCCCAGCCTGCTGGAAGAGGAGAGGCTGCCCCTCTGTCAACCTCATGTCATTCTCCCATGCAACCAGAAGCTGTCCGGATATGAGATCATGCAGAAAGTGACCATATACTCAGGACAGGACAGGTTCATTTGGGACTATTTATTTATTTATTTAGAGATGATAGCTACAATGTCTGAGACAAAGAATACACTGAGCTGGAAAAACAGTAAGGATATTATGAAAGAAAAGGTTAATGAACTTGAAGACATTGCAATAGATAATATTCAAAATTAAGCATAGAGAGAAAACAGAATTGTTTAAAAGTGAAGAGAGCAGCAGTGAGCTATGGAAAAATTCAAGTGGTCTAATATACATGTAATCAAAGTCCCTGAATGAAAGGACAGAAGAGACAGAAAAAGTATTTGGAGAAAAAAAATGACAGAAAATTTTCCAAAGTTGATGAAAATTATAACACACAGATCTGCAAAGCTCAACAAATTCTGATAAGGAGGAACTTGAAGAAAATGACAGCATCAAGACACATCTTTTTTTTTTTTTTTTTTCTTTTCTGAGATAGGGTTTCACTCTTGTCGCCCAGGCTGGAGTGCAATGGTGCGATCTCGGCTCACCGCAACCTCTGCCTCCTGGGTTCCAGCGATTCTCCTGCCTTAGCCTCCCGAGTAACTGGGATTACAGGCATGCATCACCATGCCCAGCTAATTTTGTATTTTTAGTAGAGATGGGGTTTCTCCATGTTGGTCAGGCTGGTCTCAAATTCCCGACCTTGGGTGATCCTCCCACCTTGGCCTCCCAAAGTGCTGGGATTACAGGAAGACATATCTTAATCAAATTGCTTGAAACCAGTAGTAAAGCAAAATAAAATAAAATGAAATAAAACCTTAAAAGCAACCAGAGGAAAAAAGATACATTTACATATGTACAAAAGAATGACTTATATACAGAGGAATAGAAATAAGGATGAAACAATATTTGTACACCTGTGCTCATAGCAGCACTATTTACAATAGCCAAAAAGTGAAAGCAACCGACTATCCATTGATGATGAATGAATAAACAAAATGTGGTCCATCCATGCAGTGGAATATTATCCAGCCTTAAAAAGCAAGGGAATTCTGATACATGTCACAACATAGATGAACCTGGAGGACATTATGCTGAGTAGAATAAGCCAGACACAAATATTGTATGGTTCCGCTTACATGAGGTAGCATCATTAAATCCATAAAGGCAGAAAGTAGAATGGTGGTTGCCAGGGCATAGGAGTTAGTGATTAATGGGATCGAGATACAGTTTGGAAAGATGAAAAAGTTCTGGAGATGGATGGTGATAATGGCTGCACAACAATATGAATGTACTTAATACCATTGAGTTATATACCTAAAAATGATTAAGGTAGTAAATTTGTATGTCATGTATATTTTACCACAATTAAAAAATTAGACAAAATACAAAAATAAAAAAGGATGATACAAATTTCTCACTGGAAACAATGCAAGGAGAAGACAATGGAGCAACATCTTTAAAGAACTAAAAAAATACTGTCAACCTAGAATTCTATACCCAGTGAAAATATCTTTCAAAAGTACAGATGAAATCGTTTGTTCAGACATTCAAAAGCTGAAAGAATTCATCACCAGCAGACCTGCACTACAAAAATATTAAAGGAAGTCTTTCAGGAAGAAGGAAAATTATATGAGATAGAATTATAGAATTAGCAAACGGATGAAGAGCACCAGAAATGGTAACTATATGGATAAATACATATAAATTTTTGTTGCTATTTAAATATTTTTAAAAAATAGGTGACTACTTAAACAAAAACAGTAACTGATAGGGAGTTGATACCATATGTAAAAATAGATCATATGGCAATACCACAAAGGCAAGGAGGGAAGAAATGGAGGTATACTATTATAAAATTCTTATACTGTATGTGAAGTTGTATCATTTCACTTTAAGGTTGACTGTGATAAGTTGAAGATGTAAGCTATATACCCTACAGGAAGCACTAAATTTAAAAAAAAGAATTACAGTAAATAAATTAATTAAAAATTAATGGAATCATTAACAAATTATTCAATTAATTCTTACCACCAAAAAAAAAAAAAAAAGAAACAGAAAAAGAGACGAAATGGGACAAAGACAGATAGAACGAATAGAAATGACAGGTTTATATACTCAGGCCTAACCATAACAATAAACACATTAAATGTCAATGGTCTAAATACCCAGTTAAAACCTCATAGTCAGGTTGGATAACAAAGTAATACCTAACTGTCTGCTGCCTTCAAGAAACATGCTTCAAATATAAATATATAAATATGTTTAATGTAAGATGGTGCTATGGTAAGTGGCTTTTAAGGAGGCCCGAAGCATCTTAGTATTCACATCCATGGCTGGGACTAGGGGGAGGCAAGTAAGCCACTTGCCTCGGTCATGAAATTCAAAGAAGGACCAGAAAATTCAGTAATCAAGACAAATAATATTTCAATGCAATATTTTTAAAAATACAAATTAATGCAAAAATATATGAAGACCAAATTTTCAGAATTTTAAATAAAGACAGGATGAGTAACAGTACCATACTATGCTGAGCCTCTGTTGGAGCCTGAAGCAAAAGGGAAAATTCAGCCTTCTGAGAAGCCCTGATTCGGAGGCACCAAGATAAACTGTGCTTAGTTTCCTGGCCCACAGGAATCTGTGAGATAAGTATCTGTTGTTTTAAGCTACTAAGTTTTGGGGTATTTGTTAGACAGCAGTAGATAGTATGAAGTTCAGGATTCTATGTCAAAACCAATCAAAAGAAAGCAGAAGTGGCCATTTTAATAGATTTCAGGATAAAGAATATTACCAGGCATTAAGAAGGTCACTTCAGAACAATTAAGGGGCCATTCATGAGGGCATGACAATCCCAAATGTTAACGAATAAAGCAAAAGCATCATGATAGACCTACAAGGAGAAATAGATTAACCCACAATTACAGTCAGAGTCTTCAACACTCCTTTCTAGATACTTGATAGAATAAATAGACAGAACATCATAAAAAATATAGAAAAGGTAAACAACACTATCAACTTGCTTGACCTAATTGACATTAATGGAAAATCCCACCTGTTAACAGCAAAATACACATTCTTTTAAAGTGCACGTGAAGTATTTACCAAGGTAAATTGTCTTATGGGCAATAGAACAAGTCTTGGAAAATGTAAAAGAGGATTCAAGTCATACAAAGTATATTCTCTGACCATAATGAAGTTAAATTCTGCTAATAACAGAGATATATGAAAAATGCCCAAATATTTGGAAATAAATAAAATAGATCTAAATAACCCATGGTTTAACAAATAAATCAAAAGAGAAATTAGAAACTATTTTAAACCAAGTAAAAATGAAAACACAGCATTTCAAAATTTATGCAATGCAGTACTTGGAGGGGGATTTAGACAGCTAAACACATATATTAGAATAGAATAAAAGCCTGAAATCAATGACACCAGCTCCTTAGAAACTAGGAACACAAACCCAATGTAAGTGCAAGGAGTACAAAATAAGAATCAGAGTAGAATCAGTGAAACAGAAAAAAATAGAGCTATCAGTGAAACACAAAGCTGGTTCATTGAGAAGGTCAGTAATATCAATAAAAGCCAGAATGGTCAGGAGGAAAAGGAAAAAGATGCTATTTGCCAATATCATGAATGAGTGAGATGTCATCATTACAGATCCTACAGGTATTAAAAGTATAATAAAAGAATATTAGGAACAACTTTATACCAATAAATTCACCGACTTAGATGAAATAGACAAAATCTTTGTAAGACACAAACTAATAGCACTTACTTAAGAAGAATTAAATAACCAGAATAGCACCATATTTATTCAGTAAATTAAATGTGTAGGTAAAATCCTTCCTTCAAAGAAAACCCCAGGCCTATGTGATATCACTAGTGAATTCTATCAAATATTTAAGGAAGAAATAAAACCAATTCTACATAAATAAATCCAGAAGAATTGAAAAAGATGGAATACTTTTAAATTCATTCTATAAGAACAGCATTACCCTGATACCAAAGCCAGACAATCACAACACAAGGAGGAACTACAGGCTGATATTCCTCATGAACGTAGATGCAAGAATTCTAAAAAAAAGTTTAGCAAATTGAACCCAACCATATACAAGTGGGGCCTATTCAAGGAATTCAAGGTTGGTTTAACATTCAAAAGATCAACTCAACGAATTGACCATATTAAATTTAAAAAGAAAAACCATATAATAATGTCAATAGCACAGAAAAAGCATTTGACAAAATCCAGTGGCCATTCATGATTTTTAAAATCTCAGCGAACTAGGAATAGAAAGAAGGACAATTTCTCAGCCTGTAAAGGGTATCAAACTTAATGGTACAAGACTGGTTACTTTCCTGCTAAAACACATAGACAAGACAAAGGTGTCCTCATAATTTCTATTTAGCAATGTCCTAGAGGTTTTAGTCAGTGGAACAAAGCAAGAAAAAGGAACAAAAGCCTTCCAGTTTGGAAGGAGTAAAACTATCCTCATTCACAGAAAATGATCAGCTGTGAAGAAAATCTGACCAAATCTGCAAAAACACTACATTAATTAAAGTGAGTTTAGCAAGGTTGCAGGATACAAGATCAATCTAGATAATCAATTGTATTTCCATATAGTAGCAAAGAACAATTGGAAATTGAAGTAAAAAATGCCATTTGCAAAAACATCAAATATTAAATACTCAGCTATAAATATGGCAAAAGATTTGCAAACCTGTACACTGAAAACTGAAAAACATTGATGAGGGACATTAAAGAAGACTTATCTAAGTGGAGAGATATGCTGTGTTAATGGATTGGAAAATTCAGTATTAAGATGTCAATTTTCCTCACGTTAATCTATGAATTCAACACAATTCAAATAAAAAAAATATCAGAAGGCTTCTTTGTAGAAACTGGCAAAATGGTTTTAAAATCTGTAAATTCTTAATTTCCCATACGAATGTATTTTCGTTCTTCAACTGACATTTTATCTGTAAAAATCTGAGAAGTGTCAGGTTGGCATGGAGCATATCATAATTTTTCACATTAAAAATATTGGAAATATTTTTGTTTAATTGCTTTTTCTTTCACAGAAGGGCAGTTATGAATGAATGTATATCTCTATATAATACATATACATATATATAATACATATATAGTATACATAATATATATATAATATGTATTGCATGCATATATTCAGAGACAGAATCTCACTGTGTTGCCCAGGCTGGAGTGCAGTGGTGCGATCATAGCTCACTGCGGCCTCAAACTCCTGACTTCAAGATATTTTCTTGCCTCGGCCTCCCAAAGCACTGTGATCACAGGCATGTGAGCCACTGCACCCAGCCTAAATGGATGTTTGTAAGTGTGGAATATGTGCATACAGGAGTCTGCCTCCAAACTCTCTACCCCTCTGTCTTTGGTCTAACTTTCCTCTTATGCCAATCCCATGGGATTTTCCTATTAGGCTTCACTGTATGTCTTCATATCAGACAGAGCAAATTCCTCTCTTTTTGTTCTTTTCAATCAAAGTTGACATGTAACAGGCATATGCCAGACATCACTGTGGAAACGCTATACTCAACTGAGGACTTTGGTAGATTTACGGAGAGTACGCAGACAGACATTTCGTGTGGGAATGCCTTAATATTACAAAGCTGTCAAACCCCCCTACATGAACGTAAGGATCCAGTGCAATCCCAGTCCACATCTCAGCTGGGGTGTGGCAAACGCTCCACGACCTTACTCCAACACTAAGATCGAAGTGTAGAAGTCCGTGAGTAGCTCAGTCAGCTTTGAGTGTTTGCAAAGTGAGTGTTTCAGTGGCAAATATTCCTAATATTCTCTGAGGCTTGGTGTGCCTAAGGGTATTTTCATCTCGCTGCTGCATTTAAACAATAATCATACCCGTAAAATCCTGTGTTCAAAGTTACCTTCCACGCCTTTGAAATATTATTCTTTTGTCTTCTCACATCCGGTATCGCTCTTGAGAAGAATGATGCGATTCTTTCTTGCTCTTTTTAGGCAATTCTGCCGATTCTCTATGGGCCAATTCAGGACTTTGATATTTTAAAACTTCACCGTAACGCATCTATGTTCTTTCTTATCTGTCCTCGCCGGCCTGTCAAGAGCCCTTGCGTGTGTTTCTGTAATTCTGGGGTATTTATTTTCATTATTTCTTTAAATACCTCCTCTCTTCCTCTGCTTTCTGAGACTCTTCCTAGCCAATCCACTACTTTCTCCTTTTCTCCTCAAACGTCTCTGCTTCCCTTTTAAGTTTTTTTCTCATTATTGCTCCTGAACCTTCTAGAACAATTCCACCACACTTGATATTTTATCTCACTTGTTTCCTAGCAGCACCCATGCTGTGATGTACCCCATTCACTGTTGAACTGGCATCTTCCTCACACTCAGTATTTTCCCCCAGCTCCTTGTATATGCCTCTTCATCCCATTTCACACTGTGCCAGCACCATCCCTTATGTTTTTGAGGGTTTTTTTCTTTCAAGTCTGGAGTGCAGTGGCACAATCTTGGATCACTCAGCCTCAATCTCCTGGGCTCAAGCAATCCTCCTGCCTCAGCCTCCCAAGTAGCTGGGACAACAGGCACGAACCGCCATGGTTGGTTAATGTTTGTATGTTTTGTAGAGATGGGATCTTGCTACGTTACCCAGGCTGGTCTTGAACTCCTCAGCCCAAGCGATGCGCTCACCTCTGCTTCCCAAAATGCTGGGATTATGGCATGAATCACTGCACCCAGCCATGTTTTTGAGTTTCTACCAGGATTGCTTTAGCCTCACAGTTCATGTTTTTCAGCAGTTCTTGTCTGTATGCAATGTGATGATCAGATTGCTGCCTTTCCATTCTCGCAGGTATGCCCATGAGTTCAGGCTCCACCTGAAGTGACGGTGACTGCGTCGGGCAGTGTGTTGGGGGAGGAACCAGGGCCTGGCCCTGGCTGGGCCATCCCAGGCCGTGGAATGTAGGGACCAGCCCCACAGGGTCGGTGGGTCTCTCCCCGTGTGCGGCGACGAGAGAGTGTAAAAATAAAGACACAGGACAAAGAGATAAAAGAAAAGACAGCTGGGCCCGGGGGACCACTACCACCAATGCGCGGAGACCAGTAGTGGCCCCGAATGTCTGGCTGTGCTGATATTTATTGGATACAAAGCAAAAGGGGCAGGGTAAAGAGTGTGAGTCATCTCCGATGATAGATAAGGTCACGTGGGTCACATGTCCACTGGACAGGGGGCCCTTCCCTGCCTGGCAGCCGAGGCAGAGAGAGAGGGGAGACAGAGAGAGAAACAACTTACACCATTATTTCTGCATATCAGAGACTTTTAGTACTTTCACTAATTTGCTACTGCTATCTAGAAGGCAGAGCCAGGTGTACAGGATGGAACATGAAGGAGGACTAGGAGCGTGACCGCTGAAGCACAGCATCACAGGGAGACGGTTAGGCCTCCGGATAACTGCGGGTGAGCCTGACTCATGTCAGGCCCTCCACAAGAGGTGGAGGAGCAGAGTCTTCTCCAAACTCCACCAGGGCAAGGGAGACTCCCTTTCCCGGTCTGCTAAGTAGCGGATGTTGTTCCTTGACTCTTTTTGCTACCGCTAGACCACGGTCCGCCTGGCAACGGGCGTCTTCCCAGACGCTGGCGTCACCGCTAGACCAAGGAGCCCTTCTGGTGGCCCTGTCTGGGCATAACAGAAGGCTTGCATGCTTGTCTTCTGGTCACTCCTCACTATGTCCCCTCAGCTCCTATCTCTGTATGGCCTGGTTTTTCCTAGGTTATGATTATACAGTGAGGATTATTATAATATTGGAATAAAGAGTAATTGCTACAAACTAATGATTAATGATATTCATATATAATCATGTCTATGCTCGAGATCTAGTATAACTCTTGTTGTTTTATATATTTTATTATACTGGAACAGCTCGTGCCCTCGGTCTCTTGCCTCGGCACCTGGATGGCTTGCCGCCCACCGTGGAAGAAGAGGAAAGCGTTCCTCTTCCCTTCCCTTCCCCTTTCCTTTAACACTTAAAACATATTTATCCCTCCCCTCCCATCTCCCCTCCCAACTCATAAATATAGTAGGATTCCAACTAATAAACATAGAAGGCATTTGGCAACCAGCACAGCAATTATTTAGGCACAAATCCTCAACTGATGCTAAAACGAGTGAGTAAAAGTCTAAGAAGCAACAGGAAGTTACACGGCATCACGTTTCTCCCCACAAACTGGAAATTACAAAGCACAGAACATCAACGTGACATTGGAGAAACCTGCCAGCTACAATTTTAACCGTGTTCCAAGTTAACACTGCCGGGTCCTTCTTCCTCTTTGGGCCGTGATAGAGCAGTTAGGACCACACGTGGCCTTCACTGCACACAACCAGCAACCAGGATGCAGTCACACAGTTTGTGAGGCAAGTTCTCAAACGCTGGACAGCGCGCCGTGGGTGGTCTGTGAAGGACGTGAAACCAGCCGGGGGAGCCTGGTGATCTTCCAGCCGACCGAGAGTCTCTGGGCTGGGCCCTGGGTCTCACTGAGGTGAGGAGACAGAGGTCAGAGCTCAGCGAGGATGAGGCAACTAGAATTTTCAGGGTAGATCTTTGAAGAGGAGGTGGGGGAAAGAGAGAAAGACAGAGGAGAGAGACAGAGGCAGAGATACGCAGAGAGGGAGAGAGAGAGAGCGGGAGAGGGAGAGAGGGGGAAGAGAGGGAGGAAGAGATGAAGAAAGGGGGAGAAACAGGGATACAGACAGGGAGAGAGATAACTAGGCAGAGAGAGTTAGAAAGGGGAGAAGAGAGAGATAGAGAAAGACAGAGAGAGAGAGAGAAAGAGATACAGAGAGAGAGAGAGAGAAAAAAAAAAACTCCAGGGATCTGCAGAGACCCTCAGGTCCTTGGCTGAATATGGATCCACACATGCATGAAGATAAACCACCTGAGGCCAGAGAAAAAACCCCCGTAGCTCAGGTCACACGGTCTGGAGACAGTTTGTGTTCCCACAAAACTATATAATACACAGGATGTCGGGAAGGGTCCTCATAAGAGCCTCTCTTGAGTGCTGATTCTAAACCAACCCTAGACTAAAGGCAGCCCTGGATTCACCCTACAAAGCATAGAAGCAAAGCTCCAAAGATCCGATGGGTATCAGGAACTCATGGATGCCAGAACAAAATCCGACAGCAATTAAAGGAATACAACAAAATCTAGCAACGGACTGTGCAATATTTGCAAAAAAAAAAAAAAAGGCCAGGCATGCAGAGGAACAGGGAAACGTGACCCAGAACCAGGAGAAAAGCCAGTCAGTGGAGGCAGGTGCAGAAAGGCCAGAGGTGCTACTGTGACCAGACAAGGATTGAAACAGCTGTTTTAGAGGGGCCCTACGTGTAAGAAGGTCCAGTAATAGAAAGAGGGTGATAAAGCAATGGTGGTAGGGTGCTCACAGTTGGAGAATAGGCGGAGGTACAGGAATCCTTTGTACTATTAATGAAGCTTTTCTGCACATTGGAAATGATACAAAACAAAAAGTTAAAAAATGAAAGAGAGGTGGGGTGAGCCTAGAGCATGGAGCCCCAGGACCCATAGAATTTTGTTGATTCCTCTTAGTGTTCCTGCTAGCCAGGCACCTTGTGTGAAATTTGCCATTAACTCTCTGGAAAAAATCCGCTTTGGGAGGAGGCCACTGCCCGTGTGGCCACCTCCAGCCTTGAGACCAGAGCAGAAGGATACAGGAGCAACTGCTTGGAGACGGCTGGCAGATCTGCACGTGTTTCTATCCATCCCACTTCCCCTCTGTAAGGTTCTAACTCTGCCCTGCTGTTCTCCCTGCTGTCCAGGCCATTGCTGCTGATTTCTGCAGTGACGGGGCCAGCAACAACTGTCTCAAGGCAGCTTGGGAAAAGACAAGCCTGCCTCCAACTGTTGCTCTTGTCACTGCTTCTAGCTGTCTCCTCCCCAGGTTGCAGTTCCCAACACCACACACACGTGTGCACACACATGCATGCATGCACACACATGCACATATAGCACAGCATTCATGCATACACATGTACCCACACACGCACACACTTGCACACACATGCACAATGCATACACATGCACATACATGTGCACATGCACACCAGCTCACCACAGCCTGTAGTCTTTTTTTTTTGAGACGGAGTCTCACTCTCTCGCCCAGGCTGGAGTGCAGTGGTGCAATCTTGGCTCACTGCAAGCTCCGCCTCCCAGGTTTCCACCATTCTCCTGCCTCAGCCTCCCGAGTAGCTGGGACTACAGGCACGCGCCACCACGCCCGGCTAATTTTTTGTATTTTTAGTAGAGACGGGGTTTCACCGTGTTAACCAGGATGGTCTCGATCTCCTGACCTAATGATCTGCCCACCTTGGCCTCCCAAAGTGCTGGGACTACAGGCGTGAGCCACCGCGCCCCTGCCGCCTCTAGTATTCTTAGAGATGTGCCACATTGTTGATTTTTCCTCAAGGCTGTTTCTCCCTCTAGATGCTGGAGCTTCTCCAGCATTGATTTTGGGGACGGAAGCCTGGGCGAGGTACACATTCCGGCAGCCAGTGCCAGCTCTTAGAAGGTCACACTGCCTATTGTGTGGACAGATTAGATGGGGTGGGGGTGGGACTTGTGAGTCCAGCAAGGGGGCTATTGTAGGCAGAGCTGCAAGAGGCACCAGCAGGCTGCATGGGCTCCAGGAGAGAGGTGCGACCTGAGAGCCATTCTGGACACTGGGCTCAGTGAAAGAAGCCGGTCAGAAAAGGACAAATCCTGTGTGATTCCCTGGGTAGAAGGTCCCTAGGGTGGTCAAATCCATAGAGACAGAAAGTGGATGGTGGGTGCCAGGGCCTAGGAGAGGGGATGGGGAACGAGTGTTTAATGGGGATAGAGTTTCAGTTTGGGAAGATGAGAAAGTTCTGGAGATGAAGGGTGGTGACAGCTGCACAACAGCACGAATGTGTCTAATGACGCTGAAGTGTAGTTTAAAATGGTTAAGATGGTCAGTTTTGTATTATGTCGATTTTACCACACTGTTTTTAAAAAGAAGCATCCTGGAGAAAGCGTCAGTACTGCTCATGGGGGTGGGGTGAGGAGTCAGCTCCAGTGGCTGCTGGGCTCTCGTCCGAGAGGAGAAGGGAGGCTGGCCCTCGGGGGAAGGGCTGCAGGGATCCAGGGTTCCTGGGTGGATGTGCGGAGTCTGGGGTACCTGGGAACTATCCCCACAGAAATGGGAGGCCACCACTGAAATTCCAATGAGGGGCTCGAAGTTAAAACTTAACACATGAAAGATAAGTGGGGTGACAGCGTGGAGCCCCAGGACCTGTTGATTCCTCTTACCGTTGCTGAGGGGCTAATGGAAGGGGCTGGGCTGGAGGGTCCCCTGCAGTCAGTGGCAACTCAGCCCCTGGGCACTGAGGGACCATGCAAGAAGCGGGAGAGAGAACAGAAAAGGCAGGAAGAGCCCTTTTCCTCCACTGAGGGAGTAGGCAGAGTCAGGGAGTGGCTGAGAAAGGGCAACACAGTCAGCAACGGGAAATGCAAGGAAGACATGAGGACCCGGTCCCCCCATGCCTGGAGGGCTGGAGTGAGGACAGAGGGGGCCTGCTGGACCCAGGAGCGTGGAGCTCACTGGTGACTCCTGAGAGTCAGGGGACTCCCAGGAATGGCGTGGAATCCAGGATGCCACTTCCTCCTGCCTGGCAGCAGGGCAGGCAGCTGGCTGGGGCCCAGACTCCCAGGAGGATGCCACTGCTGCCCAGACCTACTGCAGTGCACAGCAGAGCGGCAAGGGCCCCTGGTGCGTTGAGCAAACTTCCAGGCTTAAAAAGAGCGTGGCTGCCTCATCCCTCCACCACCCAGAGCTGGCTCAGGCCACGTGTGACCCACCCTACCCTTAACAAGGCAGCTCCGGGAGTCCTGGAAGATGAACATCCCGCTCAGCTAGGGCGACACTGTGCCAATCCCTCCCATGGGCTTCCACCTGTACCTCTTGTTTTCTACACAGCTTTATTGAAATATAATTCACATACTATAAAATTCACTGTTTTAACTGTACCATTCAGGGGCTTTTAGTATATTCACAGAAGCATGCCTCCCTCAGCACCCCCAAAAACAACTCCCCGCTTTAGTATATTCGCAGAGGCGTGCCACCCGCAGCACCCCCAAAAACAACTCCCCACTTTATTCGCAGAGGCGTGCCTCCCGCAGCACCCCCAAAAACAACTCCCCGCTTTAGTATATTCGCAGAGGTGTGCCTCCCGCAGCACCCCCAAAAACAACTCCCCGCTTTAGTATATTCGCAGAGGTGTGCCTCCCGCAGCACCCCCAAAAACAATTCCCCGCTTTATTCACAGAGGCATGCCACCCGCAGCACCCCCAAAAACAACTCCCCGCTTTAGTATATTCAGAGGCGTGCCACCCGCAGCACCCCCAAAAACAACTCCCTGCTTCAGTATATTCACAGAGGCGTGCCTCCCGCAGCACCCCCAAAAACAACTCCCTGCTTTAGTATATTCAGAGGCGTGCCTCCCTCAGCACCCCCAAAAACAACTCCCCGCTTTAGTATATTCACAGAGGCGTGCCACCCGCAGCACCCCCAAAAACAACTCCCCGCTTCAGTATATTCACAGAGGCGTGCCACCCGCAGCACCCCCAAAAACAACTCCCCGCTTTATTCACAGAGGCGTGCCACCCGCAGCACCCCCAAAAACAACTCCCCACTTTATTCGCAGAGGTGTGCCTCCCGCAGCACCCCCAAAAACAACTCCCCGCTTTATTCACAGAGGCGTGCCACCCGCAGCACCCCCAAAAACAACTCCCCGCTTTAGTATATTCAGAGGCGTGCCACCCGCAGCACCCCCAAAAACAACTCCCCGCTTTAGTATATTCAGAGGCGTGCCACCCGCAGCACCCCCAAAAACAACTCCCTGCTTCAGTATATTCACAGAGGCGTGCCTCCCGCAGCACCCCCAAAAACAACTCCCTGCTTTAGTATATTCAGAGGCGTGCCTCCCTCAGCACCCCCAAAAACAACTCCCCGCTTTAGTATATTCACAGAGGCGTGCCACCCGCAGCACCCCCAAAAACAACTCCCCGCTTCAGTATATTCACAGAGGCGTGCCACCCGCAGCACCCCCAAAAACAACTCCCCGCTTTATTCACAGAGGCGTGCCACCCGCAGCACCCCCAAAAACAACTCCCCACTTTATTCGCAGAGGCGTGCCTCCCTCAGCACCCCCAAAAACAACTCCCCGCTTTAGTATATTCACAGAGGCGTGCCACCCGCAGCACCCCCAAAAACAACTCCCCGCTTTAGTATATTCAGAGGCGTGCCACCCGCAGCACCCCCAAAAACAACTCCCCGCTTTAGTATATTCAGAGGCGTGCCACCCGCAGCACCCCCAAAAACAACTCCCCGCTTTAGTATATTCGCAGAGGCGTGCCACCCGCAGCACCCCCAAAAACAACTCCCCGCTTTAGTATATTCAGAGGCGTGCCTCCCTCAGCACCCCCAAAAACAACTCCCCGCTTCAGTATATTCACAGAGGCGTGCCACCCGCAGCACCCCCAAAAACAACTCCCTACTTCAGTATATTCACAGAGGCGTGCCACCCGCAGCACCCCCAAAAACAACTCCCCGCTTTAGTATATTCACAGAGGCGTGCCTCCCTCAGCACCCCCAAAAACAACTCCCCGCTTTAGTATTTTCACAGAGGCGTGCCACCCGCAGCACCCCCAAAAACAACTCCCCACTCACTAGCAGCCGCTCCCCTTGCCCCAGCCTCTGCCAAACACTGACCCACTTCCCACCTCCATGGAGTTGCACGTTCTGGACATTTCATACAAATGGGGTCCTCTGATTCCCCACCCACAATTTTTAATCATACTTAACTTCCAAATAAAGACAAAGTCAAATCCCTCTTCCACCCAACAAGATGTGGCCAAGCGTATACAAGAGAACAGCATGTCCCCCTCTCCCCCAGAGAAGAGGAGAGCCCCTGATCCTGATTCATCTCTGGGTGTTCTTCCCCTTAAAAAAAAAAAAAAAAAATCAAAGGGGGAATAGGATTCAGCTGGAATGGGATTCAGCTGATTCTCATTCTCCCTTTGATATCCTAATTTTTTTTTTTTTTTTTTTTTTTTTTTTTTGAGACAGACTCTGTCAGCCAGGCTGGAGTGCAGTAGTGCAATCTCGGCTCACTGCAACCTCCACCTCCTGGGTTCAAGCAATTCTCCTGCCTCAGCCTCTCACATAGCTGGGATAACAGGCACGGGCCATCACGCCCGGCTAATTTTTGTATTTTTAGTAGAGACGGGGTTTCACCACATTGGCCAGGCTGGTCTCAAACTCCTGACCTCAGGTGATTCGCCTGCCTCAGCCTCCCAAAGTGCTAAGATTACATGCCTGAGCCACCGTGCCCAGCCTGATAGCCTAAAATTTAAACACTGAGATGTTTGAAATAATTAAATATCAACTACTATCAAACGTACACTTCATACACTAGTACCGTATGAAGTGGTAGGGAATGGAAGAGGAGAAGAAACAGTGGCTAATGTGGTCCTACCCAATACACTCGGATCAAAATAAGAAACACGCACACCTGTGATAGGCTTCGTTTCTGCAGCAGCCGAGCAGCGGGAACTAGCGTTTCAGCCTCCGTCTCCCGCATAGCCTTCGCCTCCGCAAGCACTCAGCTGATGTGGCTCTTTGCCTGGTGGGATGCCCTAAGCCTTCATTCCTGGAGAGCCTGGGTCCTGAATGACCCTGCTTGGATCAGGGGTGATGGTTTTCCATGATTTTAATCACAGGACATGGGAACCTTAAGAGGCGCTGCAGGGGACCCTCCGCATTCCAGACGTGCTCCTCCTCATCCTCCTTGTGCAACCCGGCCGATTCCGCCCGATAAAATCAGTCCCGTGGCCCGGGCAGTAACTGCCTTTTTTACCTATTGATTCTCTGCAGTGAGGATCCCAAAATGGCCTGGTGCAATCTCACCTTCCAGTCTGGTGGAGCCGTTGGTGTCTCTGCGGGAAACTCTCCTCCCTCGAGAACTCAGACTTCTACACCAAGAGGACCTAGAGTTGTGGGGACAGGGAGCAAACACATCACCAGCAGAATGTCATGAGGGTGAAGAGAAGCCATTGCCACTTCCCCTTCTGGACTCCCAGAACCGTGAGGTCTGGGCGGCAGGAGAAACCGCTCCATAGACTGACTCTAATTCAGAGCCTGGACCGCCTCCTGGAGGACACGGCCCTCTCTGCAAAGCGTCCCCACTCAGCAGGCGCCGTGTGAGTCTCCCGAAGGCCATTCCACGGTCCTGTTCGTGAGCTGCTTCGGGGAGAGGAGGACCACGGAAGACCTCCAAGGTCACAAGCATTGGGCCTTTGCCCTACTCCATTAACTGTGGTGAATTCCTTGAGCAGCAGTGTGAGAATGCCGAATGAGGCGCTCCAGAGTCCACAGGTGGTTTCGGCAAAAGCACCGTGGGCAAGGAGGGCCAGTCCACCTGCAGAGCAAGCCTCTATCCTGGTGAAAGCGCAGCGGTGCCAGTTCCATGCCGGCAGCTGTCTCATATCATCCACTCCACCTGGAGGCTGGCAGATCCCCTGCAACACTGGGGCAGGCGGGCACTTAGTGGATGGGCCTTGGTGAGTGGAGCCCCTGTGCCGATCCCATGTGTGACCTCCATCCCTGCTACCACAGTCTCTATCTTCACCAGCCTGCTGACAATGACAGGGTGGCTGGGGAAGGAGCCTGACTGATGCCCAAAGAAAGGGCCATCTTGTCTACCTGGTCACTGAGCTTCTCCTCGGCTGAGGCGGTTGCCCTTTGGCAAATGTCACATGGGCTGCGAGGATCTTCACGCTCTGCCCTTTCAGAGACCTCTAACCACACAACACTTCCCCACACCTCCTGCTACCGTTTTCCCAAATGTGTTCCTTTCAAGTCCCTGACCATCCATCTGGCCAAGCCAGGAGCAACTGACCATGAGTGGGTGGCACCTGTAGCTCCGAACTCTCCTTCCAGGAAAAATGAAAACACCTAGGGGCCCTGCCCAGAGTATGGACCACGGGTGTTGGAACCACTTTTTCATGTAACTTGCTTGTGACTTCAGGGCCTGCCTGAGCCCCGGGTTGTATATTGCTGCTTCCACTTGAAGACAGAACACAGCTGTGCATGCCCAACTCTGTGGCTCGCTGGGTCCAGCAACATCCCACTCATGACGTACAGTTCAGATCACGTGGCGACTTAGTGGCCTGTCCAGTCTCTATGGAGGCCTGGACGCAATCCACAGAGTTATCCAGAGAGGATGGCAGAGCTTGACTCCAAAATCCTAAGGGCCCTGGGCTGTGATTCACCTGCAGGAGCCTATCATGGCCCCCACGCAGCATCCTTACCTGCCACAGACACCTCAAATGCCATGGGATCTGTTGGTCCCGTGGCTCAAGTGGCTCAGCAGCTTTCATGACCACATGCACTTGCTGCAGAGCCTTCTCTTGTTCTGGGACTCCCAGAAAGCAGACAGCATTTTAGGTCATTCCTACATGGGTTTTCCTACCCATGTCTTCCTACCTACCCGTGGGTCATATGGCCCATGTTGCAAAACATTTTGGAAAAGGCAAAACTATGCAGACAATGAAATGATCAGTGGTTTCCAGGAGTCAGTGGGGAGGGAGGGAAGAATAAATGGAGCACAGACGGATTTTAGGGCAGTAAAATAATTCTGTGTGACACTGTAATAGTGGAGATATGCCATTACACATTTGCCCGAACTCACAGCATGTACAACAAGAAGAGTGAACCCTCATGTAACCTGATCAATGACTAGGTCAATATTGGTTCATCAATTGCAAAGATGTATCACAGTAATTCAAGATATGAATAATAAGGGAAACTGTGTGTAGGGAGAGATGCTATATGAGGACTCTCAAATATGCTCAATTTCTCTGTAAACATGAAACTGCTCTAAAAAATAAAATCTATATTAAAAATTAAAGCTTTCACCAGATCAATGGCTGTAGACCAGGTGTCCGGGGATGCTTTGATTTGCCCCAGTGATCAGTAGTCATATCTGGAACAGCAGTTGCAATTGGAGTCCTGGTTAAGTTTACCAGGATTCACTGTCCTTCTTTCTCCGGGACCCCCCTGTCTTCCACACAAGCCAATTAGACGAGTGGAACGAGGCTGCAGTGGGGGTCACCACCCTGCATCTTCCAAGTCCTCGATGGCGGCACTGACCTTTGCAGTCCCTCCAGGGCTGCAGGTTGCTTTTGACTGACAATTTTCCTAGGCAGAGTTCACCCCAATGGCTTCCACCTGGCCTTTCCCAGCATAGTAGCCCCCACCCTCAGGTCAGGGAACAAATGTGGGGGCTCTGCTGGCTGCCACATACGTCTGTTTACTCACCCATCTGAGGCTAGGGAAGTGACCTCTGCACCCACCGAGGGTTGGACCTGAGCTAGAACTCCGTGAGCCCACTGACCTCCATACGCCCCTCCTCTGACTATTAGATCCGATGGGTGTTTGTGTCCCCAGGAGTGGGTGTCAGGTTAGAGTTAGAGTCCAGTAATCCCCCTGAGTCTGATGATCCCCCTTTCCACTAGCCACCCCAGCAAATGGCTGCAGGTCCCTGAGGGGAGACTGGGGAAAGAAGAATAATGTAAATTTGTAGGAGTATGGCAAGGTCCTTCCTCAGGGGCACCCAGTCCTCCTTCACTCAGGCACCAGGCAAGGGAGGCCACCCATTGCTCCAGCTCCCGTGGCACCGTGAGCCACCGGCCAAGGCCACAGGGCTCCATGGGCTGGACTGTTCCAATCACTGCCGGTGCCAGTTGCCATCTCAGCCACAGGCCCGGGGCCTCGTGGCCACCCCCACTGGGCTGTGCCCTGCCTCCTTAAAGACTGTGAGCGAGCTCCCAACTGGGACACCCCTGACCAGCTCACTCTTATTTTGTCTGCCCTGGCCCTGATGCTGGTGTTTGAGATATCAGAACTCACCTCAAACCACCCTAAGCAGAGATCACTCCGGCTGACGCAGGGGTGCGGCCCACATGTGAGGGACCCTCAGGCTGGGCAGCATTGGCTGAGCCCCCACCGCACCTTCCCTCCCACCCTGGGGTCCTCAGCCTCCGCCCAAGGCAGGGGGGACACTGCTGGCAACTGGTCACCCAGAGAGCATGGGCTGCAGGGATGGCCCTGAGTAGGACACACAGCTCCCGAGACCCCTCACTGGGGACACAGGGGGGCCCTGCAGCCAGGGTGTCAGTGTGGGGACAGCCCAGCAGACCCCAAGCCACCCACTGAGGTTGCTTCTCAGGGGAGCACCACTGGTGGGCTGTCAGCTCCTGCCTGGGCCCCGGCCTCTTGCCCCTGTCCCACCTCCCACCTGCACGGCCTCCAGCATTGCCCAAATTCACTGCCTTCACTCCCAAGTCCACAGAGGTGTCTCATCCAGGCGGGTGAACACTCGTGTGTTGGGAGGCTGGTGAAGCCTGGCATTGGGGGGCACCACCCATCTCCCTTCTTTGTCTCACTGCCTTGAAACACCCCACATCTATCACCTCTGCCCCCGAGGCTCCCCAGGTTCACCCCATGCCAGCCTCAGCCCAACAAGGCCTGTGCTTCTGACCAGCACCGCTGGGGTTCTCAGGGCATCTACCCTTTCCGCTGTAGCCCACTGTCTCTAAACATATTTCACACGTTGCTGGGGGCAGTGTGTGTGACTCACTGCTTCCCAGAGCCAGCCCAGAGCTGTTTAGTAGACATGAGGTGAGTGAATGAATGAATGAATGAATGAGTGCTGGGAGCTGTCTCAGTTAGCTCCAATCTGCCATAAGGAAGCACTGCAGGCTGGGCATGTAAACAGCAGGTGCTTATTTCTTGCAGTTCTGGAGGCTGGAAGTCCAATATCAAGGTGCTGCTGATTCCAGTCTTGGTGAGGGCTCTCTTCCTGGCTTACAGATGGCTGCCTTCTCTCTGTGTCTTCATACAGCTGTCCTTCAGTGCATGTAAGGAGAGAGAGAGAGAAGAGGGAGCTCCTAAATGTCTCTTGGTATAAGGGCACTAATCCTATGGGACCAGGGACCTTCATGTCCTCATCTGTCCCTAATTACCTCCCAGAGATCCACTTCCTAACACTATCTCATTGCGGGGCAGGGCTTCAACCTATGAATTTTGCAGGAACACGATTCTGTCCATAGCGAACACTGACACTGAACCCGCCTCCTAAAGCCTTCTCTCACCATATTCCTCATGCTGCTCAAAGATCCTCTGCAACCTTGTGCCCCTCCCAAGGGTCCCTGCACCTGTCCCAGAGAGAGGGCAGCCTGGCAATGGGCCTGGGCCCTGACGCTTGAGCATCGGGGTCTGGCCTGAAAGGGGATGGGCGTTCACTTCTAGGTTCCTGAGAGAGGCAACACTGCACCTTTAAAGGTGTCAGGAGCTCACTGCCCCAGCTGGTCATGAAACAGTCTCTTCATCAAGGGCTAAATAAAGCACGCTGACCACCAGGAATGGGGCAGGAAGCTTCTGCCCTGCAGCCTGCCTTGTCTGCACAGGGAGTGTGGGGACCATTAGGGGGAGGGTCCGATGTGCATTTTTCTGCCAGCGGGACCTTCCCCTGCCCCCAGTCCTGCCCAGGCCCGGGGGGTCACTCTGAAGGCATCTGGCTCTTACCCCAGGCATCTCCTGCCTCTGCCCCACTCCTCCACCCCCACGGGGTGCCGAGTCTCAGCCCAGGCTGGGGTGGCCCAGGCAGGACAGCAGGCTTGGTGGTGCCCGGCCCCACATACTAGTGGGTGGCACAGCGTGGATGTGGATAGAGACGCCTCCCCTACAGTCTGTCCCTGGTATCTGTGACGCAGGTGTGGGGTCCCTTTAGACTCCCCTGGGAGACAGCTGTGTCTATGAAGGGGCAGCCATCCCTGGGTCCCCTCTGCCCTCACTGAGGGCAGAGCCTAGGCTCCTTGGGGGGGGAAGCAGGGTGCCCCTCAGTGCCCACTGGAGTTGGCCAGCGGAGGCAGCAGCCCACGGCACTGAGAGGGAAGGCCCGGGCAGCCATGCCCCAGAAACTCCCTTGGTTGGGAGCAGAGCAGTGCCCAGAGCCCAGAACCCAGTTTGAGTATGGTCTTGGCTCTCAAGGGACAGGCCAGGGTGCCTCCAGGGGAAGGGGGCTGCCCAGGCAGTAGGGGTTCAAAGGTCCCCTGGGGCCCACCCAGCTGACCCAGGCCTAGGGTAATCCAGAAGGGGAGCTGCCCTCCTCCTCCCTGGGCTCAGGAGAGGCTGCAAAGGCAGCTCCTGGGACGTGGATTTCAGAATCAGGGCAAAGGACAGACATGAGCCAGATTCAGGTGCCCGCGTGGCCCCCACAGGTCTCTTCAAGCTCCAGGCCCCACTCGCTGTGACGCAGGTGGGAAGCTCTTGAGTGCCTCCCCGGTGGGAGGGGCCGCGCTCACAGACAGCACAGGGGCCCCCAGGCTCCAGCCTCAGAGCCCGGCTGCTCACCTCTGATGGACAGAAAAGGGTCCCTGTCTCAGGAAGGTAGAGGCTGCCACCTCCTGGCCCGAGGACACAGCTTTCCAGAGGAGGGGCCTGCTTCTAAGTCCAAGTCCCATCCCAGCCGGATAGCCAGGGGCAACTGCCCAGGTAAACTGAGACAGCAGCAGCAGGCAAGCCAGTGCAGAGCTGGGTGATCCACAGGTTCATGAGCGGTGGCAGGTGGAACAAGGGCACCATGGGCGGAGGGTTGGGCAGCTGCAGGTGGCATCATTGAGCCAGGGGCCTCCTGGTGGGTAAGGACATTGTAGAGTGAGCGGGCGCACCTGGGACCCAGGAATTCACAGGAAGGAGAGAGGAAAAAGGAAGTCCCTGGCGGGTAAACACATATGCATGCACACACATCCACGTCTGCACACGCATCCACGCCTGCACACGCATCCATGCCTGCACATGCATCCACGCCCAATCTCTTCCCTGGAAATAAAGCCAGGGGCCCTTAGGCCAGCTTGCAGTGGGGCCCAGCCCTTAGGACAGGCTCCTTGGTGGGGTAGGGGTGGGGGCAGCTGTCCTCCTGGGCCAGCTCCTTGGGGCTGAACCCGCTGCTCGAGGGGTCTTCCAGGCTCCCAGCGGCCGGCACCACCTCTAGAGCAGGTGGGCAGGGGTGTGTGGGGTGGGCAGGGGTTTGTGAGGGTGGGCAGGGGTGTGTGGGGTGGGCAGGGGTGTGTGGGGTGGGCAGGGGCATGTGGGGTGGGCAGGGGTGTGTGAGGTTGGGCAGGGGCGTGTGGGGTGGGCAGGGGTGTGTGAGGGTGGGCAGGGGTGTGTGGGGTGGGCAGGGGTGTGTAAGGTTGGGTAGGGGTGTGTGGGGTGGGCAGGGATGTGTGGGGTGGGCAGCGGTGTGCGGGGTGGGCAGGGGTGTGCGGGGTGGGCAGGAGGGTGTGGGGTGGGCAGCAGCCTGCACAGTGGCTTCCCCTCAACAAGCCACTTCCTCTTGCAGAGGGAATGTTGGGGTGGGAGGGTGTGGCTCAGCAAAGGGCGTGGGGGTTCCACCGGCTCCCTGCCCCCGCTGGTGGGGCACAGTGAGGGGGGCTGTGGTCAGACCTGGTCTCTGGAGGGCCAGCCGGGGGTTCCCGTCCACCTGTCAGGGGGTTCGACGCCACTTTGAGATGACAAGTGAGGCCACCTGGGCACAGCGCTGGTGTGAGAAGGAGGCCATCAGGACAGGTCAAGAACCCAGGCCCGCCCTGCTCCGAAATTCTTCAGACCTGATGAAGAGGTGTCCCAGAAGCGGGTGGTGCTCCAGGCCCGCCTCACCAGCTCCAGGGAGGTCAAGGTTGGAGAGAGACAATTCTAGGGGCGAACCAGACATAGCCAAGAGCAGCTCATCTTCCCTGGAGAGGACGGGCTGCCCACTTGCACAGCCCGGGGGCCTCCTGCCCCTAGACCTGGTACCTTCACTCTTGTTGCCACCCCTACATTCATACCTGCGCCCCAGTCTGAGCCACACCTAGGCCCCCAGCTGAAGTGACACTGTGGGTGCCAGGCATCTGAGGTCTCCACAAGCCCCCACAGACTCAGGGTGGGAATTCCTGGGGGCCAGAGCTGCAGAGGGTGCTGCCTGGGGGTGCTGGGCTGGACGGGGGTCCTGGTTGTCCCTCCTGGTTCTCCTGGTTCTCCCTCCGCAGAGGGAGGGAGGCGGTGGCCTCAGCAGTTCCTCCAGCAGCGTTCCTGAGCGGGCGGCAGCTGGGCCCTCTTCCCACAGCCACGCTGGGGTTGCCATGCCTGCAGGTCTTGGGGCCCCCTCCCCCTTGATGAGGTCCTGACCAAATGCAGGAGGAGCAATTCCAGCACCGAGGGGCGAGCAGAGCCGCCTGTTAGCACTCCTGGGAGGGCCCGGAGTGGTCCCTGAATGATGGATTCACCTGGAACATTTTCACCCTCTTCAGGCCCACCCTGCCCCAGAGGCCCACGGAAACCCTGCCTGTACTGGGGCCGCAGCGCTGCCCCCACCCATACGTAATTACACGGCTCGGTGTAATTGCAAATTCGAGGTTTACAAAGCCTCCCCCTGGAGGCCCCACGTGAGTGTGAGCGAGGCCCCAGCCCACCCCTGTGGCCCCAAGAAGGCTCTGCGACAAAATATCCATGAGTGCCGCCCACGAAGGCATTAAAACCAACGACCTTCTCAAAACTTAAGCTGTCACAGGACATTTCAAAGGGTGTTTCCTAAGAACACCTCAATAATGATGTTCCAAGGAGACCCCATCCAAATTCCTCCAAGGATTACGCCCCCAAGGCCCAGTCCACACTTGCTCACTCCCAGGACGGGGAGCTCACCTCCTCCTCCCCGGGCGCCGTCTCCTCCACATCCCACACCAGGTCCTGCCCATGACTTTCCCCCTCTCAGCGCCGTCCTCAGTGGCCACACCAAGAACGAGGCCATGTCTTCCTGGGAAGGGCCTCAGATGTCAGCAAATGCCCTGGTGTCTTGGGCTGGGCTGGGGGCACCAGGGTGAGGTGGTGGGGGGAGCCAACCTCACTGCCCCTCCCCTTCCTGCCTGCCCTTCTTCCGGGGCACCCAGCAGCTCGGTCCTAGGGCGATGTTGACAGACAGACAGAGGGGCGGATGCAGCCTACCTCCTGGGCAGTGAGCTGCGGTCTGAGGCCCCTGCCCAGCTGGAAACCACAGGGAGGGGAAGGGAGGGGAGGAGAGGAGAGGAGAGGAACCGTCATGGGGCCTTGGAGTCGAGTCAGGGTTGCCAAATGCCAGATGCTGGTCACCTGCTTCTTTATCTTGGTAACAGGCAGGTCGGGCAGGAGTGGGTGGTGGGTGGGGGTGAGCAGGGGTGAGGGGTGGCAGGGCCTCAGCACAGGGATTATCCCTCCCCTGACACACACACCAGCCCTACTGTCCCTGTCCTGCCCTTGCAGACATGTGTCCTGCCCTTGCAGACAGCCGCAGGCAGGCAGGGACCACCATGAGCAACCCCGTCTCTCCTCCTGAGGGGCAGCACAGAGCCTGGAGGAGGCCTGAGTGGGGCTGAGGCCTGGGGCGAGCTGGGGTGGAGGGGCACTGGCTGCCGGGCTCCAGGGATCTTCTCCCCTTCCTGCCCCGGAGGGTGCTGGCACAGGGGTGGGGCTCACTCCCACTCCGTAGACACAATGATCAGAGGTCCTGGGTGTCTGGGGAAGCTGGGCTGTGCGTGTATGCGTCTACCATGTGGGGGTGCCTGTGAGTGTGCTGGGGCGTCTGCAGTGAAGGCCTCCTGAGACCACTCCACGGAAACACCGGGAATCCCTGCAGCTGAGCCTGTCTCTCACGGGACCGGGAAGCTGGAGAGAGCCCCAACCCTGCCCGCTGGGGCCGAGCTCCCTGCTCCTGCAGCAGTCCCATGCCCCACACTCTGAGTCTGCCCTATCCACAGCTGCTGGGCCTCTCTGTGGCCACCATGGTGACTCTTACCTACTTCGGGGCCCACTTTGCTGTCATCCGCCGAGCGTCCCTGGAGAAGAACCCGTACCAGGCTGTGCACCAATGGGGTAAGTGAGGTCCAGGCCTGGCTGCATCGGGAGGGGCCTCGGGTGCAAGGGTGGCTGGCACGAGCCCAGCTGGACGCCTCACAGCCAGAATGGTGCCAGGCCCTAGGCAGGAGCCAGAGGTGGTCAGGGGCAGGGAGGGGCTGCCCTGGAGTCCTAGCTCCCCTGGGCAGGGCCTCGGGTCTGGGTGACAGCCAGTGTTCCTGCCTGGTTCTCGTGCCCCACAGGAGCGTGGGCACAGTGTGGGTATATGTCGGGCAGGGTCAGGAAGTGGCTCTGTGCGGTCAGGACCTGGCTCTGTGCAGTCAGGGCTCAGTCCCAGGCAGGCCTGGGACTGGCCTGGGGCTGGGCACAGCAGGTCCATGAGGGCTCCACATGGCTGATGTTCCACTCAGGACCTGGGATGTGGGTGGGGAGGGGGTGGGGGCTGCTCTAGCCAGACGCCTCCCTGCAGGGACTCAGCAGCGACTTATCCAACATCCAGAGAGCGGGAGCGAGGGCCAGAGCCTGCTGGGGCCACTCAGG
Organism: Homo sapiens; assembly: GCF_000001405.40. Classification (NCBI taxonomy): domain Eukaryota; kingdom Metazoa; phylum Chordata; class Mammalia; order Primates; family Hominidae; genus Homo; species Homo sapiens. Next base: position 2,303,481 of record NC_000011.10, read on the forward strand.
GGTAAGGCTGAGGAAGGCCCCTTTAATGAGGGGATGTCAGAGCCAGATCTGCAGGGGACTCTCAGGCAGGAGCTCAGGGGGCCCAGGAAGGCTGCAGCCCGGTGGGCAGATGTAGGGAAACTGAGGCCCAGGAGGTCAGGGATACTGCCTTAGAACCCAATGCTTTTCCCCAAGTCCTAGGACCAGGGCCTCCCTGGAGGAGGACGCCTGGGGCCCAGGTCCAGGTCCGGACTGATAAGATTACAGCTCCAGTCCGGCCACTTGTCACTAGGACATGGCAGGAGGATGCCTGGGGCCCAGGTCCAGGTCCAGACTGATAAGATTACAGCTCCAGTCCGGCCACTTGTCACTAGGGCATGGCAGGGAGCATGTGGCTTCCAAGATAGCCCCACAGGCATGGAGGGCAGGGAGGAAAAGAGGGAAGGAGGGGCAGTCCCCCAGGCTGAACGAGTCCCACCTCCCTCCTCCTTCCCTCAGGGCCGTCTGATGGAGAGACAGGCCCATTCAGAGCCCCCCAGGAGTCCCTCACGGCCCCTGACTCCCAAGTTAGATTTCACACCCAGGCTGTGTGCACTCAGGACCTGTCCTGGGCACCCCTAACCCTCCTCCTCTCTCCTCCCAACCAGCCTTCTCTGCGGGGTTGAGCCTGGTGGGCCTCCTGACTCTGGGAGCCGTGCTGAGCGCTGCAGCCACCGTGAGGGAGGCCCAGGGCCTCATGGCAGGGGTGAGTTCATTGTGTTCCCAGATGCCCAGGCCCCCAGAAAAGAATTAGAAAGGAGTGAAGAGCTGGCAGGGCTGTGTGCCACCCCCACACCTGAGTGACCAGGCAGAACCAGAGGCCCCAGGGATGCTGGCCAGCCGAGACCCCCACGTCAACCCCACACCTGAGTATCTAGGCAGAAACAGAGGCCCCAGGGATGCTAGCCAGCCGAGACCCCCTACCTGGGTAGCCAAGGCCCCTCCACCAGGCCCTACCTCACCCTGTCATCTACACGCCCAACAAGGGTTCCTATAGGAGCTCTGAAAGAGAGAGACGGCCCTCCTGACCCTGGGAGCTGTTTCCAAAGTCCCTGGGAGGGTCTGGTTCTATTGCCCAGCAAGCTCTGGGAGGGCACTGGGAGCATCCCATTTCCTGTTCGGAGGAGGCCGGGCCAGGCTCAGGAAACGCCCCTTGAGCTCTCCAGCCTGGGCTCTCCGGAGCTGCACACTCTCCTTCCCAGCTGCCGGAGGTGTCTCCCCAGCCCCGAGGTCCCATAGGCCCCTCCACCCCACCCCATAGCAGTGGCCTCTTGTCACCCTCATTCCTACTCCTCCCCATGGGCTTCTGTCTTGGTCCCTGCCACTCGATGGTCATCGCAGACCCCACCTGGCGGCAGCCTCCCCACGCCTGTCCTGCCCCTGCTAGGCCCACAGCCCTCTTCTCTCACCCCAGCTGGGGCAGCTCCTCCCTGGCGCCCCGGGCTCCCACCTGTCCCTCTAGCCTCCCGTCTCCCCTTTCCAGCCATGAGGAGCTTGTGCTGGGGGCTTTGCTTCCCTGTTTAGCCTGTGAAGCTGGACCACTCTGGGGGTCCCTGAGGGCAGAGCCTCCTGGGTCCCCAGGGCTGGCAGGGTTTTCAGCTCAGCCTTCAAGTTCAGCAAATGCTTGTTTAATGACCCTGGTTTATAAATGTCTCCAAGAATAGGAATAGAGTCACCTCCTGGAGCTGCTGCCGGGCCAACCAGCCCTGGGTGGGCCCATGGTGGGCAGAGGAGGACCCAGCAGCTCCAGCACTAGCCAGGATTCCTGCTCCGGGGCACACGAGCATGGGCAGGGACAACCCCGGCCTGTGCTATCTGGCTTCAGGGCCAGGTGGGAGGCCCCAGTGGGGAGATGACAAGGCAGGTAGTCTGCCCCCCCCCCCAGAGGGTGTGTGGCCTGCAAAGGGACACCTGGATGGAAGAAAAGGTTGGCAACAGGGCCAGGCCAAGGGGTCCAGGTCAGAGCTGGAGGCCCAGAAAGAACCAGCGCTGGGGCTGCAGTACCGTCCACCAGGGGGTGCCATGGTGCTGGGCTTGAGGCCACATATGCAGAAGCCAGCCGCTGGGCCACGGGGCTCCTGTCCCAGTCACCAGCCTTTCCCACCCCACCTTGCCCCCGTGCACAAACCAGTCTAGCACCCTCATCTGTGGCCAAGGCGGTCAGGGAGCACCTGGGCTCAGGTTCTGTGTCCCCAGCCAGCCCCAAGGCCAGGGTGACTTGACATGTGGGTCAGGCCTGTAGAGCAGCCTTGGAGGCCCCCAACTGGATGCCTGCACTGGGCTGGGGTCCTGAGGACACTCCAGTCCCAGCTGGGTGGGCTCCAGCACAGCTCCCAAGCCCCAATGCACTTAGACCCAGCCTGGATGGTGAGCTCAGCATGGCCACAGCAGGGAGCTGGGAGACCCCAGTCAAGAGACCTGCTCCATTGAGCTGCATGCATGTGTGTGCATGAGGGTGAGCCTATGTGTATGCGTGTGCAAATATACATGTGTGTGTGCATGTGCATGAGTGTGTGTGTGCATGTGTGTGTGCGTGTGCAGGTGCCTCTGTGTGTGTGTGTGTGTGTGTGTGTAAGTATCTGTCACCGGTCTTCACCTGCCCCTGTTGCCATACGGGTGTGGTGTCTGCGTGTTGCATCTGGCACATCTGTATGTGTGTCTGCACGCATGAGCACAAGTGAAGGGGCTAGGGAAGGGGAGCAGGGAGTGGAAAGATTTTTTCCAATGGGCTGGGCGCCTGGATGCTCCCCACAAAGCCCCTTCCTGCCTGCCCCCACCCCTCCGGCCTCTCCCCTAGCTGGCCTCTCGCACAGGAAATGAAAGAGCTTGCTGGGCTGAGAGAGCAGAGCTGGCAGCGCCGCCCAAGGAAGCACATTCAATTCGCTTATGTATCTATTTATTTATTTCCATTTAGAATGAGGAGAAAGAAAATGGCCAGGGCAGACCTGACCACCCAGCAGCCTCTGATGGTGAAGGCCCTGGGGAGGTCTGGGTGGGCCCATCCACCACCCAAGATCCTCTCTGCGCGGGAGGTTGGTGGTGGGGGGAGAGAGAGAAAGAGAGAAAGAGAGAAAGAGAGAGAGAGGCCGTGGATGCTCTTTCTCCTGAGGAATGAAATGGTTTCTGGAAAATGCTGGTCTCCTGAGCTGGCTCAGGGCCTCAAGCCTGGGAGGCAGCATTGAGTGATAGCTTCCAGATGGGGATGGTGGCCCTCAGCCAGCAAGGAGGAGGAGGAGGAGGACGAAGAAGGAGGAGGGCAGAGGAGAAGGAGGGAGAAAGAGGGAGAGGGAAGAGGAGGAAAAGGAGGGAAAAGGGGGGAGAAGGGAGAGGGAGAGGGGGAGGGAGAGGGAGGGGGAGGGGGGAGAAGAAGGAGGGAGGGGGAGAAGGGAAGAGGAGGGAGAAGGAGGGAGGACAAGGGAGGAGGAGATGGAGGAGGGGGAAGGAGGAGAAGGAGGAGGGAGAAGGAGGAGGAAAGAGAAAAGAGGAAAGAAGGTGAGGAGAAGAAAGAGGGGGAGGGTGGAGGGAGGAGGAGGAAGAGGAGGAAGGAGGAGGAGAGAGAAGAGAGGAGGAGGAGGCAGCTCCCAGGCCATCCCCCATCAGGCCTTGCAGCCTCCAGGGCAGGCAGGAGGGCCATGAGGAGCCGCCAGCGCCCTGTCCCTGCAGGGCTGGAGGCCCCATGCTCACGCCTGTGCTTGGGGGCCAGCAGGGCTCCCCAGCTCTTTCCACGCCCCTCTGGCCCAGCTTCCCCTGGCATGCCAGCGTTGTCGCTGCCCACCTGCCAGCATGTGTGGGTCTCCGTCTATCCCACGGGCACCCATGCTCCTGGCATCACCCTGAATGGGGCCCCAGGGTTTGAAGGGCCCAGACCCAACCTGCTCCAGCCTGTGGACCACCCAGGCGGGCACAGTGCTGCCTGAGGGGGCTGGCGTTTCACCGGGGCCTCAGGACTCCTGGGGGAGCTGCCCGGTCGGTGGCTAGACTCACCGTCAGGTACTCCAGGTCCTCAGGGCACCAGCATGAAGGCAAAGGCGGCTGCCCAGACCCTGAGTGGGAGGACATCCCCAGGGTTCTTAGCCTGGGTGACCTCTGCCACCATCCATAAAACTGTATCGGGGGCATCTGTATGCTCTCAGAGGAGGGGTCTCTCGTGTTCCTTAGCTTCCGCAAGGGGGCTCTCAAAAGCCTGGAAGCCTTGACCGAGAGAACAACGGGCAAGTGCCGGGGGCGGGTGCGCAGACGTTTCCACCAGAGAACGCCCCACTCCACGACTAGGGGCACGGGCATCAGTGAGAGAGAGGGGACAGTGGTTGGCCGGGCCATGGAGACCCAGGCAGAGTATGGAGAGAAAGTGAGGTGAGGGAGGTGGGCTCAACTGCAAAGAGAGAGGCCACAGCATCCTGAGCAGGCACCACACCTGTCCCAAGCCTCACCAGCACTGGGCTAGCTGGTGCCTTGTTTCAGAAAAGAAGGCAAAACAGAAGATCCTACAGCCCCGGCCCTGGAGAGGCTCAGGCTCAGGGGAGACTCTGCCCGGCCCTGTCCAGGTCCATGCCCCTCAGGAAGCAGCCCCAGTGGGCAGAGGTCTCCATCTTCTCAGGGGTGCCCTGCCCCTGCTGGGCAGGGGTGCAGTGTTGCCATCAACAGGCCCCTGGGGGCCAAAATGGGAGAACAAGGGATGAATTCCCAAAAAGCGCAGGGGAAGGGGATGGGAAGGTGCTATGGAACCCACGCACCCAGCGCCCACGCTCTCCCCAGGCCAAGTCTCCCTCTCAGGCAGTGGGGAGCGGGACTCAGACCCACACCTCGACCAAGCATCCTGCTGGGGGCGCAGCCTGAGGGCACTGCCCTGCCCAGGCCTGCCAGGCCCCACCAGGCCCCGCAGTGACTGCCCCCACCCCCGCAGTGACCACCCCCCCACAGTGACCGGCCCCCCGCAGTGACCAGCCCCCCGCAATGACCAGCCCCCAACAGTGACCAGCCCCCCATAGTGACCGGCCCCCCACAGTGACCAGCCCCCCGCAATGACCAGCCCCCAACAGTGACCAGCCCCCCATAGTGACCGGCCCCCCGCAGTGACCAGCCCCCCGCAATGACCAGCCCCCAACAGTGACCAGCCCCCCATAGTGACCGGCCCCCCACAGTGACTGGCCCGCCCACAGTGACCGGCCCCCCCCAGCAGCGACCAGCCCCCCGCAGTGACCAGCCCTCAACAGTGACCAGCCCCGCTCTGCCCCCAGGGCTTCCTGTGCTTCTCCCTGGCGTTCTGCGCACAGGTGCAGGTGGTGTTCTGGAGACTCCACAGCCCCACCCAGGTGAGCACCAGCTGCCCCTACCCTGCAGTGGAGGGTCCCCCAGTAAGCCAGTGGGCACCTGGGGACTGGGGAGCAGTCCTGGGAGGAGCAGCCCCAGCTTCCAGGCTTGTGCTGACCGGGTGGGGTGGGGGAGACCGCAGCCTGGGTTCCCTCTGCCTGAGGCTTCAGGGAGGCCAAGCGCTGGAGGTGGGTGAGGGCCAGCAGCTCCCTGGTGGGGAGGGACCTATGCTGTACCCCTGCCTTCGCCCCAGTCTCATTTTCTTAAAGCCCCTCAGCCCACCCCCTCCTGAGCTGATGCCCCTCGGGTTTGAGGGAGGGAATGAGGAGGAAGAAGAAGGAAAGCCACTGGCTTGGCCTTAGGGGTTGACTAGAAGGAGCAGAGTGTTCCAGAAAATGAGACCTGAGGGCCAGCGCTCCTGATGGCCTGGTGGGGCAGACGGTACCAGTGGGGAAGGGACCTGGAGACCCGCGGACTGGGGTGTCGCAGCCTCCACCCCCTCCACGGAACAGCACCCATCCTTCCGTCCTGGATGCTGACCTGCCTGGAGGAGGGTCCGGCCTAGCTGACCGTGGGCAGGGGCCAAGGGCGTCCCCGTGGAAAGGCCAGCAGCTTGGAGAGGAAGGAGGCCTCCCTGGCCCAGCAGAGAATGAGAGCTCGGTAGCAGAGCCAGCCCCACCTTCCCCTTGAGAGCCAGACCTGGTGAGAGCCCCCAGGGCAGCCGGGCGGCACCAGGGACAGCCACGGGCAGGGTCATGGAGTGGGGCAGGAGAGCCTGGCAGGTCACAAGAGGTGATTTCTTGGAGCCCTAGCTGGAGTCCTAGTGGCCTCGTGTATTCAAGTGCCTGGTTGCCCAGGGCCCTCAAACACAGGCTTGGCCATGAGAGATACCGAGGCTGGTAGCAGGCAGGTCCTCTGGCTGAGCTCTGCAGGGGGCCTGCTGTGCAGTTTCTTGAGCTGTGCTGGCAGCCTGAGTGTGGTGGTCCCCACCGTGGTTTGCAAATGGGGGGACTCAGGCCCTCTGGGGGTGGGGGGAGCTCAAGGTTACCCTGGCAGTGCCGGGGCTGGATGGGGGCTCCAGGCTTACGACAAAGGCTCTTGGCCCCAAAGTGCCCACCCACCCCTGGCATCATTTGGGAGGAACCGCCTGAACCAGGTGGGAGAAACACCATTTTATCAGGCCCAGAAGGATCCCAGAGGGGCTGAGCCCCCAGAAGAGGGCTGTGGCTTTGAGGACTGGCACAGGAGTCTTACCAGGGTGGTGAGCTGGGCCAGGTCCGTGTTTCGGCCTCACGTTTCCTGTCCACTGAGGGGTGGTCTGGCTCATTTGAGGTCTGGGTCACAGTGTGGGTGGCCGAGGTCAAGACAGCTGCCAGGGTTCCCCGGGCTCGTCTGGGGCAGCTGCGGCCCATGCCCCATGCTTCTGTGTGTTTATGGCTCTGATCGTGGAGCCACAATTCTGGAGGGGAGGGGGCCATACAGGGGCCACAGGACAGAACGCAGCTGGGGCCTGCTCTCCAGGAAGGGAAGGGGGTGCAAGAAGATAGATGCCCCAGCCGGGCTCACCTATGGCCTGTCCCAGCCCCAGGCAGCATCCCCCACACACATGGTCCTTGTCTGGCCCGTGCGCCCAGCTGCCCTTCAGGGGTCAGTTCTCAGGGCCTTGCCTGACCCCAGGCAGGGGACTGGGGCTTCCTCCTGGGCCTCTGGTCCCCATCTGCCCCTCCCAGTGGGTCTTGACTTCTGGCATCATCTGTGTCAGGCCTGGTGGCCATGGAGGTGGCCTGGGTGAAGGAGCTCTGAATATGAAGTCAGTGTCCTTGGGCCGCCCTTGGGCAAGCCACTTTAACTTCCTGGGCCTCAGTTTCCTTTTCTGTGAAGGGAGCACCAAGATCCAGGGGCTGCATGGGTGGGAATGGCCAGGTGTGTGCAAAGACTCTTCCTCCTCACCTGCGTGCCTCCTGCCGTGCCCCGTTGCCCAGGCTGGTCCTCCAGGACGTGGGACTTGCTCGAAGCTGTCCTGGGTGTGGATGGAGTGGCTTTGGTGCCAGGGCCCGGGCCCTGAGCAGGAGGGGCGGCTGCACATCCCGTCTCCTGCCCTCCACCCTCAGGGCCCACCAGAGCCGAATGGGCTTCAACCTTGGGCTCCCTGTCCAACAAAGTCCTGCTGGCAGCCTAGACAGTGGCAAAGGCCAAAGGCCCCAAGCTGTTGGCACCGGAAACGTCGAGGTGAGAGCCGGGGGCCCAGAGCCCAGCCCGGCCCATTCACCCATTCCCCCTGTCCCTCCCCACAGGGCCACTGAGGTGTCCTGAACACAGGGTCAGGGTGACTCATGTGGTGCCCCTGCGGATGGGAAGGCAGAGGACAGAGGAGGGAAGGGACCAGCCACATGCCCTTGGTGGTGCCCTGTGGCCACAGACCCGGGCCCAGAGCTGAAAGTGGGGTGCCCCTCCACCTCCCCAACTCTTGCCCCAGGGAGTCCTGGCTGCCACTTCCCTGGGATGCTCATGCGGGCAGGAGGCGTGGACCGGGCTTCAGGGATGAATGTGGAGCTTGAGGGCTATTAATTACGTTCTCCTCGAGGGCTGAGAGCCACTTTGCCTTAACCCTCCCCCTGTGCCCTGACGAGTCTGCTTCGGGAATAATTCATGCTCAAATTAAGTACAGCAGTGTGGGGTGCAGCCTCGTCCTCACAGTCTGCCCCACCCTGGAGCCACTACCCTCCCTGGATCCTCCAGCCGCCGAGTGGGCTCAGGCCAGAGCCAGCTCTGTACCTGTGGGGCTGGTCCACAGGCCTCCTGCAGCTCCTGGTCCCCACCTGCCGTTCAGGACCTGTCTGTACCTTCCTGAGCACTTTCAGCAGACACAGGATGGGGTCGCCAAGCCCAGGCAGACACCAGGGAAGATCTGGTCATGGGGAAAAGCCCCCGGGCACCGGAAGACGGAGCTTAGTGCGTTGATACCTGTCAGGCAGCACCTTCCCCCAGGTGTCCTGAGAAACACAGGCCCCAGGCTCCTTCAGAGCCCCCAGAGCCTGGAATGGAGACAGACGGTGAAGCATCACCTAGGAGCCCAGGCCCCGTGGAGAGCAGCCGGCCCGGCCTCCAGGGCCCTCCAGGGCCAGACAACCGGCTTTGGGGTAGGAGGCCTACCTCGCTGAGCTCTGCTTCCCCAGTCGTGGGGAGAGCTGCTTGGCAGAGCCAGGCAGGGCAGGAAGAGCCAGGCAGGGCAGGCAGGGCAGGCAGGGCAGGCAGAGCCAGGCAGGGCAGGCAGAGCAGGCCCCTCAGCCACTAGCAGGAGTTGTCACTCTCGCCCATGCTGTGGTAATAATGACACCTTGCTCACAGCCTCAGAGGCACCTTTGTCCTCCTTGGGCCATGGCAGGCGCCTGACAATGGGAACAGTCATTGGAGTTGGGAGGGAAGCAGGAGGGGAGGTCCGAGCCAACCCCCGGGCCCACTCCGCTGGGCCTCCAGTCCTCACCAGGACCTCCACCCACGAGGACACAATGGCCAGGCCAGACTCCACCCCCATTTCACACTCACAGACGCTGAGGCTGAACAAGGCCCCCGCCCTGGCCGACAGTGGTGTGGCCAGCTTGGTGCCTGCCCGCCCCTGGGCACTGCGGGGAGGACAAGGCTGGCTGAGTCGGGGATGACTCACGGAGAGTGGTCTGACTTTTATTAGCATCAATGGGAGGGATGCATTAGGGTCAGGAGCCAAGTTTGGCCTGGAAAGTCCATCTGACTCCTGTTGGGGCCTCCAGGCTTGGGCAGGGCTGACCGAGAGCCTCCACTGCCCACTGCCCGCCCAGTTGGCCGCTGTCAGGGCCTGCCACGGGGGCTGGGCCCCAGTGCAATGAGGACCGCCGTAAGCCACCCTTCCTTTCTGGAGGGCAGGTGTGAGTGGCTAGAGCGGGCCTGGGGCTTCCATCCTCCCCCAGCCCTTTGGGGCAGCTGCTGAGCACCCCCTTCATGTGTCTTGACTGTCAGCATGGCATTTGGGGGAGAACTGAGGGCCTCTGAGGCAGGAAGGAGACATCAGAGGGCAGGGACCTCAAAGAGGGCCTCGCCCTGTGCCAGGAGACCAGCGACTCCTGGAGCAGTCACAGAAGCCTTCCTGTAGGAGGCGAGATTCCAGTTTGTCTTTGAAGGAGTAACTTGGCAGGGGAGAGCATCTTGCTTAGGAGGGTGGAGACATGAGGTCCAGGTGTTGGTGAGGTGTGGAGCGCAGGCAGCACATCCAGCCAGGCCCCGTCACCTTCCACCTTCTTCACCCCCTGCCCCACAGTGGCCTCGTCCACCCAGATCTGGCCTCAGGTGCCCAAGGCTTCTCTGGTCAAAAGCCTTACCCGGAGCCCAGCTGCCCGGGCTTCCAGAAGGCAGCCGGGTGATTCTTGGGAAAGATCTAGAATCCCCAAGCTTTCTGGGAGCTGAGGTCCTGGCACAGGGTCTCTCAAGCCTTTTCCACCAGGCCCAGCCCCATCCCCCATTTCCGGGTCAACAGTAGCGTGCTGGAAACTTCTGTGGGCCAACCTTGTAAGACCACAGCGGAGGCGGACGCAGAGCTTGGCCTCTGCTTTATCCTGCGGGACCCTCTGGGGGCAGGAGGGCCACTCTGACGGCCATTGTGTGAAGGCCCCATCGTTGATGTTGGGAAGCACTGTGACTGGCTGCCCAGGGACCCAGGTTCCGCTTTGGGGAGATCCACCTGCTACAAGGAGGGCAGTGCTGGGACGTCACTCAGCACTAAGGGCCCACTAGCGTTTGGGATGTCGTGGGGAGGGGGCTGTGTCCCCGGATCTCCCACCAGGGCCAGGACCTCCCTGTGGTCTCTCGGTGCAGGTGGAGGACGCCATGCTGGACACCTACGACCTGGTATATGAGCAGGCGATGAAAGGTACGTCCCACGTCCGGCGGCAGGAGCTGGCGGCCATCCAGGACGTGGTGAGCGTGGGGACGGCTGGGTGGCAGGGCGGTCAGCTTCTGCTTGGACTGCAGTTCAGAGAACAGGCGCAGGGTGGCCAGTGAGAGGTCTGGCCAGGCACCGAGGGGGTTCCAGGACACAGGCCAGAGTTGCCCCTCAGGGCTGGGGGCAAAAAGCTCCCACCCTCTGTCTGCCCAGGACAAGGCCGCCTACCAGATTCTCGAGGCCCAGTGCAAAACGAGAGGGCAGGGCCCTGTATTCAGAAACACTGAAGGATTTCAAGAGCATTAAAGCAAATACGGGGCCGAACATAGTGGCTCACACCTGTAATCCCAGCACTTTGGGAGGAGGTTGAGGCAGGTGAATTGCTTGAGCCCAGGAGTTCGAGACCAGCCTGAGCAACATAGGGAGACCTTGTCTCTACTTTAAAAAAAAAAAAAAAAGAAAAGAAAAAATAAAAGCACATACAGCGCACAGGCCCTGTGAACAGGGCGGGGAAGCTGCCTGGCTCCAGCAGGTGTTCTGTCACCAGCAGGCAGGCAGCGCAGCTTGAGAGAGCTCCCCTTACCAGGGCCCGGCTGTGCAATGGCTGGAGCCCCAGCAGAAGCAGCTGCAATACCAGTAGCCCCAGCCCTGGCCTGCAGGGAACCCCACCTGGATACTTGTGGTGCCTCAGTTTCCCCATATGTGCTGCCCGCCTCCTGGGGTCTCGGGAGCACATCACCACTCCCTCCCTTCTGTTCCTGTAGTTTCTGTGCTGTGGGAAGAAGTCTCCTTTCAGCCGTCTGGGGAGCACAGAGGCTGACCTGTGTCAGGGAGAGGAGGCGGCGAGAGAGGTGAGGGGGGGACCTGGATGCTGGCCAGGCAAGACCCTCGGGGGCTGGACACCCTGGGGCCCAACCCCAAGACCCAGGGCCATCCTCCCACCCCACCCCTTGGCCTCCCCAGACCCTTGGGAACTGCCGCTGAAGGGCTCAGGGAAGGTTCTGATGTGATCGGAGGCTAGTTAGGGTTCATGGTACGCCAAGCCCATTGGGTGGCCAGGCTGGGCTCAAGACATAAACACAGGCCCCTTTGCCCAGCTGGACGCAGGCCCCATGCGCCATTCACTCCTTCAAGCCAGTTCCAGCCTGGGGACTTCCCAAGGCCAGCTAAGTCCACAGAAGCCTCTTGGAGTGCACCCATGAGGGCTCTGTGCCAAGGGCTGCAGGGCTGGTGTGGTGGGCTCTGTCTAGGGGGAAGGGTGCAGGCGTCCTGGGGGGCATCAGAAGGAGTTGAAGGGCACTCAGAGGAGAAGAAGTAGGCCAGGGTGTGGCCAGGGCTTCAGCAACAACAGAGCGGGGCCCGAGGCCAGGAAGCCTTTCCTCCCCAGGGCCCTGGGAGAGACTGGGCCCTCCTCTCTTTCTCCTGGTGCCCGGCAGCCCTCCCCCAGCCCACCCTGCCCCCTCCCTGCTCCCCTCCCCGCTCCCCTCCCCTACTGTCCTGGAAACAAACCCACCCTATCTCACAGTGGGAGGCACCTGGCGACCCTCCAAGAAACAGAGGGGAGGAGAGCAAATGGCTGGAGGCCTGGTGAGGGGTGGAGCCACAGCCAAGGCTCTGAGGGCAGAAGGGCTGGCGCTGAGGATGGTGCTGGGGAGGGACCAGCGGCATTGGGGGCAGGGCTAACAGTCAGGACCCCTGTGCCACCCAAGGAGAGACTGAAAAGGCCCCCGACTGAAAAGCAGGAGCGAGGGCCTGCCTCGAGCACCCTTGGGATGGCAGGGCCATGGGCCCGACTGCAAAGCCTCCTGGGGAGCCGGAAGAGCCAGCACAGGCGGCAGGCACGGAGCCACCCAGATGGGCTGGCATGGGCGGGAGGGAGGCAGACCTGCCTGCGGGGGACAGGAGGGTGAGCCCTGAGACCCTGCGGAGGCCTCCACAGGCCGCCCCAGTTGCCATCATCTCCAGGGTTCAGAGACAGGCCTGCCACCTCCCTTTTCTGAAAAGATGCCTCTGGGTGCCATGCCCTGGGGTGGCACTGGAAGCCTGGGATGGAACCAGGAAGCTGGGACTGTGCGGGGACCCCCCTCACACCCCTCCACCAGCTGGCTTCCTGCCCTCCCTGTTAGCCATCACCCTCTGGTCACCAAGGTGCTGTGCCCGGCCCTGGGCTGGATGCTGGGAACCCAGAGTGAATTCGAAGTGGCCCGGCCCAGGGGAGCCAACGTGTGGCCCAACATGGACGCTCAGGACAGCTGGGAGACGGCACCGGCCGGGCCCAGGGCAGTGCCAGAGTGCCCACAGAGGCCAGCCCTGTCCCACTGGGCTTCACCTGCTCGTGCTGCCTTTCCCTAGAGCCCTGGGGGCTTCCTAGGAATGTGCCGCACCCGCCGCCCTGCTGCCCTGGCATTGGCCTAGGTGGGCGCTGCAGCTCCATGGCCCCACAGAGGCCGCTTGTCCAGGCAGGGAGGGCCGCTCAGGGCGGGTACCATGCCTGCTGCCCTCTCACAGGACTGCCTTCAGGGCATCCGGAGCTTCCTGAGGACACACCAGCAGGTCGCCTCCAGCCTGACCAGCATCGGCCTGGCCCTCACGGTACCCTCTCGCCTCCCTCACTGCCCCTTCCCACCTCCTGCCCCTCAGCCTGCCCAGCCCCCGACTCAGATGGAAGGGTGACCCGGGACAGGATCTCTGGTCTTGAGCCTCACTGGCTGCCAACCTCAGGGAGCTGCTCTGGTGTGACAGGGCCTGCCTCCTACAGCTGGGCCGCCCCCTTACACTGCAGAGTCCTGATGCTTCCTGGGGAGGGGCGCCCGCACCCTGGGGCAGTGGGGCAGCCGCGGGTGTCTCCCTCCCAGGTGTCCGCCTTGCTCTTCAGCTCCTTCCTGTGGTTTGCCATCCGCTGTGGCTGCAGCTTGGACCGCAAGGGCAAATACACCCTGACCCCACGGTAGGGCCCCCTGCCTGCCCCCACACCCTCTGGAAGGGTCCTCCAGCTCTGCTCGAGAGGCATCTGCTCTGCCAGCTGCTAGGAGGGAGCCCCGGGACCAAGCCCCAGGCTGACACTGTAGAGGAAACGCTTTGGGGGTGGCTGAGCACCAGGGTGGGGTGGGAGACCTGGAGAGTTTCCAGACCCAATGCACCGCACCCCATGGCCCACATGGGGACCCCCCTTTGCTTACCCCCAGGCCTTACCAAGACCTGGAGATGGATGCTTCTGGGCCTCCAGGTTATAGCCCCAGGCCAGGATCTCTGTGCTTGAATACCCCAGAGCTCCTCATGCTTAGGGGGCAGGGAGGGTCCAACCCACAGCCAGGCAGCTCTTCCTGCCCCCACGGAGCCTGGCCCGTCTCTGCCTGCCATGCCCATTAACCCACCCACTTGCTCTTCCTGGCCATCCAAGCCCTCATCCCTGGGTCCTCTGCATTCTACAATAGCCTCACAGTCCCGTCTAGAACATTCTGCAACAGCCTCACAGTCCCCCTAGAACATTCCACAGCAGCTCCATAATCCCCTCCAGAACATTCTGCAACAGCCCCATGATCCCCTCTAGAACATTCCACAATAGCCTCACAGGTCCCCTGTAGAACATTCCACCACAGCCCCATGATCCCCTTGCTCCTCAGAGCATGTGGCCGCCAGCCCCAGGAGCCCAGCCTCTTGAGATGCTCCCAGGGTGGACCCACACATTGTCTCCACTCCGAAGCAGTTGCTATTGGTCCAAGAGGATGCTCGGGTAGTCTTCGGTGGCTGCAGGAGAGCGATGCTGCGCCTCTGCCCCTCTCCTGCCACCTGGCTGCCCACAGAGGTGAAGACGCCCCTGCTGTCAGCCCTCATGGGATCCCTGAGGGGAGGGTCCGAGCTGTGAGGAGGGAAGGGAGTGAAGGCCCAGCCAGAGAGCCAGGCTCCATTGGGAACAGATGCAAGGGTAAGGGGTAGCTCACCAAATCCCTCCATGGGAACGGGCTGGGAGCAAGCACAAAGGAAACCACACTGGAGGCAGCAGCCCAGGGCAGACTGCAAGACACTGGTGGCCCACGGCCTGGAGGGCTCCACCCAGACACAAGCTGCACTGGTTTTCTATGCTGCGTAAGAAGCAGCATGGATGTAAGGACTGCAAGCAGTGCCCATTTATGATCTCGCAGCTCTCCAGGGCAGAAGTCGCGGTGGGCTCAGTGGGTGCCCTGAGCGGGGTCTCTCAGACTGACGTCAGGCCTTGGTGGGCTGCACTCTCACCTGGAGGCTCCGGGGAAGCATCTGCCTCCAGGACCATTCAGGCTGTTGACAAGTCAACTCCTCATGGCTGTAGGACTGAGGTTCCCAAGTCCTTGTCCCTGGTCCTGTGGTCCCTCCACCTTCAAACCAGCAATGGTGCATTGAGCAAATTGTGGTCAAATATACATCACATCAAATTTACCATCTTAACCATTGTTAAGTGTATGGTTTGTGGCATTAAATACATTCACATTGTTGTGCAACCATCACCACCATCTATCTCCAGAACTTTCCATCTTCTCAAGCTGAACCTCTGTCCCCAGTAAACACCAACTCCCATTCTCTGCCCCGGTCCCTGGCACCCACCATCCACTTTTCGTCTCTATGGATTCAGCTGCTCCAGGAACCTCATATGTGTGGGGTCACACAGGATTCATCCTTTTGTGTCTGGTTTATGTCACTTACTGTTATGTCCATAAGGTCCATCCGTGTTGTAGCCTGTGTCAGAATTCTTGAAAGAGAAATCTTATCAGCTTTCCCATCATCTCACAGCCACATGGTCCGTGATTAAGGCAGGACATTTAGTGGGAAGCGTGGAGCATTTTAGATATTCTGCCTGCCACACCCACTCTTACTGGACGTTCAGACCACGTTGATGACGAATTAGCTCTAATGGTCCCTAAATGTTTGCACAATTTGCTCAAAATTCTAAGTCCTGGGTGGAACGCCAAGTTGGCCCAGCCTAGGCCAAGGTCCTAATGAAGCCGACAAAAGAGAAGGAATGTCAAGGCCCTTCTAACTTCCATAGAGGGTGTGTGGCCCCATCTCCCACCAACAATCCTGTAATCCCAACACTTTGGGAGGCCGAGGCAGGAGACTGCTTGAAGCCAGGAGTTTGAGACCAGCCTGGGCAACATGGCAAGATCTTGTTTCTACAACAACAACAAAAAGAAAACATTAGCCAGGCATGGTGGCACACACCTGTGGTCCCAGCCACTCAGGGGGCTGAGGTGGGAGGATCTCTTGAGCCCAGGATGTCGAGGCTGCAGTGAGCCATGATCACGGTACCGCACTCCAGCCTGGGTGACAGAGTGAGACCCTGTCTCAAAATATAAACAAATAGGCGGGGGGCAGTGGCTCACGCCTGTAATCCTAGCACTCTGGGAGGCCGAGGCAGGCAGATCTCTTGAGGTCAGGAGTTCAAAGCCAGCCTGGCCAACATAGTGAAACCCCATCTCTACTAAAAATACAAAAAAAATTAGCCAGGTGTGGTGGCGGGCGTCTGTAATCCCAGCTACTGAGCAGGCTGAGGCGGGAGAATCGCTTGAACTTAGGAGGCAGAGGTTGCAGTGAGCCGAGATCGCACCATTGCACCCCAGCCTGGGTGACAAGAGCAAAACTCCATCTCAAATAAATAAATAAATAATAAAAATAAATAAAGTACAAAAAAATTAGCTGGGCATGGTGGTGGGTGCCTGTAATTCCAGCTACTCAGGAGGCTGAGGCAGAAGAATCACTTGAAGTCAGGAGGTGGAGGG
The DNA here is from genome assembly GCF_000001405.40 of Homo sapiens. Lineage (NCBI taxonomy): Eukaryota > Metazoa > Chordata > Mammalia > Primates > Hominidae > Homo > Homo sapiens. Next base: position 2,319,471 of record NC_000011.10, read on the forward strand.
TGCAGTGAGCCAAGATTGCGCCACTGCACTCCGGCCTGGGTGACAGAGCAAGACACCATCTCAAAAAAAAAAAAAAATTTAATATATATATATATATGTGTGTGTGTGTGTGTGTGTGTGTGTGTGTGTGTATACATATATACACATATATGACTAACTAAATAAATAAATGCTAATAAATAAAATAAATAAATTAAAATAAATCTCCAAACTAGAAGAGTAAGGACTAACAGGGCCAAGAGGTAAACTTTTGTGAATGTTCCAACCATAAGTGCTGCCCTCACTCTCACCCGTAGGCCCCCGGCCTGTGGATTCTGGTTTAGGGGAACGGCACCATTCACCAGGGTCCAGGGTCATATGCTGTAGGACTCTCTGCAGTCTTGTGGTGGCATCTTCCAGCTGAGCTCCTAAATAATCCTGAGTGGTCCTGAGAAGCCAGATCACCATCCCACAGGGGTGGGTCCTGTGGAGGGACAGGGTACATGGAACCCTAGTGAATCCCATGGGGTCTCCCCACTGCCCTGTCCTTTGGCTGTAAAGGCGATGCCTTGGCTGGAAACAGCAGTACGTGCAGGAGCAGGCAGTAGGCTGGGAAGGAAAGTGCCGGTGCCGGAGGAAGCAGTGCTAGTGGAGGGGAGTGGGTCCAGATCAAGAAGGGTTAAGTGCAGTCATCTTTCCCATCATCTCATAGTTGCACGGTCCAGGGATGAAGACAGGACAGTTAGCAAGGAGAGGGGAACCGGATCATTTAAGACCACAGCTGGAAGATGTCCCTGAATGTTTGCACAATTTGTTGAAGGTTCTAAGTCCCGGGTCGAACACCAAGTTGGCCCAGCCTAGGCTGAGGCCCTAATGTAGCTTGGCTAACAAGAGAGAAGGAATGTTGGGGCCCTTCTAACCTCCATAGGGGGGTGTGGCCCCCCATGAAGTGGAAATAGTGCCAGTGGGGGAGCATCAAGGAGCAGGGCCATATCCTATAGGACTTCACTGCAGTCTTGCGGTGGCATCTCCCAGCTGTGCTCCTAAATGATTCTGTCCCCTCCGCACTAAATGTCCTCCCTTCGTCCCTGGGAAAAGCTAGACCCTCTCCATGAAGGAAGGCGTCCAAAGCCAGTCAGCCCTTGGCCAGGTGACCAATCGGTCTCCCATGAGATGTGGTGCGCTTCTGCGGGGCGGGACGGCACACTGCTGACCTTGATCGGGCATCGGCTGCAGTGCAGGGGTGTCTGGAAGAGCTTGGTAAGCTGAGTCCCTGTGGCTGGGCCACGGCGGCTCCCCTCCCCTCCATGTCTGCCTCAGGGCAGCAACAGCTCCCTTGGGGCAGAGGCTGCCTGTCTGCCACGGGTTCCAAGAACCTTATTAGAGTACAGTACCCCATGCGCTTGACAGTATGCCCAGCCTGTCCAGCTACAGGACTCAGCAGACAAACAACACCCAGGTCAGACTACACCTGATGCCCATAGACAGGGCTCAGTCTCCACCCAGGCCCAGGGGAAACCGAGCGCTGTATATCCAAGCGAGAAGAGGTCCTGGACACAGAGGGCAAACTCTGCTCTCCTCGACGGGCACTGTGGCCTCCACCATGGCTTGGCTCAGGCTCCGAGGGCGCCTTGGTCAGCCAAGACCCCAAGAGGACCCTTAGGTCCCTGGGTCACAACTGAGTGGCTCAGTCCACACAGGAACAAGACCACATGGGCATCGTCACTGGCTGTGCCTCCTGCAGAAAGCAGGCCACCCCTGGCGTGCCTGGACACAGGGGAAGCACACACCCAAATGCAGGCTGTGTTTCCTCCAAAGAGTGCTGCGCACGGATGACTCAGGGTGCAGGACTGGTCCTTCACCACCACGGAGTAGGCATGCCCGGCTTCGTTGGACCCCAGAGAGAGCTTCAGGAGAAAGCAGGAGTCTCTGTTTTTACAGGGTTTCCTTCTCACCCTGCCACTCATGGTTTTTGTTAAAGCAACCTACAACTTCCTCACCTCCAGGTCATATCAGCCCAATGTCCTGTGGGCTGGGGAGACGGTCAAGGTCCACATGGGCTAAATTGTGGCTGAGAGCTAGGTTATTCATGTAATCCCAAGGCAGGTCCACGCTGCTGTCCCTCCCAGGTGAGAGCAAACCACCTTTATGGTTTTCTATATGTTGGGATAGACTGAAAAACAACAACAAAACAGGTGTTTGCTGGCGAAATAGCTGCTTGCCAGTACAAATGCCTGTGCTGATTTGTTCCAATTAAGAAGAAAACTGGTGCTTGCTTCAGCCACACATACACTAAAATTGGAACCATACAGAGAAGATTAGCATGGTCCTCCCTGCGCAAGGATGGCACGCAAATTCTTGATGCATTCCATATTTTTGGAACATACCTCAAAATAATAAGAGCCATATATGACAAACCCACAACCAATATCGTACTGAATGGGCAAAAGCTGGAAGCGTTCCCCTTGAAAACCAGCGCAAGACAAGGATGTCCTCTCTCACCACTCCTATTTAACATAGTAGTGGGAAGTTCTGGCCAGGGCAATCAGACAAGGGAAAGAAATAAAAAGTATTCAAATAGGAAGAGAGGAAGTCAAACTATCTTTATTTGCAGATAACATGATCCTATATCTAGAAAACCCCATCATCTCAGCCCAAAAGCTTCTTAAGCTGATAAGCAACATCAGCAAAGTCTCAGGATACAAAATCAATGTGCAAAAATCGCTAGCATTCCTGTACACCAACAACAGGCAAGCCAAATGAACTCTCATTCACAATTGCCAGAAAAAGAATAAAATACTTAGGAATACAGCTAAGAAGGGATGTGAAGGACCTCCTCAAGGAGAACTACAAATCACTGCTCAAAGAAATCAGAGATAACACAAACAAATGGAGAAACATTCCATGCTCATGGATAGGAAGAATCAATATCATGAAAATGGCCTCACCGCCCAAAGCAATTTATGGATTCAATGCTATTCCCATTAAACTACCATTGACATTCTTCACAGAATTAGAAAAACTATTTTAAAATTCATATGGAATCAAAAAAGAGCCTGAATAGCCAAGGCAATCCTAAGCAAAAAGAACAATGCTAAAGGCATCATGCTACCCAACTTCAAACTATACTACAGGAATACAATAACCAAAACAGCATGGCACTGGTACAAGAACAGATACGTAGACTGATGGAACAGAATAAAGAACACAGAAATAAAACTGCACACCTGCAACCATCTGATCTTTGACAAACCTGACAAAAATAAGCAATGGGGAAAGGATTCCCTATTTAATAAATGGAGCTGTGAGAACTGGCTAGCCATATGCAGAAAATTGAAACTGGACCCCTTCCTTACACCATATATAAAAATCAACTCAAGGTGGATTAAAAACGTAAATGTAAAACCCAAAACTTTAAAAACCCTAGACAAAAACCTAGGCAATACCATTCAAGACACAGGCATGGGCAAAGATTTCATAACAAAGACACCAAAAGCAATTGCAACATAAGCAAAAATTGACAAATGGGATCTAATTAAACTAAAGAGCTTCTGCACAGCAAAAGAAACTATAAACAGAGTAAACACACAGCCTAAGGAATGGGAGAAAATTTTTGCAACCTATGCATCTGACAAAGGTCTAATATCCAGTGTCTATAAGGAACATAAACAAATGTACAAGAAAACAAACAAACAAACAAACAAACCCATTAAAAAAGTGGGCAAAGGACTTGAGCAGATACTTCTCACAAGATGACATACACGCGGCCAACATTTGAAAAAAAGCTCAACATCACTGACCATTAGCAAAATGCAAATGAAAACCACAATGAAATACTATCCCACACCAGTCAGAATGGCCATTATTAAAAAGTCAAAAAATAACAGATGCTGGTGAGGTTGTGGAGAAAAAGGAATGCTTTTACACTACTGGCAGGAGTGTAAATTAGTTCAACCATTGTGGAAGACAGTGTGATAATTCCTCAAAAACCTAGAGGCAGAAATATCATTCTACCCAGCAATCCCATTGCTAGGTATATACCCAAAGGAATATAAATTGTTCTGCCATAAAGACACATGCACGTGTATGTTCACTTCAGCACAATTCACAATAGCCAAGACATGGAATCAAGCCAACTGCTCATCAATGATAGACTGGATAAAGAAAATGTGGTACATATACACCATGTAGTACTATGCAGCCATAAAAAGAAACGAGTTCATGTCCTTTGCAGGGACATGGATGGAGCTGGAGGCCATTATCTTCAGCAAACTGACACAGGAACAGAAAACCAAATACCGCACGTTCTCACTTATAAGTGGGAGCTAGATGATGAGAACACAAGGACACATGGGGGGAAACAACACACAGTGGGACCTGTTGTTGGGTTGGGGGTGGGAGGAGGGAGAGCATCAGGAAGAATAGCTAATGGATGCTGGGCTGAATACCTGGGCGATGGAATGATCTGTGCAGCAAACCGCCATGGCACATGTTTACCTATGTAACAAACCTGCACATCCTGCACATGTACCCCTGAACTTGAAAGCTGGAATTTTTTTTTTTTTTTTTTTTACTTTTTAAGCTCTTTTGTTAAAAACTAAGACACAAACACACATAGCCTCGGCCTGCACAGGGTCAGAATCATCAGTTTCACTGTCTTTCACTGTCACATCTTGACCAGTTTTGTGACCGGAAGGTCTTATGGGCAGTGACATGCATGCAACTGTCATCTCCTGTTATAGCAATGCCTTCTTCTGGATACCTCCTGAAGAAACTGCCTGAGGTTGTTTTACATTTAACTTGTTTTATATATAAGTAGAAGGAGTACACTCTAAATAAAAAGTATAGTAAATACATAAACGAGTAACGTAGTTGTTTGTTATCATTGTCAAGTACTGTGTGCTGTGCATAAATATATGTGCCAGATTTTTATATGACTGGTAGCACGGCAGGTTTACTTACACCAGCATTGCACAAAACACAGGAGTAATTGATACGGTTTGGCTGTTTCCCCACCGACATCTCATCTTGAATCGTAATTCCCATAATCCCCATGTGTTCTGAAAGGGACCCGGTGGGAGGTAATTGAATCATGGAGGTGGTTACCCCCATGCTGTTCTCGTGATAGTGAGTGAGTTCTCACAAGATCTGATGGTTTTATAAGGAGTTTTTCCCCCTTTCATTTGGCACTTCTCCTTGCTGCTGCCATGCGAAGAAAGACCTGTTTGCTCCCCCTTCCACCATGATTGTAAGTTTCCTGAGGCCTCCCCAGCCATGCTTAACTGTGAGTCAATTAAACCTCTTTCCTTTATAAATTACCCAAGTTCGGGTATGTCTTTATTAGCAATGTGAGGATGGACTAATACAAAATGCATTGTGCTACAACATCATTAGGTGATAGGAATTTTTCAGCTCCACTATAATCTTATGGGACCACTATCACACATGTACCCGTTCTTGACCAAAGCATCCTCATGCTGTGCACAACTGTACTCAGCCACCGGCTGAGTCCCCACATTGGTTTCCTGACGTGTGGGGTGAGGGCCACTATTGTGGGCCAACTGGAAGCCATTAGAGGTGCCTCTACCTAGAAAAATAGTCAAAAGCGATACAATAATAGTCAGTCAAAAGCTGCATTTCCAGAGGAATTTCAGAGGTTAGTGCCACCATCAAATACCTGAAAGATGCAGGGGCAGTGATCCCCACCACAGCCCCATTCCACTCACCTATTTGGCCAGTAGGGAAGACAGGCGGGTCCTGGAGAATGACAAGGGATTGTCCTAAGCTTGACTCCAACTGCAGCTGCTGGGCCAGATTTGGTTCCATTGCTTGAGCAAATTAGCTCATCTCTTGCTACCTGGTGTGCAGTTATTGATCTGGCGAATGTGTCCTTCTCCACCCCTGTCCACAAGGCCCAGCAGAAGCCAGGCCAGCAATGCACCCTCACTGTCCCACCTCAGGGGCCTCTCGCCTCTCCAGCCTGTGTCAGAGGTAATCCTCAGGGGTCTGGATCACCCTTCCCTTCCCCGGCATGTCACACTGGCCCATTACACTGATGACATTATGCTAACTGGACATAAGGCACAAGAAGCAGCAATTATTCTATACTTGTTGGTGTCAGAGGGTGGGAAATAAATCCAACTAAAATTCAGAACCTTCTACCTCGGTGAAATTTTTAGGAGTCTAGTGCTGTGGGGCCTGCTCTAAGGTGATACATAGATTGTTGCAACTGAACCCTCCCACGATCAAAAGAGAACGACACCAGGTGAGCCCGTTTGATGTGAGGAAGACAGGTTCTTCCTCATTTAGGTGTCTGACTCTGGCCCATTTACTGAGTGATTTGAAAAGCTGCTAGTTTTGAATGTGGCCCAGCAGCAGGTCCAGGCTCTGTGCAAGCTGTTCTGCCACCTGGGCCAATGACCCAGCAGATCCAGTCTGAGGTGTCAGTGGCAGACAGGGACACTGTGTAGAGCCTTTGCCAAGCCCCAGTAGGTGACTCATAGCTCAGGCCCTTACAGTTTTGGAGCAAGGCCCTGTCATCATCCACAGATAACCACTCCGTTTTGAGAAACAGGTTTTGGACTGTGTATTAGTCTGTTTCACACTGCTATAAAGATATTACCTGAGACTGGGTAATTTATAAAGAAAAGGGGGTTAGTTGACTCACTGTTCTGCATGGCTGGGGAGGCCTCAGGAAACTTACAATCATGGCGGAAGGGAAAGCAGACACATTTTACATGGCGGCCAGTGGGAGAAGAATGAGCAAGACAGGAACTACCAAAACTTATAAAACCATCAGATCTCGTGAGAACTCACTCATTGTCATGAGGACAGCATGGAGGAAACAGCCCCCACGATCCAGTCACCTCCGGCCAGGTCTCTCCCTTAACACCTGGGGATTACAATTCAAGATGAGATTTGGGTGGGGACACAAAGCCTAATCATATCAGCCTGTGTCTAGGTCTTCATAGAAACTAAACACTTGACCAAGGGCCACCAAGTTACCACATGGCCTGAGCTGCCCATCATGATCTGGGGATTATCTGACCCATGTTGCTATAAAGTTGGGCGTGCACAGCAGCGCTCCATTTGAATGAAAGTGATGTATTGTGATCAGGCTCAAGCAGGTCCTGAAGGCAAAAGTAGGTTACGTGAAGAAGTGGCCCAAATGCCTGTGGCCCCCACTCCTGCTCCAGGTGCCTTCTCTCTCCCCACCTGCATCTGTTGCTGCACAGGGAGGTCCCTCTCATCAATTGACATGGGAAGAGAAGACTCAGGCCATACTTACAGGTGGTCTGCTCGATATGCAGGTGCTATCAGAAAATGGACAGCTGCAGCCCTACAGCCCCTGCGGCAGAGGCAAAGGATGGAAAATTCCATTCCAAACACGAGAAATGGGAAGGAAAGGACTAACTGAGCATGACCAAATCCAAAACCCAACAGGACAAAATTAAATCTTAAAGCTGAAGAATAATTTTCTTTGACTCTTTGTCCTACCTTCTGGACACACTGGGACAAGGCTCCTGGTGGCCCCACTCCTACGGCTTTGTGTGCCTGTGGCTTTCCCAGGCTGGTGGTGCATGCTGGTGGCTCTACAGGTCCCGAGTGTCCTCTGCTCCCTTGGCACCACTACACATTGTCCTGTGGGGACTCTCCATGGCCCAAACCTGTAGCAGTTCTCGGCCTGGGCCCCAGGGTCTCCATGACACCCAGTGGAATCCAGGAGCAGGAACTTTTCCTCCACAGCACGTGCACTCCGTGCATCTGCAGAGCTGGCACCGTGCTGACACCATCGAGGTTTACCGCCTGCGCCTTCTGGGCTGGCAGCCCAAGGAACACCTGTACCCACGTGAGCCTCCATGGGGGTGGGCCAGGAGTGATGCACCAGCTTGCAGGGAGGAACAGAGATTGAGGCAAGTCTGGGCAGCACGCCCCGAGGTCTCATGGAGGCCCTGGGCCCTTCTTTTGAAGCCATTCTGCCCTCAAGACCCCGGCACCCTGAGCCTGTGATGGGCATGACAGTCTGGAAGGTCTCGGAAATGCCTTGGGGGTCATTCTCCCATTGTCTTGATGAGCAGCTTCTGACCTCCTTCTACCCGTACTAATCTCCTTATCCAAATTTGCTTGACTACACCCTTGCTATTCTCTCCTGAACATGCTTTCTTATTCTTTTTTTTTTTTTTATTATACTTTAAGTTTTAGGGTACATGTGCACAATGCGCAGGTTTGTTACATATGTATACATGTGCCATGCTGGTGTGCTGCACCCATTAACTCGTCATTTAGCATTAGGTATATCTCCTAATGCTATCCCTCCCCGCTCCCCCCACCCCAAAACGGGCCCCAGAGGGTGATGTTCCCCTTGACGTGGGCAGGCTAAGAGTTTTCCAAGTCTTTAAGTTTTGTTTCCTTTCTATTATCAATTCTTTAACTCATTTCTCTTTTCTCGCCTTTTGCTATAAGCGGTCAACAGAAGTCATGCAGTACCCGGAGTGCTTTGCTTAGAGATTTCTTCCAACAAATATTCTAGTTCATCGCTTTTAAATTCTGCCTCCCACAAAGCCCCAGGGCATGGACACAATTCAGCCAAGTTCTTTGCCACTTTGTAAGAGGGACAGCCCTCCCCCAGTTTCTAATAAGATAGTTCTCATGTCTGTCTAAGACCTCACGAGAATGGCTTTGACTGTGTGGATCTCCACCAGCATTCTGATCACGACCACTGAGATCATTGCTACCAGCCCAGAGGCTCTCTCTACAGCCCTGCCCTCCTCGGCCTGCACTGGAGTCACCTTAGCACCAACTCCGTTCGCAGGAGTGTGTGCTTTTCCAGCGTGCACTTCAAAACGTTTCCAGCCTCTCCCGTGACCCGGTTCCGGCTCTGCTGCCACATTTTCAGGTGTTTGTTACAGCAACAGCCCCGCTTCCTGGTAGCAATGTCTGTCTTAGCCTGTTTGTGCTGCTGTAACAAAGCACCATAGAATAGGTCATTTATACGTCATAGAAATTGATTGCTCACAGTTCCAGAGGCTGGGAATCCTGCACTGCAGGTGATGTCTCGAGAGGACCTTCTTGCCGCGTCCTCACATGGCAGAAAGGGAAAGGGCACACAGGCACCGAGCTCATTCCTCGCCCTTTTCTAAAGCACTGATCCCACCCAGGAGGGCGGAGCCCCCACGGCCTCATCGCCTTCCAAAGGCCCCACCTCTCACTACCGTTGCGTTGGGGACTTTTCAACATGAATTTTGGAGGGACACAAATATTCAGACCACAGTAAGCCATGACTAATGCACACAGAAAACTGAAGTTTCAGGATGTATTTGCTCTCATTCCTCTCCATCAACTCAATGGCAGCTGTCAGAAGGCTCTCAGACTTGAATGGGCCTTAATCCCATCTTTGTCTTCTGTTGATCGGTCCAAGTCAGGCATTTTATTGGGCCTTTGTCTCCCAAAGCTTGTTAAAATCCTAACTCTTGGAGCAGTTGGTTTTTCTGCCCTTGCGGTGCTCTGAATTTCTGGATCCATCTCTCTGTTCACTTTCATCTCTGCTTGTAAGCTGGGCCTTCTTTCTCAAGCTGGTCTCCGTCTCGTGTTGCGGGACCTAACACAAAACTCGCAATGTGGTGTTTTCCCACTTCGCCCCTTATGCTCCTGGCTGAGCCTTCTTGTATTCAGCCTGCCAGGTCACCAGGAGTGATTTTAGCAAGTTTGCTGCTCCAGCTCCACCAAGTCCCCATCACTCGGGCCCCCGGTGCCTGCTCTCTTGGCAGCAGCTGGGTTTGGGGGTTCCGACTGCTACCACAATACAGCCTGGCCTGTCCTGACTAATACAGAAGCAGGCTCTGTGAAGGAGGGTGCTGCCATAAGAAGAAACGCAAATTAACACGTATCTACACAGTCTCCGTGGTGCACAACAGTCAGCTTTTCCTGCTTATGTGTCTGGGCTCTGCTTGACTGATCTTGGCTGGGTGCATTCCCAAGACAGCAAGTCGTGGCTGGCCTCGGGCACAGGAAAGGGCGAGAGACTGGGGTCACAGATACAATCTAGCATAGGGGGACAGATAACTCAATGTTTAAATTCATAGGGTGCTGGACCAAGAGAGGGCATATCCAAACCTGATGTGCTCATCCATCGGAGATGCTGGGTCTGGAGAGGGTGTAGTGACTGGGTGGACTTTGGCAGGTCAACAGAGGGGTGGATGGCGGAACAGACGATACCATGTGTTCACCACACTGTTTCTTCCTCCTAGGCAAATGGAAAGACTGCATTTCCCAGTCACCTCTATGGTTAGTGTGGTTGCATGAGGGTCATGTGACCGAGTTCTGACCTGTGGGATATGGGAGGAAGCAACGTAAGCTACTTCCCAATCGCCCTTCCCTTTCCAAGGTGACCTTACAGGACACACGTTCCCAAAGTCAGCTCAAAGATGAAGAGTCACTTGACCACCATATGCAAGTGAAAAATAACCCCGAGACCTCAGGGGGTATTTGTTAACTGCAACGTAGCCTACTTTCAAAGCATGGTTCCTGGACCAGCTGCATCACCCGGGAATGCGGTAGAAATGCAGATTCTCAGGCCCTGCCCAGGCCTCCCAAATTAAGGATGCTGGGGTGGAGCCTAGCAATCTGCGTCTAAAAAGCTCTCCAGGGCAATCTGAAGGCTGTTCCTGGCCAGGCACAGTGGCTCATGTCTGTAATCCCAGCACTTTGGGATTACTTGAGAGGACCTTCTTGCCGTGTCCTCACATGGCAGAAAATGAAAGGGCACACAGGGGGATCGAGGCGGGTGGATCACTTGAAGTCAGGAGTTGGAGACAAGCCTGGCCAACATGATGAAACCCCATCTCTATTAAAAATACAAAAATTAGCCAGGTGTGGTGGTGCATGCCTATAGTCCTAGCTACTCAGGAGGCCGAGGCAGGAGAATTGCTTGAACCCAGGAGGTGGAGGTTGCAGTGAGCCGAGATCGTACCACTACGCTCCCGCCTGGGCGACAGAGCCAGATTCCATCTCAAAATAAATAAATAAATAAAGGCTGTTCCAACTATATAGGAGTTCAGGATACTGGCAAGGGTGTGATTAAAGTGAAGGACCAGGTGTTCCCAGCTGTGCAGGCAAAGAAGTGCAGTGAGGAAAGCATGCAGTACGGCTGCGTAGAGCACTCCCAGCAAAGCAGGTGGGCAAAGCAAACACACAGGGCCTGGAGGTGTGGAAGGGGTGCAAGGTTTGGACTTTAAATCTCAGAGAGGAAGCAACCCAAAATTAAAGAGACCCCAGGGATGGTGATGGGCACAGTGGGGCAGATGAAGTTCACTGGACAGGGGAGGTCAGGGGCCTAGGGGCCGTGGTGTGGGGTTGCTTGTCCCAGCTGGGATGGACACAGGAATTGGGCTGGAGAAGATGTACATGAGGTGGTCTTGTCTAAACCCTGCACATCCAGCTCCAAGCATGCAGGTAAATTCCCCCGGAACCAACTCCCATGCCAACGTCAGACTCGAACAAGTCCAAGGATGCTGAGTAACAGTCAGGGTTCTCCAGAGAAACCGAGTCAGTAAGATGTGTACATACACACAGAGAGAGATTATTGTAAGGACTTGGCTCACACAATTACAGAGGCTGAGCAGTCCCAAGATCCGTAGTTGGGAACCTTGGAGACCCAGGAGGACTGATGGTGTAAGCTCCCGTCTGAAAGGCAGCAGGCTCAAGACCCAAGGAGAGCCAATGTTTCAGTTTGAGTTTGAAGACAGGAAAAAACCAATGTCCCAGCTCACCCAGGTAAGAGGACTTCCCTCTTATTTGTCACGCGCCTCTGTGTGAAGAGACCACCAAATAGGTTTTGTGTGAGCAATGAAGCTTTTTAATCACCTGGGTGCAGGCAGACTGGGTCCAAAAAAGGAGTCAGCAAAGGGAGATAGGGGTGGGGCAGTTTTATAGGATTTGGGTAGGTAGTGGAAAATTACAGTTAAAGGGGGTTTTTCTTTTGTGGGCAGGGGCGGGGGGGTTACAAAGTGCTCGGTGGGGACCTTCTGATACTCATTGACCAGGAGAAGGAATTTCACAAGGTCAATTGATTAGTTAGGGTGGGGCAGGAACAAATCACCATGGTGGAATGTCATCAGTTAAGGCAGCAACTGTCTACTTTCACTTCTTTTGTGGTTCTTCAGTTGCTTCAGGCCATCTGGATGTATACATGCAGGCTTGGGCTCAGAACCCTGACACCACTCAGCCATTTTGTTCTATGCAGGCCTTCAGTGGGTGGGATGAGGCCCTCTAGAAAATAAAAGGTTTCGCTCTCCCTCTCCCTCTCCTTCTCCCTCTCCGTCTCCCTCTCCCTCTCCCCACGGTCTCCCTCTCATGCGGAGCCGAAGCTGGACTGTACTGCTGCCATCTCGGCTCACTGCAACCTCCCTGCCTGATTCTCCTGCCTCAGCCTGCCGAGTGCCTGCGATTGCAGGCACGCGCCACCACGCCTGACTGGTTTTGGTGGAGACGGGATTTTGCTGTGATGGCCGGGCCGGTCTCCAGCCCCTAACCGCGAGTGATCCGCCAGCCTTGGCCTCCCGAGGTGCCGGGATTGCAGACGGACTCTCGTTCACTCAGTGCTCAATGGTGCCCAGGCTGGAGTGCAGTGGTGTGATCTCGGCTCACTACAACCTACACCTCCCAGCCGCCTGCCTTGGCCTCCCAAAGTGCTGAGATTGCAGCCTCTGCCCGGCCGCCACCCCGTCTGGGAAGTGAGGAGTGTCTCTGCCTGGCCGCCCATCGTCTGGGATGTGAGGAGCCCCTCTGCCTGGCTGCCCAGTCTGGAAAGTGAGGAGCGTCTCCGCCCGGCCGCCATCCCATCTAGGAAGTGAGGAGCGCCTCTTCCCAGCCGCCATCACATCTAGGAAGTGAGGAGTGTCTCTGCCCGGCCGCCCATCGTCTGAGATGTGGGGAGCGCCTCTGACCCGCCGCCCCATCTGGGATGTGAGGAGCGCCTCTGCCCGGCCGAGACCCCGTCTGGGAGGTGAGGAGCGTCTCTGCCCGGCCGCCCTGTCTGAGAAGTGAGGAGACCCTCTGCCTGGCAACCACCCCGTCTGAGAAGTGAGGAGCCTCTCCGCCCGGCAGCCACCCCATCTGGGAAGTGAGGAGCGTCTCCACCCGGCAGCCACCCCGTCCGGGAGGGAGGTGGGGGGGGTCAGCCCCCCGCCCGGCCAGTCGCCCCATCCGGGAGGGAGGTGGGGGGGGTCAGCCCCCTGCCCGGCCAGTCGCCCCATCCGGGAGGGAGGTGGGGGGGTCAGCCCCCAGCCCGGCCAGCCGCCCCGTCTGGGAGGTGAGGGGCGCCTCTGCCCGGCCGTCCCTACTGGGAAGTGAGGAGCCCCTCTGCCTGGCCAGCCGCCCCGTCCGGGAGGGAGGTCAGGGGGTCAGCCCCCCGCCCGGCCAGCCGCCCCGTCCGGGAGGTGAGGGGCGCCTCTGCCCGGCCGCCCCTACTGGGAAGTGAGGAGCCCCTCTGCCCTCTGGGCCCGTCTGGGAGGTGTGCCCAACAGCTCATTGAGAACGGGCCAGGATGACAATGGCGGCTTTGTGGAATAGAAAGGTGGGAAAGGTGGGGAAAAGATTGAGAAATCGGATGGTTGCCGTGTCTGTGTAGAAAGAAGTAGACATGGGAGACTTTTCATTTTGTTCTGCACTAAGAAAAATTCTTCTGCCTTGGGATCCTGTTGATCTGTGACCTTACCCCCAAACCTGTGCTCTCTGAAACATGTGCTGTGTCCACTCAGGGTTAAATGGATTAAGGGTGGTGCAAGATGTGCTTTGTTAAACAGATGCTTGAAGGCAGCATGCTCGTTAAGAGTCATCACCAATCCCTAATCTCAAGTAATCAGGGACACAAACACTGCGGAAGGCCGGAAGGCCGCAGGGTCCTCTGCCTAGGAAAACCAGAGACCTTTGTTCACTTGTTTATCTGCTGACCTTCCCTCCACTATTGTCCCATGACCCTGCCAAATCCCCCTCTGTGAGAAACACCCAAGAATTATCAATAAAAAAATAAATTAAAAAAAAAAAAAAAGTTACTCAGGAGACCCTTTTAGAAATACTTAGGGAAAGATAAGCTGTCTCCTTGGGATGACTGGGCTGGTGTCTGTGCATATGCCTTCTCTGGATCCAAGTGACTTTACCACACCAAGCCTTAAGACTGCCAGACTGTTCTCTCCATTGAAAGCCATTCTGCACCACTGGCCATACAGAAGGAATCTCATATTCCAGGAGACTGGCCCAAACAGGACTGTTGAGTGGCTCTAAGGCTTTTAGACGTCAAAAGGGTTTATAAGAATAATCATCATAATATAGTTATGAATCAGAAACATGCATACATTTTCTTAAATGACCCTGTGGGGACTGGAGTTAAAAAGGGAGGAGTACCCAGATGCAGGCGTCTAGCAGAATGGACTTGCTTGAGAATATCAAGCAAGACAGCCAAAGAGGACTCCTAGGATTGTCTCACCAGGACTTCTGAGGCGACTCTAATGAAATGACTTAAAAGTGTGGTGGAGTGGCTTCTGTGGCTCCCACACCGGCCTAATCCTGGTTGATATTGCACAACCAGGGTGCACTGACAATCTCTGGGAAAAAAGCAAGGTCTAATATTCAAAGCTTGGCAAACATGACCAAGACTTTTTCTCTTTCCTTTGAATTATTTTAGTTCCCTAATTTTTTGTCCCATATGCCACTTAATTCTTTTTATTTTGTATTAAAAGTTGTGCTCTTGTCTCAACCTTCTTTCTAGATTGGATCCTGCATGTTTTTTTTATCATTATACTTTTGGCAGCCCTACCACTAGGCTTCCTGAAATATAGCACCTTTGTTTTTGTTTGTTTGTTTGTTTGTTTTGAGACCGAGTTTCGCTCTGTCACCCAGGCTGGAGTGCAATGGCACAATCTCAGCTCACTGCAACCTCTGCCTCCTGGGTTCAAGCGATTCTCCTACCTCAGCTTCCTGAGTAGCTGGGATTACAGGTGCGTGCCACCACCCCCGGCTAATTTTTGTGTTTTTATTGAGATGGGGTTTCACCATGTTGGCCAGACTGGTCTCAAACTCCTGATCCCATGATCTGCCTGCCTAGGCCTTCCAAAGTGCTGGGATTATAGGTGTGAGCCACCGCGCCCTGCCTGCACCTTTGTTATATAGAAAATTCTTATCAACATTATTGTCTACTTTTAGACTTTATTTTGTTCTATTGAACTATTCTGGTTCTAGTACCATACATTAAAATTATAGCTTTATAATACTTTTTAACATCTGACAGGATGTGCTCCCCTTATCATCCTTCTTTTTCAATATTTTATCATTCTCACAGTTTTTCTCAGATCAACTTCACATGTAATTTACAAAAGAAATTAAAATTACATTGGTATTTAGGTGGAAATTATGTTAAATTTATGTACTAATCTGGAGAAGTCTTGTTTTGTAATAATAATTCTTACCATGAAGGAAAATAGCTTCTCTCTCCGCTGATTCATGTTTTTTCTCATGTCTCTCAGTAGAGTTTATAGCTTTTTTTGTATAAGTTCTCATAATTGCTTGAATATATTCCTAATTATTTAAAAAAAAAAAAAAGAAAATAAAAGGTTTCCACTTTCAAAGTTCCCCTTCTTGTTAAAGAATGAATCATAAGTGTTAGAAATAACAGTTTCTTTTTTTTTTTTTTGGAAGCATTTCCCATTTTTATTCATAAAATTATTACTTAAAATTGCAAAAGTAGATTTACAGAGCCACAGGTAACAAAACAGGAAATGAAATGTTCCAGACATTCCGAAAAGTTCGAAAGAAACACACCCTAGCCTCAAAATCTCCGGTTAAACCGTGGTTGCACAACAGGTTCTATTTATTCCTGCATTTTCTCAATAAGTTCTTCTTTATATTTGCCTTTCTCTTTTCCAACTTGTTGAGACTTGGCTTTGCGTTCAAGAATTTTTTTCCGATCCTTGTCCAGTTTTAGCCTGGTGATAACCACCTTGCTTGGGTGAATGCCCACGTGGACAGTCGTGCCGTTGGCCTTCTCACGCTGCACCCGCTCGATGTAGATGACATATTTCTTTCTGTACACCTGGATTACCTTGCCAATTTGCTGACCTTTGTAGTGTCCTCGAACTACCTGGACCTCGTCGTCCTTGCGGATGGGCATGGAGCGGACATTGTACTTCTGCCGCAGCTCCTTGGAGAGCGGGGATGACATGATCTTCCTGCGCACGTGTGAGGGGGCATTGAAGTAACGTTTGCGGTTTTTACTGCGGTCCGAGGTAACGAAGGGATTGAACTTCATGGTGACCCTCCGGCTACTAGCTGCCTCAGACCCTCAACAGTTTCTTTTAAAGACTAACTTTCTTCAAGCCTCCTTGCTTTGTGCTAATAACTCTTTGTTAAGCTCTATCCTATGTAACTGTTGGACATCCTCACCAACATATTCCAGCTCACAGCCTATGCCCCTTCCTTATTTGGTGATGTTATTGCCTCCTGAGACTTTTCATAAGCAACTTATTTGTTCTTCCCTGCACTTACCTATTTAGGAAAGTTTCAGGTTATTAGCAAATCGGGTATCACTTTAAGATTGTGAGGTCCCACTCCAGCCAATGGATGCAGGACATAGCAGTAAGGACAACCCAAATGCGTAAGGGATAAATACATCTGCTTTTCCTTTGTTCAGGTGTGCTCTCACCATTGTTCCATCTGCGACTGAGCACCATTTCTGCAAAAAGTAAAGATGGCCTTGCTGAGAGATCTTTTGTCTCTGTGCTGACTTTTCTTCACGGCACTGATTATCTTTTTCTAACAATTTTGGTGGCAATTGTATGGGGATATACTTTCCTCCAGGGGCGTCTCTAGTCCTCTCTCACGAGGGGGCACTCTGCTGCCTCTTGCAGTGGCCTCAGGGGTAAGGGACCGAGACCCATCCGGTGTGACCAATAAACCCGGACTCTCAGCAATGTGGAAAGAAACTGGCCAACAACCTGGGGTAAAGGATCCTCACATACCGAGGTGACGACTCTGTGCACAGACCAACGAAGGAGAAGCCACGGGAGCCGGTAAAGTACTTCTTGGTGGTCAGATTCTGGGGGGCTGAATGTGTGTGTGCACGTGAATGATCACAGACAACCCTGCTTGCGGTGTTGTGTGGATGGTGACAAATCCTACTGCTGGACGGAGTGTTTGGGTCCTCTCTGTGCTTCCAGAGCAACCTCAGATGGCTTAGGGCAGATCCTGCCATGGGATTTATACTGGCACGCCAACTCTAAGAGGGGCCTAGCTCTCCCTTGGGGGAGTGGCCAGAGAGGACAACACAAGTGGGAAGTGTGCAAGGGACCTTCAGAGGAGGAAAGGGAGGAAACAGGTCAACCTCTCACGGCAGGCAAGGCAAGACACCCCCTGGTTTGAGGGGGTCTTCTGCAAATTTCAGGGAGTTGAACCTCATACAAACCTCCGGTAGTAAGAAAAATATTCAGAGTTCTCCTTTCCCTTCTTCTCGGGGGAAGAAAGAGGCTAAGCTCCACTCCGCTTGTCCCTTCCCTAGGGGAAGGGGAAGGAGAAGGGAGAATAGCAGCATAAGCGACTGGCAGAGGCAGGGAAAGACCGGCAGAAAGGAAAGAGAAACTGGGAGAGGAAGTCAGAGAGAGAGAGAGACAAAGAGGGAGTCAAAGAGAGAGAAAGAGAGAGACAGAGAGTCAGAGAGAGAGAAAGAGAGAGACAGAGACAAAGAGGGAGTTAGAGAGAGAAAAAGAGAGACAGAGAGTAAGAGAGAGAGAGTCAGAGAGAGAGAAAGAGAAGTAGTAAAGAGAAAACAGTGTACCCTATTCCTTTAAAAGCCAGGGTAAATTTAAAACCTATAATTGATCATTGAAGATCTTCTCTGTGACCCTAGAACACTCCAATACTGCCTGTAAAGAAGCAAGACGAGTCACACCAGTGACTGCAAGACCCTAGAGCTATTAACCAGTTAGTCCAAACTACCCACCCTGTTGTTACAGTAATAGATGTAAAAGATGCCTTCTGGGCTTGTCCATTTGCAGAGGACAGCCAGGACCTATATGCCTTTGAGTGAGAAGACCCTCACTCCGGTGGAAAATGGTAATACCAATAGACGGTCTTACCCCAAGGGTTTACGGAGTCTCCAAATTTATTTGGTCAAATATTCAAATAAGTCATTTAATTAGCAAAGGTAAACAGAAAATTGAGCTTGAA
Organism: Homo sapiens; assembly: GCF_000001405.40. NCBI lineage: Eukaryota > Metazoa > Chordata > Mammalia > Primates > Hominidae > Homo > Homo sapiens. The sequence goes on from NC_000011.10 coordinate 2,337,663, forward strand.
TGGATTGAAGGCATCACATTCTTGCCTCTGCTGGAGACTAAATAAGAGCTTAGAAAATTTTGGGATTAGTTGTATGGATACCGTCGTCTATGGGTAGACTCATGCCCTAAAAACAAAACTCTTACACAAAAAGCTCACACGAGACAGACCAAACCCCCTCATGTGGCAATTACCAGAAATCCAACAGGTGGGAAGGTTAAAACATCTATTAGTAACTGCCCCTGTCCTAGCTTTACTCTCCTTAAGCAGCCATTCCACCTTGTTGGTGGTGTAAACAACGGCGTAGCCCAAAAACACTGAGGCCACTGACAACCCATAGCCTTCCTAATCAAAAATCCTTAACCCAGTAACCCGCGGATGGTCCAAATGCATTCAATCTGTAGCAGCAACTTCTTTGCTGACAGAAGAAAGTAGAAAAATAACTTTGAGAAGAAACCTCATTGTGAGCACACCTCACCAGGTCAGAACTATCCTAAGTCAAAAAAAAAAAAAAAAAAAGAAAAGCAAAAAGGTAGCTTACTAACTCAAAAAATTTAAAATATGAAGCGATTCTGTCAGAAAAAGATGATTTAACATTAACCACTGATCATTCCCTTAACCCAGCAGGTTTGCTAACAGGGGATCTAACTCTTAATGAATTACCATACAAAGGTCCAACCAGACCTAGAAGGAACTCCCTTCAAGACAGGACAATAGATGGTTCCTCCCAGGTGAATGAGGGAAAAAGCCACAATGGGTATTCATTAAGTAATGGGGAAATAGGAGTAGAGTTAGGAAAATTGCCTAGGAGTTGGGGAGTTGTTTGCACTGAGCCAAGCCTTAAGATACTGACAGAATCAGGAAGGAGTCATTGTGAAAAGTGAAGTAGAGTTTCCTCCTCAAAAGACTTTCCTCCCCATCTAATCAGGAATAAATAGTAACTTCTCTTAGTAGCAAAATGTATTCAAAGACCAGCGCTAACATTCTTAAATATCTGCTAGACGTAATAAAGAAATCAATGTACTTTATGTCCTTAGCTCCCACAATTTAGTCTAAATGTTTGCTCTGGCATGCTTATACTGGTCCAGGCAAGCATTAGGTCCTATCCTGTTCCTCTTCCTTGTTTGTGTCTCACATGTCCGTGTGAAAAGACCACCAAACAGGCTTTGTGTGAGCAACAAGGCTGTGTATTTCACCTGGGTGCAGGCGGGCTGAGTCCGAAAAGAGAGTCAGCAAAGGGTGGTGGATTATCATTAGTTCCTACAGGTTTTGGGGTAGGCGGTTGGGTTAGGAGCAATGTTTTGCCAGCAGGGGGTGGATCTCGCAGAGTACATTCTCAAGGGTGGGGAGAATTACAACGAACCTTCTTAAGGGTTGGGGAGATTACAGAGTACATTGATCAGTTAGGGTGGGGCAGAAACAGATCACAATGGTGGAATGTCATCAGTTAAGGCTATTTTCACTTCTTTTGTGGATCTTTGGTTGCTTCGGGCCATCTGGATGTATACGTGCAGGTCACAGGGGATATGATGGTTTAGCTTGGGCCCAGAGGCCTGACAGTTTGAAGGTGTTTTTACCTTTCTCAGCATTCCACGAGTTACTTCTTCCTTTGTTCTCCTCTGCCTTTGCCTCTTTTAAAAAGTTCTAAGTTGCTAGCCAGTCGGGACAAATGCAGAATGTCAGGCCTCTGAGCCCAAGCTAAGCCATCGCATCCCCTGTGACTTGCACGTATATACGCCCAGATGGCCTGAAGTAACTGAAGAATCACAAAAGAAGTGAATATGCCCTGCCCCACCTTACCTGATGACATTCCACCACAAAAGAAGTGTAAATGGCCGGTCCTTGCCTTAAGTGATGACATTACCTTGTGAAATCCCTTCTCCTGGCTCATCCTGGCTCAAAAATCTCCCCCACTGAGCACCTTGCGACCCCCCACTCTGCTCGCCAGAGAACAACTCCACTTTGACTGTAATTTTCCTTTATCTACCCAAATCCTATAAAACGGCCCCACCCTTATCTCCCTTCGCTGACTGTCTTTTCGGACTCAGCCCGCCTGCACCCAGGTGAAATAAACAGCCGCGTTGCTCACACAAAGCCTGTTTGGTGGTCTCTTCACACGGACGCGCGTGAAACAGAATGTGAGGTCCCGTTCCAGCCAATGGAAACCAGACACAGCAGTAGGGTGGACGCGTCAGGTTATAAATGACCCTGTCTCCTTTGCTCAGTGTACTCTCGTGGCAAAACTGCTGCCGAGTGTACCCTTTCTACAGAAAGTATAAAAATGACCTTGCGTAGGAAATTAAATTTATGTTCAAGTGCCATTTCTTTATGGCACCGGGGAGCAAGCATTTCAAACATCATTTGTACCAATTCTAAGTTAAATTTGGACTAAACAAGGTCTTATTAATAGCAAAGGATAATTGAAATCCCAAACTTACAAGGTTTTCAACAAAAGTAAAGTTTGCTAAAAGTTAACAGTATAACATGTATTATCCTAACTTCTAATGTTGTGACCTTAGGCTGTCTAGTCCACAGACATAAAGGAAGTTCGCTTTGGAAAAGAATGGTTATCATCTTTGAGAGAAAAAAAATTGTTTCGAAGGTTTAAGCAAGTTTTGAAATATTCATTGTAAAGGAAACATATTGGCTAAAGTTAAAGGGGTATCTTCCAGTTTTTCTGTGAACTGGACATTAAAATAAAAGCCCAGTGGGTTTTTCTTAAAGCGCTAACCTGCTCTTTAACAAAAATTACGAAAGGTTAAAAATTATAAAAGTTTAAAAAAAGAGTCTGGAAATCTCACCTTGTGGTCAGACCTTAAAATTGGATACATATGTCTACAAGGTTTTATTAAAATGAAGTTTAACACGAATAACACACTAATGTAAAGGTGAAATTTAGCTGATCTGGTATAAAATCACACAGGAAGCACTGTCAAATATAAAATGGTGTTTGGCTTTCTTTGGTCTAAAAACTAATAAAAATAGGTACTAAAGGAAATTTCTCAGCAAGAAGGCACTAAGGACTATAAAATCCACTGCTGATGTCCCCACCTTTAAAACAAAAGATCAATTTTTAGAAATGATATACTTGGTTTATCCTCCACCCTTAAAACAAAAGGTCTTCTAGCACAGGCCCTGCCCTGAGAGTTTCCAGTACATCAGCACCAGCCTGGGGATCCCGTTCTCATCAAAGGGTGGAAAGAAGGGAAACTGGAGCCAGCCTGGGAAGGACCCTGCCTTGTGCTGCTGACTACCGAGATTGCTATTCGTACAACGGAAAGGGGGTGGACACGTCCCACCAGAGTCAAGCAAGCACCATTATCAACAGAATCATGGGCCATTGTTTCTGGATCAAGCCCTACCAAATTAAAGCTAAGGAAAGCTGAGTCTATCTCTTTCCTTTCCTTTCCTAACCCAGTGCCTATATCCATGACTATTCCTACCACTAGCAACTCTAACCCCACTTTAGAGAGTTTCTGTGGTTTGGGAGCAGAGGTCACTGGAAGGGATCCTATAGGCTTCAAGGTGCGCTTTGTTCTCCCTCCTCCACCTCCTACGACTGCCCCTTTCCCAAACCTACAACATCAAACTATGCCTCGCCTCATGCCAAATGACACAAGCAAGTTCTTAGAAGTAGAAATAGGAGACCCAAGGCAAACCCTAGCCATTGAAAGAGGGTATAAAGACATAAATGCCGGTTAAAACGGATTAAATATCCCGTTCGCACTTTAAGCAAAAGTGACCATTAAGCTTGTGGGCGCGGTAGGCCAGAGGCTCAGGATGCCTCCTTTCCACTGGGACGGTCCTCAAATCAAGCGGACATGGAGTGCGTGGTAGCTCTTTTCGAAGATTCCACCACCTGGAATAACGAATTGTGCCAAGCTCTTTCTCTGCTATTTCCTGAAGTTCAGTGCCCTGTGGGTCAGCCCCCGAGGGCCATCCAGCCTTCATCTTCCAAAACCAATTTTACCTCGTGTCTCCAACAACGAGGGGAAAAAACTTGGCATTCCTTGGAGACTTAAAAGGTTGCAGTAAAGTCAGGCACCTCCAAAAGCTGACCCATCGGTCTGCCCTTATTCATCCCTGAGCGGATGTATGGTGGTATTATGGAGGACCTTTACTGGACACTCTGCCAAATAATGAGAGCAGTACTGATGCTGTAGTTCAGTTGGCTATCCCTTTTACTCTGGCATTTCATCAACCAGAAAAAGAAAAAAAAATGTAGCCTCAATTCTTACCTCTTTAACAACGCTAATAAGTATACTCTTTCTTCGTAGGTGTTATGTCGTACCATACATCCAGGAGTTCATCAAAACAACTAAGCCAAGACATGCTAAGAAAGTTTGAAGAGGAAAACTATACAGTAAAAGAGGAGGGAATTGTAGGAAGTAAAAAGTTTCTGCTTCAAAGTTCCCCTTCTTGTTAAAGAATAAATCATAAGTCTTAGAAATAATAGATTCTTTTAAAGACTAATTTTCTTCAAGCCTCCTTGCTTTGTGCTAATAGCTCTTTGTTAAGCCCTATCCTATGTAACTGTTGGACATGCTCACAGACACATTCCAGCTCACAGCCTATGCCCCTTCCTTAATTGGAAATGTTATTGCTTCCTGAAACCTTTTGTAAGCAACTTCTTTGTTCTTCCTTGCACTTACCTATTTAGGAAAGTTTCAAATCGGGTATCAGTTTAAGATAGTGAGGTCCCACTCCAGCCAATGGATGCAGGACACAGCAGTAAGGACAACCCAAATGCGTAAGGGATAAATACATCTGCTTTTCCTTTGTTCAGGTGTGCTCTCACCATTGTTCCATCTGCAGTTGAGCACCCTTTCTGCAGAAAGTAAAGATGGCCTTGCTGAGAGATCTTTTGTCTCTGTGCTGACTCTTCTTCGCAGCACCGATTATCTATTTCTAACAATTTTGGTATTTCTAACAGGCCCACACACACTGTGTGGGCCAAGCTGCTTCACTCAGTCCACTGATCAAATGCTCATCTCATCCTCACAGACACACCCAGGATACTGCTTGACCAAATATCTGGACAACCCATGGCCCAGTCAAGTCGACAGACCAAATGAACTGTCACAGACAGCTTCTGTCCTTGGAACGGGGTGGGATTCCACGGACTCTCTCCCTTCACAGTGGAGATGCTCAGTCAGCAAGCTGCCAGAAGTTCAGAGCTGGGGAAGATATAAAGAGGACTGGGCATGGAAGCTGCAGGAACTAGTCAGGAACTGGGAGTACCTAGGAGTCAGCTCCTGAGTGTGCAGGATCATGGTGAAATAGAAAGTTAGAGAAGGAAGAGTGTGTCAATATCAGAGCATTGTCTTATAGCACAGGACTTAACCCTCTCCTAAGGTTCCAGGGAGACAGTGCCAAATCATCACTTGAGTGGTGCTTAGAAGCTTCAGGGCAAAAGAGCCAACCCTAAGTACATTTGTCTACTGGGGCTGCCATCACAAAGCACCGCAGACAGGGTGGCTTATACAACAGACTCATTGTCTCACAATCCTGGCGGCTGGAGTCCAAGATCAAGGTTTTGCAAGGCTAGCTCCTCCTGAGGCCTCTCTTGGCTTGTAGATGACCGGGGCCTTCTCTCTGTGTCCTCACAGGGTCTTCCCTCAGTGCGTGTCCGTGTCCTCACCTCCTCTTGTAAGACTCCAGTCCTATGAGATTAGGACCCACTGTCATGAACTCATTTACTGTTGATTACCTTTGTTTTATGTTTTTTGTTTTTTTGAGACAGGGTCAGTCTCTGTCACCCAGGCTGGAGTGCAGTGGTGCAATCATGGCTCACTGCAGCCTCAAACTCCTGGGCTCAAGGAATCCTCCCACCTCAATCTCCCAAGTAGCTGGGACTACAGATGCATACCACTGTGCCTGGGTGTATTAGTCTGTTATTGCACAGCTATAAAGAAATACCTGAGAGTGGGTAACTTATAAAGAAAGGAGGTTTAATTGGCTCACGGTTCATAGCTGCTTCTGGGGAGGCCTCAGGAAAGTTTCAGTCATGGTGGAAGGTGAAGGGGAAGCAGACACGTCTTACACGGCCAGACAGTTCCTCCTACACTGGCTGACACTCTCTCCTGCCACCTTGTGAAGAAGGTGCCTGCTTCCTTTTCTGCCATGACTGTAAGTTTCCTGAGGCCTCCCCAGCCATGTGGGACTGTGAGTCAATTAAACCTCCTTTGTTTATAAATTGCCCAGTCTCCGGTAGTATCTTTATAACAGTGTGAGGATGAGCTAATACACACAGGAAGCAGCAATGCCATCAAAGAGCCAGGGGCCTTGACTGGCAGAACTAGTGAGACCATCACCAAAACATGGCATTCCTTGGGCAAGGCAGGTGCGCAGCCAGCAAGGTATTGCTTAATCTACATGATCAAAAGACATCAGGATGGTTGTTCAGGAGGCTGAGAACAGCCATCCTATTATGGCTGAGTTGTGTCCCCTCAAAATTTATATACTGAAGTCTTAACCCCCCAGGACCTCAGTGTGTAAGTATTTGGAGAAAGGGCCTTTAAAGATGTAGTTAAATTAAAATGAAGACATTAGGGTGGGCCCTAATCCAATCTGACTGGTGTCCTTGTAAGAAGAGGAGATGAGGACACATGCAGAGGCATGACCACATGAGGACACAGGGAGAAGGTGGCCATCTGCAAATCAAGGAGTGAGGCCTCGGGAGGAACCAGCACTACCAACACCTTGATCTCGGACTTCCAGTCTCCAGAACCATGAGATGATGAAAGTCTGTGTTTAAGCTGCCCAGTCTGTGATATTGTTTTGCAACCCTAATAGATGAATACATACCCCAATGAAAAAGCATGATCTCTTGCCCAGTTTCTGCACCTGAGACAGTTTTCAAACCCAAACCCCACTGATTGAAGGAGGGATTAGGTCCCAGGAGGACGGACCCTGCAGTACCATAGCAGGCTCCCCCAGTCCTTCCCCACCCCACCACTAAAGGTGTATTTCAGTAACTGTGCACTAGGAAAAGGGCAATGCCCAGGGCTGGGGGACTCCGGGACCAAGTTGACACTGAGAGCTGGAGTCAAGGTACCATCATGGGCCCACTAGAGTAGGGCGTATGGAGGCCAGCAAAGTGCAATCCTGGTCCACCTCTAGCTCACACTGAGTCATCCCTTTGCATTCCCAGAATGCTGCATATTCCCCCAGACCCTAAAAGTACACTCAGACAATCTTGGTAGTTGGCAGAATCCTCACGTAGGCTCATTGTCCTGTAGGGTAAAAACTATCATAGTGTTACCAAGTAGAAACTTCTGAAACTGCCCACCACCTTAGCCAAGGCAATACACCAAAAAGAAAATCTCATTGGTGGGGAATGGCAGAGATGTGGGCCCCTTTGGAAGACTTGAAGGTTGCAGGTGAGGCGATTCCCATCATCTCCCCCATTTTCCAGAGAATGCTAACAGACTACTGTCAACTTGTGATGGGAAATTTTATGCGTCCACTTCACTGGGCCATGGTGCCCAGATGTTTGGTTAAACATTATTCTGGGTGTGTCTGCAAGGTGTTTCTGGATATGCTTAGCATTTGAATCTGTGGACTGAGAAAAGCAGGTCACTCTCTCTGGTAAAGGTGGGCCTCATCCAATCAGTTGAAGGTCTGACTAAAACAAAAAGATTAAGCAAGAGAAAATTCGCTCTCCCTGCCTGTCTTAGTCTGTTTATGTTGCTATAAAGGAATATTGGAGCCTGGGTAATTGATAAAGAAAAGAGGTTTATTTGGCTCATGGTTCTGCAGGCTGTACAAGAAACATGACATCTGCATCTGCTGCTGGTGAGGGCCTCAGGCTGCTTCCACTCCTGACAGAAGATGAAGGGGAGCCAGTGTGTGCAGAGGTCACATGGTGAGAGAAACAAGTGAACATGGGACTGCCAGGTTGTTTTCAACAACCAGCTGTCAGGGGAACTCAGAGTGAGAACTCACTCACTACCATGAGGATGGCACCAAGCCATCCATGAGGGATCTGCCCTCACAACCCAAACACCCCCATTAGACACCACCTCCAGCACTGAGGACCAAATTTCAACATGATTGATAGCCCAGCTCAAAGAGCCGCTTGTCTTTGAGCTGGGATATCAGTGTTCTGCCTTCACACTCAGATTGGAACTTACACCATCAGCTCTCCTGGGTCTCCAGCTTGCAGATGGCAGATGGGGATACTTTCCAACCTCCATAATCACAGGAGCCAATTCCCCCTAAAAAGCCCCTGTGTATATGTACAGCTAATCCCAAGCTCCACTGAGCAGTAGCCCAGTGGATTGTTGCTGTGCCAGCTGTGCTATATTTGCTGGAGCAGAGGGCTGTGGAATGGGGTACATGTTAAGCACCCATTAGTGGGTGGATTTGTTCTATGCCATCCCTATTTAAAAAGAGCCCTGGACACCTTTTGGGGGACATCATCATTCTGCCCACCACCCCGGGACAGGAGGCACATGAATGAACTCACAGGTGTGGCCATGAGAGGTGAAGAGCTTGGTATCACGTGTTCATTCCCAACAGAGAGCATCCACCAGGGAGCCACTAAGCAACCAGTTAGACAGAATGGCCGCAGTCCTTGACTTCAGCCAGCCTCTGTCCCCGACCACCTGAGTGCTGGCCCCCTGGGTGCATGCATGGAGCAGCTTTGGTGGTAGAAAGGGATGCTGACCATGAAATCAACAGCACAGCTCCACCCACCAAGGCTGGTCTAGCCACTGCTGCCACAAATGCCCAACCTGTCTGCAACATGGGCTGCTGAGAAGCCCCCACTAGGCACTATCCATAGAGAAAGTTGACAAGGCAACAGAAGCATCCATCCCATTGGGGGCAGCAATTCAACTCCACTAGAATTGACACATAACCCAGGCTGATCCCCAGGCCTTATTAAGTGTTGATCCACCAAACAGGGCATGCGTAGCAGTGCCTTGGACCAAGGGACCCACTTTACAACACAGGGAGGAGGTGCAGCCATGGCACATGGCACATGGCACATGGCCATGGCATCTGCTGGTCCTATCACAGCCCACACCACTCAGACGCAGCCAGCACCACAGAGCAGGGGAGCAGCCTTTTCAGAGCTCCATGAAGGCCCCAGCGTGGGGGTGATACTGTTCAAGGATGGGGTGTCACATTGTGGAACTCAGTAGTCACTCCAACTCAACAGCCACCATGGGGTGCTATGTCCCCAACAGGCCTCGGAACCAAGGGGCAGAAGCAGCAGCGGCCCCTGTACCACCACTGCCAGTGACCTGCTGTGGGTTTTGTGCATGCTGTTCCCTCCACTCTAGGCTGCCAGTCCGGGGTCGTGGTTTCCACAGGGGACAACGCCACCAGTGGACAGATAGGAGACCCACTGAAATTTAGGCTACAGCCGATGCCTTGTCACTTTGGATTATTTGTCCCTGGAGACCAACAGTCATGACAACGAGCCCCCAAACTGGGAGGGAGGTGGGCCGTGGCCATCAGGAGGCAGTAGAACTGCTACTCCATGAGGGGACAGGAAAGAATACATTTGGTGCCTGGTGATCCAAGTGGTGGGACTTGGGGGACTTGGTGTTCCCTCAACTGCTTTATTCATGAGTGGACAAGTACAACAGCCATGGCCTGAGCAGGGATGGTGACCAGGGCCCCAGACCCCTCACTGAGGAGGGTCCCAGTTGGCCCACTGGGTAGGCCACAGAGACTAGAAGAGGTGCCCACTGACAGGGAAGGAACCAAACATGAGTCAGGGAAGAACAAGGGTCATGACAGCCATGGCCAAGACGCTATGGGGCACAGGCTGTAGTTGGCTGTTTCTCTAAACTTGTAAACCCAGGTATTAGTCAGCGTTCTCCAGAGAATCAGAACCCCAGGATATATACATACAGACATATGAGAGGATTTATGAGGGGAATCGGCTCACATGATTATGCAGGCTGAGAAGTCTCATGACAGGCTGTCTGCAAGCTGGAAACCTAGAGAAGCTGGTGCGGGGCTCATTCCAAGTCCAAAGGCCTCAGAACCAGGGGAGCGGATTGTGTAACTCTGAGTCCGAGGCCAAAGGCCTGAAAACTGGTGGTGGTGGAGTGGCTACTGGTGTGAGTCCCAGAGCACAATGGCTGGAGAACCCGGAGTTCCGATGTCCACAGTCAGGAGAAGATGGGTTGCCTAGCCCTGGAGAGAAGGAGAATTCGTCATTCCCTGCCTTTTTTCTCTCTCTAGGCCCTCAACCTATTGGATGGTGCCAACCACATCAAGTGAGGGTAGATCTTCCTTATTCAGTCCATGGATTCAAATAACAATCTCTTTCAAATCTACCCTCACAGATACCCAGAAATAATGCTTTGCAAGATGTGATGGTTAATTTTGGGTGTCAACTTTACTAGATTAAGTGATACCCAGGTATCTGGAAAAGCATTATTTCTGGGTGTGTCTGTAATATAGGTTGGATGTCACCCTCTACCCCCTACCCAAATCTCATGTTGAATTGTAATCCTTCATGCTGGAGGTGGGGCCTGGTGGGAGGTGATTGGATCACGAGGTGGATCCTTCATAGCTTGATGATGTCCTCATGGCAGTCATAAGATCAGGCTGTTTGAAAGTGTGTGGCACCTCCCCCACCTCTCTCTTGCTCCTGCTTTTGCCATGTGATGTGCCTATTCCCCCTTTGCCTTCCACCATGATTGGAAGTTTCCTGAGGCGTCCCCAGAAGCAGATGCTTCTATGCTTCCTGTACAGCCTGCAGAACTGTGAGCCAATTAAACCTCTTTTCTTATAAATTATCCAGTCTCTTTTATCTCAGGTCTTTCTTTTCTTTTCTTTTCTTTTCTTTTCTTTCTTTTCTTTCTCTTCTCTTTCTCTTTCTTTCTTTTTCTTTCTTTCTGTCTTTCTTTCTTTCAGACAGATTTCCCTCAGTCTCCTACAGTGCAGTGGCGCAATCTCAGCTCACTGCAACCTCCACATCCCAGGTTCAAGCCATTTTTGTGCCTCAGCCTCTCGAGTAGCTGGGATTACAGTCATGCACCACTGTGCCCAGCTAATTTTGTGTTTTTGGTAGACACAGGGTTTCTCCATGCTGGCCAGGCTTGTCTCAAACTCCTGACCTCAGGTGATCCACCTGCCTTGGCCCCTCAAAGTGCTGGGATTATAGCCACCATGCCTGGCCCCAGGTATTTTTTTACAGGAGTGCAAGAATGGCCTAATACAGAAACTTGGTACCAGGGAGAAAGATATTTCTATAAAGATATCTGAAAATGTGGAAGCAACTTTGCAACTGGGTTACAGGCAGAAGTTGGAAGATCTTGAAAGGCTCACAAGAAGAGAGGAAGATGAAGGAAAGTTTGGAACCTCTTAGAGACTGGTTAAATGGCTGTGACCAAAATGCTAATAGTGATATGGACAGTGAAGGACAGGCTGATGAAGTCTCAGATGGAAATGAGAAACTTATTTGGAACTACAGCAAAAGTCACATGTGTTATGCCTTAGCAAACACTTGACTGCATCCTGTTCATGCCTTAGGGATCTGTGGAAGTTTGAGCTTGAGAGTGATGACTCAAGGTATCTGGCAGAAGATATTTCTAGGCAGCAAAGCATTCAAGATGTGGCCTGGCTGCTTCTAACAACCTACACACAGATGCGGGAGCAAAGAAATGACCTAAAGTTGGAATTTACATTTAAAAGGAAAGCAGAGTGTAAACATTTAAAAAAATTTGCAGCCTGGTCAAGTGGTAGAGAAAGAAACAGCTTTTTCAGGAAATAAATTCAAGCACACTCTGGAGCTACCGCTTACTAGAGAAATTTGCACAACTGAAACAGAGCCAAGTGCTAATATCCAAAGACAATGGGGAAAAGGCCTCAAAGGCATTTCAGAAACTTCCAAAGAAGCCCCTCCCATCACAAGCTCAGAGGCCTAGGAGGAAAGAATGGTTTCATGGACCAAACCCAGGGCCCAGTGCCCTGCACAGCCTTGGGACACTGTTCCCCACATCTCGGCCACTCTGGGTTCAGCCTCAGCTAAAACGGGTCCAGGTACAACTTGGGCTGCCATTACAGCTCCAGAGAGTGCAAGCCATAAGCCTTGGCAGCTTCCGTGTAGTGTTAAACCTGCAGCCACACAGAATGTAAAAGTGAAGGAGGCTTAGGAGCCTCCACCTAGATTTCAGAGGATGTATGGAAAAGCCTGGGTGCCCAGGAGGAAGCCTGCCACAGGGGCAGTTACCTCACAGAGAACCTCTACTAAGGCAGTGCAGGGGGGGAATGTGGGGCTGGAGGCCCCACACAGAGTCTCCAGTGGGGCACTTCCTAGTGGACCCATGGGAAGGAAGGGGGCCACTGTCCTCCAGGCCCCAGGATGGTAGATCCACTGGAAGCTTGCACTCTGCACATAGAAAAGCAGCAGGCACTCAACAACCTGTGACAGCAGCCACAAGAGCTGCACCCTGCAGAGATACAGGGGCAGAGTGGCCCAAGGCCTGGGGTGGCACACCCCTCGCACCAGCATGCCCTGGAAATGGGACATGGAGTCAAAGGAGACTACCCTAGAGCTTTAAGATTTAATGACTGCCCTGCTGGGTTTTGGACTTGTATGCAGCCTGTAGTCCCTTTCTTTTGGCCAATTTCTCCCTTTTGGAACATGAATGTTTACCCAATGCCCATATCCCCAATGTATCTCAGAAGTAAATAACTTTTTTAATTTTACAGGCTTGTAGATGGAAGGGACTTGCCTTGACTCAGTTGAGACATTGAACTTTTGAGTTAATGCTGAAATGAGTGAAGACTTTGGAGGACTATTAGGAAGGTATGATTGTATTCGGCAACAGGAGAAGGATATGAGATTTGGAGGCCCAGGGGCTAAATGATATAGTTTGGATGTCCTTTCCAAACTTCATGTTGAACAGTAATCTCCAATGTTGGAAGTGGAGCCTTGGTGGGAGGTGATTGGATCACAGGGGCAGATCCCACATGGCTTGGTGATGTCCTTGATCTGGACACAAGATCTGGCTGTTTAAAAGTGTGTGGCACCTCCCCCCACCTCTCTCTTGCTCATGCTTTTGCCATGTGACATGCCTGCTCCCCCTTTGCCTTTTGCCATGATTGGAAGCTTCCTGAGGCCTCCCCAGAAGCAGATGCTGCTGTGCTTCCTATACAGCCTGCAGAAACATGAGCCAATTACATCTGTTTTCTTATAAATTACCCAGTTGCAGGTCTTTCCTAATAGCAGTGCAATGACAGCCTAATACAGTCTGTGAAGGTGTTCTCAGAAGACATCGGCACTTGAATCAGTGGACTGAGTGTCTTAGTCCATTTGTGCTGCTATAAGAAAATGCCTGAAACTGGGTACTTTATAGAGAAGATAAACTTATTTTCTCACAGTTCTGGAGGCCGGGAAGTTCAAGATCAAGGTGCCAGCAAGTATATTGTCTGGTGAGGGACCCTATCTCTGCGTCCAAGATGGTGTGTTGTGGCAGCCTTCTCCAGAGGGAACGAATGCTGGGGTCCTCGCATGGAGGATAGTGGAAGAGCAATACAGGGTGAACTGTCCTTGAAGCCTTTTTGACAGGGTAGTAATTCAGTTATGAGGACAGAGCCTGCATAACTTAATCACTTCCCAAAAGCCCTACTTCTTAATACCACCACAATGGGATTACATTTCAACATGAATTTCTAGGGGGTATGTTCAAATCATAGCATTCTACTCCTAGTCCCCCAAAATGTATGACCTTATCACATTAAAAATACATACATTCCATCCCAGTAACTCCAAAAGTCTTAACTCATTCCAGCATCAACTTTAAAATCAAAGTCCAAAGTCTTATTTAAACATCGTCTACATCAGATATGATTGACACTCTAGGTAACATTCATCTTGAGGCAAATTGCTCTCCAGCTGTAAACCTATGAAATCAAACAAGTTACATGCTTCCAAAATATCATGGTAGGACAGACAGGGGATAGATATTTCCATTGCAAAAGGGAACACTAGGAAAGAAAAAAGCGATAATAGATCCCAAGTAAATCCAAAATCCAACAAGGCAAGCAAAATCAGATCTTGAAACTTGACAATGATCTCCTTTGACTCCCTGTCATGCCTTCCAGATACCCTAGGGTGGGAGTTGGGCCCCCAAGTCTCCAGGTGGTCCTGCCCCCATGGCTTTGCCGGCTGTGGCTCCCAAGCATGACAGTCCCCTGCTTTTGGCTGTCCCAGGCTGGAGTTGCACAGCAGTGTTTCTACTGGCTTGTGGTTGAGGGGGCCCTGACCCCATGGCTCTATTAGGCCATGCCTCCATAGCACGTGCTCTGTGTGTGCCTGCAGAAGATGCTGCCAAGGCGTATTGCCTGTGCCTCTGGAGGGGCAGCCTGAGCCACACCTGGGCCCATGTGAGCCATAGCTGAGGCAGCTGAGGAGTGCTACACTGGAATGCAGGGAGCAGAGACTTGAGGCAGTACTGGGCATGAAGGCCCAAGGTCCCATAGGTACTCAGGGACCCTCCAGAGCCCTGGGTTCCTCCCTTGACTCCATTCTGCCCTCAAAGCAAATGCAGGGAGCAGAGACTTGAGGCAGTACTGGGCATGAAGGCCTAAGGTCCTGTAGGTACCCAGGGACCGTCCAGAGCCCTGGGTTCCTCCCTTGACTCCCTTCTGCCCTCAAAGCCCTAGAACTCTAAGCCTGTGATGGCCATGGCAGCCTGGAAGAGCTTTGAGATGCCGTCAGGGCCTTTCTTCCATTGTCTTAACGGACAGCACCTGACTTCCCTCTATCGCCAGGAATCTTATCAAATGGTCCCTGGGCCACACCCTTTGTTTTCTCTCCTACACGCGTGGCCAAGCTGAGACTCTTCCAAACCTTTAAGTTCTGCTTCTCTTTTGATTATAGATTCTGTCTTTAACTCATTTCTCTCTTTCTTGCATTTTACCATACACAGTTGAGAGAAGCCATGCAGCTCCCTTAGCGTTTTGCTTAGAGATTTCTTCCTCTGAATATTCTAGTTCATCACTGTTAAATTCTGCCTCCCACAAAGCCCTCAGGCACAGACACAATTCAGCCTAGTTCCTTACCACTTTGTAACAGGAACGGTCTTTCCTCCAGATTCCAATAAGATATTCCTTGCTGTGATCTAACACTTCATCTTTACTATTCATATTTCTACCAGCATTGGGATCATGATTACTTAAACATTTCTCTTTTTTTTTTAGATGGAGCCTTGCTCTGTCGCCCAGGCTGGAGTGCAGTGGTGGGATCTCGGCTCACTGCAAGCTCCACCTCCCGGGTTCACGCCATTCTCCTGCCTCAGCCTCCCGAGTAGCTGGGACTACCGGCGCCCGCCACCACGCCCAGCTAATTTTTTGTATTTTTAGTAGAGACGGGGTTTCACCGTGTTAGCCAGGATAATCTCTATCTCCTGACCTTGTGATCCGCCCACGTCGGCCTCCCAAAGTGCTGGGATTACAGGCGTGAGCCACCGCGCCCGGCCCACTTAAACATTCCTAAGAAGACTGAGGCTCTGTCTACAGATCTCCTCTTCTTCTAAACCTGCACCAGAATTGCCTTTAATACTCTGTTCATAGCCATTTAGGCTTTTTCTGCCATGCACTCTGAAACACTTCCAGACTCTACCAGCAGTTTGAAATCTGCTTCCACATTTTCAGGTATTTATAACAGCAACACCCCACTTATGTTTAGCAAATTATGTCTCCGTCCCTTTGTGCGGCCATAATAAAATACCTGTAACTTGGTCATTTCTACAACAGATTTATTATGTCACAGTACGGGAGGCTGGAAAAAGTGCAAGATCAGGACACTGGCTGTTTTGGTGTCTGGTGAGGGTCCCAGTCTCTTCTTCAAGATGAAGACTTGTTGCTGCCTCTCCTGAAGGGGACAAATGCTGTGTCACCACACTGTGGATGGTGGAAGAGCAATACAAGGTGAACTGTCTCTGAAGCCTTTTTTATAAGAGCGTTGGTCCATTCATGAGGACTGAGCCCTCATGACTTAATCACTTCTCAAAAAACGCTACCGCTTAATACCACCACAGCGGGGATTAAGTTTAAATATAATGTTTGGAGGCCAGGTGCAGTGGCTCATGCCTGTAATCCCAGCACTTTGGGAGGGTGAGGCGGGCAGATCGCTTGAGGTCATCAGTTCAAGACCAGCCTGGCCAACATGGAGAAACTCTATCTCTACAAAATACAAAAATTAACTGGGCGTGGTGGTGCGTGCACACCTATGGTCCCAGCTACTCGGGAGGTTGAGGCATGGCTTAAAGCCAGGAGGTTGCAGTGAGCTGAGATCGCGCCACTGCACTCCAGCCTGGGCAACAGACTGAGACTCTGTCTCAAAAAAAAAAAAAAAAAACTTGGAGAAGGCAAATTCAAAGCACGACAGTAGAGAAGGTCCATCCTCGCCCAACGTGAGTGGGCACTGTCCAATCAGCAGTGGGCCCAGATAAGGAAAAAAGGTAGAAGAAAGGCGAACTCTCCCTCTCTGCCTCTCCCCACTCTCCCTTCTGCAGCTGGGACACCCATCTTCTCTTGCCTTTGGATATCAGAACTCCAGATTCTTCAGCCTTCGCACTCTGAGACTTGTACCAGTGGCCTCCGGGTCTCAGGCCTTCAGCTGCAGACTGAGAGTTACCCAACTGGCTTTCCTGATTGACGCTTAGACTGTACCACATAAATGGCTTCCCTGGTCCCCAGCTTGCAGATGGCCTATTGTGGGAATTTTCAGCCTCTGTAATCATTGTAATCATATGAGCCCATTCCCATAATAAATCCCTTCTCATGTATCTATGTATCTATACCTGTATCAATCCTATTTCTTTCTTTTTTTTTTTTTTGAGACAGAGTCTTGCTCTGTCACCCAGGCTGGAGTGCAGTGGCGTGTTCTCAGCTCAATGCAACCTCCGCCTCCCAGGTTCAGGCGATTCTCCTGCCTCAGCCTCCCGAGTAGCTGGGACTACAGGCACCCGCCACCACGCCCAGCTAATTTTTGTATTTTTAGTAGAGACGGGGTTTCATCATGTTGGCCAGGATAGTCTCCATCTCTTGGCCTCGTGATTCACCCGCCTCGGCCTCCCAGAGTGCTGGGATTACAGGCGTAAGCCAGCACACCTGGCCTCGATGCTATTTCTATCCTATCGGTTCTGTTTACCTGAAGAACCCTAACATAGGTTTTGGTATCAGGATGATTCTAGAGAAACAGAATCATAAGAATGAGTTTTCTGAATGTGTATTGTGTTTTTCGGAATTGGTTTTCTAATATGACTTGACTTAAAAGTGAGAAGAACTCTACTTCCAACAGTACACAGGACACTGATGGTCCATGGTGTGAATAGTTTATGAAAATATGCAAATTTCTGCATTGTATACTCCTAGTAAACCACTTACAAGAGGCAAGGAGCTTAGTGACTCTGTATATGATATTTTCGAACATTTGTGGAAAACCAGGGAATATAGTGACGTGGGCTGGTTACCAGTTGGTTGCTGGACAAAGTGATGAAATCACAGGATGTGCTCAGTGATTCAAATTCCCAGTTCCAGCTCTGTATAAATAACCTGTGAGTGGCTGAGTGAACCCTGAAGGAGAACCTCCTTTCCTGTAGCCCTGGGGCCAAGACTGCTGAAAAGCAACCACAAGTCCTCGTCCTGAAACTGGATGAATTACAACGCAAGTTGAACTCTCAGCCTTGCGGGGTGTCCACTGTTCCAGTGAGGGCATTGGCTGGGAAACAGAGGATCCTGTAAGTTGGGATGAAGACATATGGAAGGACCCTGATGAAGCTGGGGACGGTCAGCCTCTAAGTTAGGATGAGTCATTTTGTCAGCAGAAGCAGCCTCCCTGCACCCAGTGGCAGTGCTACACCCACCCCCAGTGCTACACCCCTCCCCCAGTGGTACTGGCCTTTCCACCTTCTCTGAGGCATTAATCTGTGTTGCCTGAGGAAAGGGTAAGGACTTCCCCTAAGGCAGTTGCTGATTCTCCTCGGGTCCCTCCCCCAACCCTTCCCTTTGCTTTAAGACCTATAACAAGACTCACAGCCCAGCAGGCCCCTGAAGGTGAGGCCCACAGTGTGACACAGGAGGAGGCGAGCCACACCCCAGAAGAGCCACTCGACCTCTCTGATTTATACAGACAGACACCTGGGAGCATGAGTGGGAACGGACGTTGGGTGTAGGGCACTGGGGGAGGAACATGGAGGTGGAGGGACCAGGTGTGCAGGCATGTCCACCAAGTAGAGCCTGAATTCCAGGCTGCAACTCAGGGACTTGGAAAAGCTCTAACTGGCTGGTCGGTTGAAACATGGATCAAAGGATGCCTGCAGTGAGCGAGCTGGAGATGCCTAAGCTCCCTTGGCTTAACATAGAGGAAGGGGTTCAAAGGCTCATTCCCAAAGGAGATCAGAATGTGACAATGAAAACCTCCTCACCTACCCTGGGAGGGCCCAAAACGCAGACCTTTCACAACAGGGATCCCCAACCCCCCGGGCCATGGACTGGTACTGGTCCATGGCCTGTTAGGAACTGGGCCACACAGCAGGAGGTGAGCGGTGGGTGAGTGAGTGAAATCCGTATTTATAGCCACTCCCCATCACTTGCATGACCACCTGAGCTTGGCCTCCTGTCAGATCAGCAGCAGCATCAGATTCTCATAGGAGTGCAAACCCTACTGTGAACTGCACATACGAAGGATCTAGGCTGCAACGCTCCTTATGAGAATCTAATGCCTGATGATGTGTGGCTGTCTCCCATCCTCCCCAGATGGGACTGTCTAGTTGCAGGAAATCGAGCGCAGGCCTCCCACTGATTCTACATGATGGCGAGTTGTATAATTATTTCCTTACATATTACAATGTAATAATAATACAGATAAAGTGAACAATAAATGTAATGTGTTTGAATCATCCCAAAACCATCCTCCAACTCCGGGTCTGTGGAAAAATATTCTGCCATGAAACTAGTCCCTCATGCCAAAAAGGTTGAGGACTGCTGTCTCACAACACTGAAATATAGACTTGTGAGGGAGCCCAGTCTCCTTGAAGAGCTCTGAGATTGTTCTTCTCTGTAGGCCAGACTCACTGTGGGAACTGCAGTCAATCAACTGAGAAACTTACATGTGATGGGAATAATTGGATCCTGGGGTAGCAGTGGCCAAGTGGGGGCATTCAAGCACCAAAGGCAAAGTTGGCATGGTTACCATGATAGACAGCAGAGGCAAAGTAGCAGTCAGACCTGAGTTACAGGTCCAACCCATGTAGACCTATGGCACTGGCTGGTTACCATGTTTTTCCTAGCAGTGAAACAGATGGGAAGCCTGCTCAATTCCTACTGGATACAAGCAGAAAACTTACAGATCAAGTGGACAAAACTCTAAGTCCAATCATAAAAACAGAGAATCATGGCCTCAGTCTTTCACAGACTTGAGCCAGTCTATGAACCCAGAAAGAGTGAAAGAAAGGCTGGGTACCCTTGAGGAAGGACCCCAGGATGGCCAAAAATGTATATATACTGTTAATTCTTTCCCTGGTCTTCTCCAAAGGGGTCTATGGCCTTCTATCTGTGTAACTGTGTATTGGAAAAAAGAAAATAATGTGGCATTTCAGGACGATTGGACACTGGCTCTGTCCTGACATTGATTTTAGGAGATGCTGGAACGACACTGTGGCCCTCCAGTTAGGGAGGGGCTTAGGGAGCCAGGTGATCAATGGAGTTTTAGCTCAGGTCTGACTCTGTGGGTCCAGCGGGTACCCAGCCCATCCTGTGGTCATCTTCCCAGCTCCAGATGTGTAAGTGGAACAGACACACTCAGCAGCCAGCAGAGTCCCCACATGCGTCCCGTGACCTGGTGTGTGAAGGCTACTGTGGTGGGAAAGGCCAAGTGGAAGCCATTAGAGAGGTCTCTACCTAGAACCGTCAGTCAAAAGCCATCCCACATCCCTGGAGGGACTGCAGACATCAGTGCCACCACCAAGGACTTGAGAGGTGCAGGGGCGGCGATCCCCACCACAGCCCATTCTCCCCACCTATTCGGCCCACAGGGGAGACAGGTGGGTCCTGGAGAATGACAGGGGACTGTCCTAAGTTTGACTCCAGCTGCAGCTGCTGGGCCAGACGAGGTTCCATCGCTTGAGCAAATTAGCACATCTCCTGCTCCCTGGTGCGAAGCTCTTGATCCAGCAAATGCGTTCTCCTCCACCCCCGTCCACAGGGCCCAGCAGAAGCCAGGCCAGCGATGCACCCTCGCCGCCCCACCTGAGGGGCCTCTCGCCTCTCCAGCCCGTGTCAGAGGTAATTCTCAGGAGTCTCGATCACCTCTCCCTTCCCCAGGATGTCACACTGGCCCATTACACTGGTGACATCATGTTGATGGGACGTAAGGCACAAGAAGTAGCCTCCATCCTAGACTTGTTGGTGTCGGAGGGTGGGGAATAAACCCAACTGGAATTCAGAGCCTTCTACCTCAGGGAAATTTCCAGTGGTGTGAGGCCTGTTCTAAGGTGAAGGACAGGTTGTTGCAGCTGAACCCTCCTACAACCAAAAGAGAAGAACGGCACTAAGTGGGCCTGTCTGATGTGGGGTTGACACGTTCTTTCTCTTTGAGGTGTCCAACTCTGTCCATTTACTGAGTGATTTGAAAAGCTGCTAGTTAGTTTTAAGCATGGCCCAGAGCAAGAGAAGTCTCTGCAGTAGGTCCAGGCTCTGTGCATGCCGCTCTGCCACGTGGGCCACATGACCCGGCAGATCCACTGGTGCCTGGGGTGTCAGTGGCAGACAGAGACCCTGTGTGGAGTCTTTGCCAGGCCCCTGTAGGTGAATCACGGCTCAGGCCTTTAGGATTTTGGAGGAAGGTCCTGTCATCATTCACAGATAACCCACTCTCCTTCAGAGAAACAGCTCTTGCCCTGCTTCTGGGCCTTTGTAGAAATTAAACACTTGGCAGTGTGAATCTATAATCCCAGCACTTTGGGAGGCTGAGGTGGGCAGGTCACCTGAGGTCAGGAGTTCAAGACCAGCCTGGCCAACATGGCGAAACCCTGTCTCTACTAAAAATACAAAATTAGCCAGGTGTGGTGGCGAGTGCCTGTAATACCAGCTACTTGGGAGGTGGAGGCACGAGAATCAGTTGAACCCGGGAGGCGGAGGTTGCAGTGAGCCAAAATGGTGCCGCTGCACTCCAGCCTGGGTGACAGAGGGAGACTCTGTCTCATAAAAAAAGAAAAGAAAAGAAAGAAAAAAAGAAAAGGAAACTAAACTAGACAAGGGCCACCAAGTTACCACGTGACTTGAATGGCTCATCATGATCTGGGGACTTTCTGACCCACGTAGCCATAAAGTCGTGTGCACAGCAGTGCTGCATCAGCCAGTGGAAGCAGGGGATAGGTGATCAGGCCCAAGCAGGTCCTGAAGGCACAAGGAAGTTACGTGAAGTAGTGGCCCAAAGCCTGTGGCCCCACTGCTGCTCCCCTGCCTTCTCCCTCCCTGTCTGCACCTGTGGCTGCATGGGGAGTTCCTCTGATTAGTTGACGGAGGAAGAGAAGACTCAGGCCGGACTTACAAATGGTTCTGCTCAGTATGCAGACACTACCGGAAAGTGGACAGCTGCAGCCCTGTAGCCCCTGGGGGATATCCCTCAGACAGTGGTGAAGAGGAATCTTCCCCGTGGGTAGAACTTCCGGCATGCACCTGTGTGTGCTCCGCTTAGAAGGAGCAGATGTGTGATGATATTTCATTCATGGCTGTTGCCAGTAATTTAAGTGGATGGAGGTGCTTGAAAGGAACATGATTGGAAAATTGGTGATGAAGAAATGTGTGGAAGAGATGTATAGATAGCCCTTTCTGAACATGCTAATGACATCCAGATATTTGTGTCCCATGTGAATGCTCACCAAAGGGTGACCTCAGCAGAGGACTTCAGTAATCAGGTGGACAGCATGAGCTACTCTATGGACACCAGTGAGCCTTTTCCCAGCCACCCCTCTCATCACCCAGTGAGCTCCTGAGCGAAGTGGCTGTGGTGGCAGGGATGGAGGTTGTGCGTGGGCTCAGCAACATGGACTTCCACTGACCAAGGCCAAGCTGAGTACCACCAGCACTGTATGCCCAGTGTGCCAGCAGCAGAGACCAACACTCAGCCTGATAAGCTCCATTCCTGAGTGATCAGCCCAGTGCCTGGGGGCAGGTGGGTGACACTGGACAGCTCCCATCATGGAAGGGGCGCTGAGGCTCCATTCCCCAGCGTGTTGAGCCCGGTGCCTGGGGGCGGGTGGGTGACACTGGACGGTTCCCATCATGGGAGGGGCGCTGGTTTGTTCTCACTGGGATAGGCGCCTGCCATGGATATGGATTTGTCTTCCCTGCACACAGTGCTTCTGTCGTCACTACCATCTGTGGGCTCAGAACTCCTCATCTAATGCCGTGCTGTCCACACAGCATTGCTTTGACGAAGGAACTCACTTTGCAGCCAAAGAAGCGTGGCAGTGGGCTCATGCTCGTGGTATTCACGGGTCTTACCGTGTTCTCCATCATCCTGAAGCAGCTGGCGTGATAGAACGGTGGAATGGGCTTTTGCAGACACAGCTCCAGCACAAGCTGGGTGGCAGTCCCTTGCAGGGCTGGGGCAAGGTGCTGCTCCAGGAGGCTGTCCGTGCTCTGAATCAGTGTCCAATATGTGGAGCTGTCTCTCCCACAGTCAGGATTCACCCGTCCGGGAACCAAGGGGCAGAAGTGGGAGTGGCACCACCCACCATCAGCCCCAGTGACCCACTAGCAGTGTTTTTGTTTCCTGTTCCCATGACTTTACGCTCTGCTGGCCTAGGGGCCTTGGTTCCAAGGTGAGGAATGCTGCCACCAGGAGACACAACAATGACTCCATTGAACTGGAAGTTAAGGTGGCACCTGGGCAGTTGGGGCTCCTCAAGCCTCAGAATCAACAGGCCGATAAGAGAGTTTGGATGCTGGCTGGGGATTGATCCAGAGGACCCAGGGGACATCGAACTGCACTCCACACCAGAGGTGCGGAAGAGCACGGGGAATGCAGGAGGCCCCTTAGGGCTTCTTTAAGTGTAACCACACCCTGTGGTTAAGATCCCTGGGGCCAGGCTCGGTGGCTCACGCCTGTAATCCCAGCACTTTGGGAGGCCGAGGCGGGCGGATCACGAGGTCAGGAGATTCAGACCATCCTGGCTAACACGGTGAAACCCCATCTCTACTAAAAATACCAAAAAATTAGCCGGGCATGGTGGCAGGCACCTGTAGTCCCAGCTACTTGTGAGGCTGAAGCAGGAGAATGGCGTGAACCCGGGAGGCGGAGCTTGCAGTGAGCCGAGATCGCGCCACTGCACCCCAGCCTGGGCGACAGAGCAAGACTCCGTCTCAAAAATAAAAAATAATAATAAAAAAATAATCCCTGGGAAAGCACAGCAATGCAAGTTTCCTTAGGAAACTACAGCAAGGCCGAGACCCTTAAGCACTGAGGCCTTGGGTCACCTGGCCAGGTACAGAACCACTACCGGCTGAGGTGCTTGCTGAGGGCAAAGGGACTACAGAATGGGCAGTGGTTATAAACACCAGGTACTCCTGTAGCTTGGCCAGTAGCAGAAATGAGGATTGCAACTTTCACGAGTGTTTCCTCTCCATTTTGTTAAGAAAGCATTTGTGCATATGTGTACATAAGTTAAGCAAATATCTGTTTTCTTTCCTCTCTTACTCCTTTATCATGTAACATAAGATCTATTGATTTTGTCTCAGTATCAAGGTATCGTGAATTTTACATGACAGTATTGAGGTCGTGCGATATCGGGAGAGTCGACATCACTCGAGGACTTCACCTCCTCTTCCAGGGAAGGAGTCAGTGCGTGTCTGGTTGTATGCGGGACAGTCATCACATGTTAGTTGGAACCATGACCTTGCTGCTGTCTATTTGGAGATGAAGTACGGTTTAAGGAGGTGTGTATGGGTTCCAAGCTGACAAGGAGTGAACTTGTGACGGTTCGTTTCAGCTGTCAACTTGACTGGATGAAGGGATATCCAGAGAGCATGAAAGCATTATCTCTGGGTGTGCCTGTGAGGGCATTTCCGGAGAGACTGGCGATTGAATCCGTGGGCTGAATAAGGAAGATCTGTCTTCACCCAAAGTGGGAGGGCACCATCCAATCCACTGAGGGCCCAGGCAGAACGGGAAGATGAATTCGTGCTCTCTTGCTCTCTCTTCCCCCACCAGAGCTGGGACACCCACCTCCTACTGCCCTTAGACATCAGAACTCCTGGTTCTCTGGGCTTTGGACCCTGGAACTTATACCAGTGGCCCCTCTGACTGCGAGTTACACTGTCGGCCTCCCTGGTTCTCAGATCTTCAGGCTTGAACTGAGCCACACTACCAGCCTCCCTGGGTCTCCAGCTTGCACAGACAGGGCAAATCATGGGACTTCTCAGTCTCCATACTCATGTGAGCCGATTCCCATCATAAACCCCCTTTCTTCCATCCATCCATCCATCCATCCATCCATCCATCCATCCATCCATCCAGCTATCTATCTAGCTACCGAGCTAGCTACCTGTATCTTTACTTATCTCTATCTATGTCTACCTATATCTATATCTCTGTCTACATCTCTATATCTATCTGATCTATCTCTATCTCTATGGTAATCTCAATCTGTCTGTCTGTCTGTCCGTCTCTCTGTCTATCTGTCTCCCTCCCTGTCTGTCTATCTGCCTGTCTGCCTGCCTGTCTATCTGTCTGTCTGCCTGTCTGCCTGTCTGTCTGCCTGTCTGCCTGTCTATCTGACTGTCTGCCTGCCTATCTGTCTGTCTGTCTGTCTTTATCTCTATGGATCTGTACTTATTTATCTATCTCATTCCGTGTATCTGTCTCTATATCTATACATCTACATCATGGAGGACTATGGTAGATGCTCACTGCTGTGCACTGCACCGTCCCTCCCAGCGGGACCACAGCACTGGTCCAGCCAGCTGCCCACAGCTCTCAGCTTGCTCCTCCCGAGGAAATGCCCTCAGCCAAAGGCAGCTGCCTCACCCATGGCTTCTCCCTGCCCTGGAAGCCACCTCTACCCAATGAATGGTCGATGGAGGAAGCAACAGGTCAGGTCCTTCACCTGAATTCATGGCCTCTCTAAAGGGCCCCTTCAGCTCCAAAAGCACCCGAGGCATCATCAGAAACCTTCTTTGCGAGTGGAGCACAGCTCAGCTGCCCCCACCTGCTCCTTCCCTCTCTCACAGCCTTTGTCCCCAAGAGCACTTGCCACTTTACCCTTGACCTACATGTCTCTATCTGGCAGTGTCTCTTGGGGAACCGAACCTCAGACAGTTTGCAAGCAACAAATTCCAAAGGTCGTGCCTGGGCCTGGAGCTCTGCTGACATGGAAGCCATGCCCACCTGGGACCTGAGGGTGTTTCTTGTCTCACAGGCCTGATATTGAGTGGTGTGCATCTGCATACCCAGGTGGTTGTTAAAACACAGAACGGCTTCCATGCTGGTTGAACGACCCCTACCTTGAGCCTCCAGGTGTCCCCCAGAGGCCACCCCGGTTCCTTCCCCCAGGGTCCAAGCAGGGCACGACAGACAGCTTCTGGAACATCACTCAATGCCGTGGCCAGCCCCATTCTGATGGGTCTGCACCAATCGGGGCTGCTTGTTAAGCATGACTAAAGTCTCCTGCAGTCGTCTGCTAGGACTGCCACAGCAAAGCGCCACAGTCTGGCAGCCTTCACAGAGACATTTATCTCCCCAGCCCTGGGGGCCTCAAGTCCAAGCTCAAGTTGTTGTTGGGGCTGGTTCCTTCGGGGGCTACGAGGTGGCCTCTGCCCAGTCCCTCCAGCCTCTGCCCAGTCCCTCCAGCCTCTGGGGCTCCCAGGCAGCCTCGTGTTTCTTGGCTCGTGGAGCATCACTCTAATCTCTGCCTTCACCTTCACATGGCGTCCTTCCTGTGTGTGCGTCTGCATCCAACTTCCCCTGTTCCTAAGGTCACCGGTCAGATCTGAGCAGGATACTAATGGCCATATCTTAGTTACATCTGCAGTGACCCTATTTCCAAATAAGGTCACATATGAGGCACTGAAGGTCGGGACTGCAACATGCTTGTTCTCCTATCATGGAATCAGACCAGCAGGTGGGTCACATTCCGCCAGAGGGAGAGTGGGCAGACGCCCAAAGGGCTGGATGTATACAGCTCCAGGAAGAACCGCAGTTGCAGCTGCTTGGACAGGTGTGGGCACTCACAGCCTCCCATGACAGCCCTGGCTGGGGGCTCCATCCACAGCCCCTGGTGGGGTGGGGCAAGGCCCTTCCTTCTGACCCACAGGACCTTGGACCCCTGGGGCACTGCAGAGGGACTCAGGGTCAGACCAGCAGCCTTTGACATGGCCAAGAGTGAAAGTGATGGGGACCCACGAGCCATCAGAGCTCTGTCTCCAGAGCCTGCACAGGGAGTGTTGGGACAAGGAGCAAAGGAATCGGGAGCACATCAAGGCAGGCACCAGATTTGGAAGAACGCCCCGGGGGAGGTGCTCCCAGGCGAGTGGGGCAGAGGGCAGTCTCCTCCTGGGCTTCCCTGGGTCCCAGCCCGGCCCGGCTGGGCGTCCCACTGTCTTTGGTGTGGTGTGCTCCCTGCCTGTGGCCCTGTGATGGGAGTCCTGCTTCTCTAAACAGTGAGACCCTCACAGAACCCGTCAGCATGTCCAAAGCACCTGGAGGAGAAAAGATTTGTCTCCTCATTCGTCACTAGGTTCATGGTTGAGGCTCTCACAGCAAAAGACAGATTAACAAGAGAAAAGCAGACACATTTATTCAATATAAGTTTCATCTCGTATAGGAGCCTTCGGAAATGAGGACCCAGCACTTCGGGAGGCCGAGGTGGACAGACCATTTGAAGTCAGGAGTTCCGAGACCAGCCTGGCCAACATGGTGAAACCCCATCTCTACTAAAAATACAAAATTAGCCGGGCATGGTGGCATGTGCCTGCAGTCCCAGCTACCGGGGTGGCTGAGGCAGGAGACTTGCTTGAACCCGGGAGGTGGAGGTTGCAGTGAGCCGAGATCACGCCATTACACTTCAGCCAGGGTGACAGAGTGAAACTCCGTCTCAAAAAAAAAAAAAAAAAGAAAAAGAAAAGGAAAAAGAAATGAGGACCCAAGGGAAGAGGGAAACCCGTGTATTTTTATGTGGAGTTTGATGGAGAGTCATGCAGAGTGTGATTGGATTAGACAAAGTGGGTGTACTCGTCCGTTCTTGCACTGTATAAAGAATACTTGAGACTGCGTAATTCATAAAGAAAGGAGGTTTACTTGGCTTACAGTTCCCCAGGCTGTACAGAAAGCATGGTGCTGGCATCCACATGGCTTCTGGGGGCGGGCTCAGGAAACTTACAATCATGGCGGAAGGCAAAGGAGGAGCTGGCACTTCACGTGGCCGGAGCAGGAGGAAGCCCAGAGGGAGAGAGGGGAGGTGCCATATGCCTTTAAACAAGCAGGTCTCATGAGAACTCACTATCACGAGAACAGCACTGGGGGGAAATCCACCCCCATGAGCCAATCACCTCCAGCAGGCCCCACCTCCAGCATTGGGGATTACAATTCAACATGAGATTTAGGCAGGTACACAGATCCAAACCGTATCAGGGTGTGGCCTAATGGTGATACACTGGGGAGACTTGGCCTGTGGTCTTAGTCCATCGTGTGCTGTTAGAACAGAAAACCACAGACTGGCTAACTTATTGGCCCCTGGTCCTAGAGGCTGGGAGGTCCGAGATCGACAGGCCACCTCTGGCAAGGGTCTTTGTGCTGCCTTATCCCATGACAGAAGGGCAAAGAGAGGGAGAGAGAGACAGCCAGAGAGAAGGGGACCAAACTCATCCTTCTGTCAGAGCCCGCTCCCACGACAATGATGTTAGTCCATCATGATTACAGAGATGGGGGACACATTCAGACCACAGCAGCCCCCTCAACCCGCACACACTGCACATTGAGGGGAGGGCCGGGAGACTGGAAGGAAACATCAGAGTCTGGAGAAGACCACCAGGATCACCAGGGCTATGCTCTCACCCGGCACCCAGCACCGAGGGGCTCATGGGAAACAAGACGGGTCTCTCGGTGCACGAGTGCTGGGCACACATAGTCCACCGTGCATCCTGGGCTGATGATCTGGACCCTGGTCCTGTGCAGCCCTGGGGTGGGGCTCCAGGCTGAGATCAGCCACGTCTGGGGGAGGAGACAGTGTTCCCAGTCTCACCTTGCCCCACGGACTCTGACAGGGGTTGAAGAAGCAAGGAGGCTCCAAGGACTGGGGAGGGGGAGTCTGGCCGACGATCTAGGAGCATCAAGGCGCCTGCTCCCTCTCGGCGTGGCCCGGTCCTGTAGGTGGTCAGTTATGCAATGCCACTGCCTTCCTACCTCACAAGGAGGGTGGGTGGACTCAGAAGCCAGGCCCAGGCTTCCTTCTTGGCTCAGGCAAGGAACATAGGGGGCTTTGAGCTTTGCTTATTCATTTAACAACTGAACCCCTAGTCTGTGCCAGGCCCCCATTTAAATGGTCCCTGGGATACAGCAGGGTCCAGAATGGGCCCAGACCCTGCCCCCATAGCTGACCTTCTGGAGAGCCTGAGGAGTGAGGGGTGCCCTCCAGGCACGGCAGACGGGGCAGGCTCTGCATTCGGGGGCTCCAGCTGCTTTCCCACCACCCACCCACTCCACCCGAGCCCTTCTGGGTCAGCTGGGCTCCTGGCTCTGCCCGCCTGGGGTGCAAGACGCCAAGTTCCTTCCTGGACAGTGAGAGAACCATGCCAAAAAGAAATGAAAGGAAGGCAGACGGCGAGATGAGGGAGAGGGTGGGCACCCAGCCAGGGACCGCAGAGACGAGGAGGAGGCACAGAGACCCACTGTCCCCAGCCACTGCCAGTGAGGCTGGCCCAGGGCCAGGGGCTGGGCGTCCCTGGCATGCATGTGGCTCCCAGTGCCCCCACGTCCAACAGGAGTGGGGCGGCCCCCTCTTCTGCCACATCCCCATCCCACCTCCCATTCCATTCACTGGTCTCATTTTTAAGTTTTTCTCTCCCAGTTATTCAGGATTGATTTGGAGAGCAGAGCGATGGCTGCAGGTGGCTCTTCATTTTCCTTCACCTAAGAAGCAAACCATCATCCACCCCAAGCTTGTCTCTCCAGCCTGCCCCCTACATGAGGACAACCTCCCTCCTCTTCCACGGTGGCGCTGTTCCCACTGGAGGCCCAGGCTTGGCCATCCGTTCATTCTTGGAGTCCTCAAGAGATTGTCAGCTCTGCAGTGGGGAGCAGCCGCTGTCAAAGACCCTGGAACTTCCTCCCTGCTGCGTCCACCAACCCCCACTGCCCGCTGGGCACTCCCAACCTGAAACAAGCTTGCTCGCTGCAAAAGCCTCACCTCTGACCCAACTTCCCACTCCCAGGATACCCAACCTGGCCTTCCCTCTGGATACCCCTGTGGGCTCCCCTCTGCTGATGGGTTCCCCTCTCCAGCTGTGGCTTCCCTCTGCTGATGGGGTCCCCTCTCCAGCTGGGGCTCCCTCCACTGATGGGGTTCCCTCTACAGCTGTGGCTCTCTCCACTGATGGGGTCCCCTCTCCAGCTGGGGCTCCCTCCACTGATGTGGTCCCCTCTTCAGCTTGGGCTCCCTCCACTGATGGGGTCCCCTCTTCAGCTGGGGCTCCTCTCCACTGACAGGGTCTCCTTTCCATCTGGGGCTCCCTTGGCTGATGAAGTCCCTTCTCCAGGTGAGGCTGCTCTCTGCTGACAGGGTCCCCTCTCCAGCTAGGTCTCCTCTCTGTTGATAGGGTCCCCTCTCCGGGTGGGCTCCCCTCTGCTGACGGGGTCCTCTGATGGGGTCCCTACTCCAGGGGGGCTCCCCTCCATAGATGAGCTCCCCTTCCTGGGTTGGGTGACCCCTCCGCCCTATCTGTGTCTGCAGGTTGGGGCTAGGCAGTGCTGGCCAGCATCTGACAACCTCCCCTTTCTGTTCTTGGGCACTGCTCACTTATTCAGGTCTCAGCCAGGCAGCCCCTCCAATGGTAATCTTCAGAGTCCCCTTCAGCAACACAGCTTCCCCTCTGTGGCCCAGCTCATGCTGAAGTAAACAAGGCAATGTCATTAACGGCTGGTATCAGCTTGTACGGGGAACCAGTGGCCCCAGAAGCCTCTGGGGAGGCCCAGGCTGTGAGGATCAGGGGTCCGGAAGAGCCTCTAGAGCGGGAGAAAGAGGCCTCAGGGGTCCCTCCTCACAGGGGATGGTGACAACACGGTAGGGAATGGAGGGGTCAGGGCTGGGTCCAGGACACGGTGACCCTGGCCAGAAAAGGCCGGGCCTGGCTGGCACCCGCACGAAGGGAACGGAGCCAGTGTGGAAAAGCAGGCCCGCGTCCTCTTCTGCACTCCCAGCCCCTTTAAACTACACACAGCTTGTAGGAAGGGGATCAGAGGCCCCTGGGCGTCCCATGGCTATGCTGCACCTGGGGACATGAAGCCTAGGGTAGCTCAGCCAGCTCTGGTCACGGCTGACAGACAGCCTCACCCCAACAGCCTCACCCATCCCTCCTCAGGGAACAGGGTCCTAACAAGCTGCTTTCCCCATCCCAGTGTTGAACAAAAACTCATGGGTTTAGACAAGAGTGAAGGTGACTCCTCCACCACCCATCCCACCTCCAGCAGGCAGCCACCCCCAAAATTATTGATTTATTAATAAATCAATGACAGGTGCCAGCCAGCCCCACCTGTCCCCAACCTGCAAATGCAGACAGGGGTCACTTGGTCCAGGGAGAGGAGACCCTCAGTGGAGGGGAGACACCCTGGAGAGGGGACCCCATCAGCAAAGGGGAGCCCCAGCTGGAGACAGTAAATAGGCAGACTATTCACTGTCTTCCCCCTCAAGCCAGGCCCACAGAGTCACAGAGTATAGCCACCAGCCTCCTGGGCCCACCCGGGAGGCCCCAACCACACTCCCCCTGCTCAGCTCAGCCCGGATTTCTGGATTCTGCTGCCTGCCAGGGATCCTGAGGAGGAGATGGTATCAGAGCCTCACCAGCCCTTCTCATACCCAGGAGTCCTCATGATGATAACAGTGTGTGCGCCAGGCTGTGCAGGTGCTGGCCGGGATCCTCTGAGGGGACGAGATCTCCATGGGAGGGCACCACTCTGATGTCCATCCTGGGCTTCCGTGGCCCTGCCTGGCCACTGCCCGCTGCTCTTGGTCAAGATCATGGACCCTCAGAGGCCAACCAGGCCTCAGCCTGTGCCTACAGCATCCTCTCTACTGCCGGGCTTCTGAATTGCTCCTTCCTCCTGTCTCCCACCCAGAGCAAGAACGAAGGGGAGGCCCCCAGAGCCCTGCAGCGCCGGGAGAGACTCCCATCCCCACCCCGCATGCCATCAACACAAACTGCCGGAGAGTTTAGGGGATCCCACGACTTGGGGTCTCCAAAGAGACCCCCGGGACATCTCATCGAGACCCCCCTGGGCACTGCATGCTCAGGCTTCCCACCCCTGGCCCACCCCATGGGGTGTGCCCAGTCCCGCATCTCACCCCATATCCATGCATGCATGCATGAACCTGAAAGCACCCCACACCCTCTGGTGCTCAGTCCTCCCCTCCTCCCTGGGGTCCCCTCCCCTCCCTGCCCCCCAAGCCTTGCATCCCCCTGCAAACCTCACAAGGGGGAACTATTTCTGTCCTGAAAGCAGAGAGGGCCCTTTTCTTGGGACCTCTCCGCCATCTCTGCCTCCACTCCCAGCTGCTGTCAGCTCTGGCCTGGCCCCTGCAGGAAGCAATCACTGGTCTCCCTGTTTCCCATCTGGCCCCAAGGTCTGTTCTTGCCCTTCGACCAGAGAGGTTTGAAAGCACAACTCGGGCCCTGCGTGCCCTGCTCCCCAGGGCTCCACACCTCTGAGCACCCGCGCAGTAACGGAGGCTCCCAGCCCCGCCTCGCCCCAGGGTCCCCTCCAACACTCTCTGGCCTTGGGCCTTTGCTATACCCGGGGCCTGGAAGGGCCCCCTCATCCCCCAAGTGTCAGGCAAAGGTCTCAGAGCACTGTCCCTGCCCGGCGTGCTTGGTCCTGACTGCTAGGCCCCAAATCATTCCTTTTCCCATTACCTCTTGGTTTCTCTGTAGCTGGGGTCACTACCCCAAATTCTTGAATTGACTGACGTGTCCAACTATTTCATGTTTTCCCCCTCTACACTGGGAGCCCTACAAGGGCAGGGCCCCCTGGGCAAGAATAGTGCCAGCCAGGAGCCCCTGGAGAAGATAGCTACACATGTGCCCCAGGCCCCAGATGGCACTCAGCCCTGCCTGTCAATGCTGGACATAGGGCAGTTTTTATCCTGGCTTTCTACACAAGGAGGAAAGACTAACCATGCCAGCGGGCAGCGGCCGGATCACGTATGTCAGTAGAACTCTGACCCCTGAGAAGCCTGGAAGCCAAACCACACCTCTGTAGCAATCACGCCACAGACTCAGGCCACGGCTAACGGCTGCCAGTTCACCTATTTTTGCCCCCAACTCAAGACCAACTGGAGGAAGGCAAATATGTCCCTGACGAAGGGTGGCCGCCTCCAGCCTCCCCAGCCCAGAGCCTCAGCCTCCCCAGCCCACTGCCTCCAGCAACACACATCTGAAGCCTTCTCTGTTGGTTGGTTTTATTGGTATTTTGGAAGATTGTTTGTTTTTTGTTATGAGATGGAGCCTCGCTCTGTCCCCCAGGCTGGAGTGCAGTGGCGCGATCTCGGCTCACTGCAAGCTCCGCCTCCTGGGTTCAAGCCATTCTCCTGTCTCAGCCTCCCGAGTAGCTGGGACTACAGGCACCCGCCACCGTGCCAGGCTGATTTTTTTGTATTTTTAGTAGAGACGGGGTTTCACCATGTTAGCCATGATGGTCTTGATCTCCTGACCTCATGATCTGGCCATCTCGGCCTCCCAAAGTGCTGGGATTACAGGCGTGAGCCACTGCACCTGGCCTTTGGAAGGTCTTTTATACCTTTATTGAGATAAAATTCTTATGACATAAAACTTAGCATAAACTGTAGACTTAGTTGGTGTGACTTTAGAGTAGTCTCAGAATTGTGCAACCATCACCACTGCCTACTTTTAGAACATTTTCAACATCCCAAAGACAGAACCCCGTAGGCACCTGTTAGCAGCCACTCCCCACCCAGTCCACGAAGCCCCAGGCAGCCACTCACCAATCTACTTTCCATTAATTTGCCCATTCTAAACACTTGAAAAAAATGGTATCACAATGGTCTTTTGGGTTTGGCTTCTTTCCCTCAGCATCATACCCTCAAAGTTCATCCATGTTGTAGCTCGTATCGGTACTTCATTCATTTTTATGGCTGAATAATATTCCACTGTATGGATAGACCGATATTTTGTTTATTTATTTATTCATTGATGAACATTTGAATTGTTCCCACTTTTTAGCTATTAAAACTAGTGCTGGCTGCGTGCAGTTGCTCATGCCTGTAATCCTAGCACTTTGGGAGGATGAGGCAGGCGGATCACTTGAGGCCAAGAGTTTGAGACCAGCCTGGCCAACATGGTGAAACCCCCATCTCTAATAAAAATACAACAATTAGCCAGACACGGTCATGCGTGCCTGTAATCTCAGCTACTCAGGAGGCTGAGGCAGGGGAATCTCTTGAATCCGGGGGGCAGAGGTTGCAGTGAGCCAAGATCGCGCCACTGCACTCCAGCCTGGGCAACAGACCAAGACTCTGTCTCAAAAAACAAAACAAAACAAAACAAAACAAACCAGTACTGCTATGAACATGCATGTGCATATTGTTATACAGACATATGCTTTCATTTCTCTTGGATACACACACACACACACACACACACACACACACACACACACACACACGTATATCTAGGACTGGAATTGCTGATTTTTATGGAAACTCTATATTTAGCATTTTGAGAAACGGCCAGTCTGTTTTCCGAAGTGGCTGCACTATTTTGCATTCCCACCAGCAATGAAGGAGGGTTCCAATTTCTCCATACCTCTGCCAACACTTGTTATTGTCTGTCTCTTTTATTTATAGCCATCTTGATGGGTGCATCGTGGTATCTCGCTGTGTTTTGATTTGCATTTCCCTGATGACTAATGATGGGGACATCTTTTCATGAGCTTATCGGTCATATGTACATCTTCTTTGGAGCAAGCTCTATTCTAATCCTTTGCCCATCATTAAAGGTAGGTGGTTTGTCTTCTTGTTGATAAGTTAGAGTTCTTTACATGTTTAGATACTAGTCCCTTATCAAATAGATGATTCACAAATGTTTGCTGTCATTTCTTGGGTTGTCTTTCCACTTCCTTGATGGTGTCTTTTCACGCACAAATGTTTTTAGCTTTGGCCAAGTCCAATTTATCTATTTTTTCTTTTGTTGCCTGTGCTTTTGGTAGTGTATATTAAAAACCATTGTTTAACACAAGGTCACCAAGATTTATTCCTATGTTCTTTCCTAAGGATTTTATTTTTTCTTTTCTTTTTTTTTCTTTTTTTTGAGACAAAGTCTCTCTCTGTCGCCAAAGCTGGAGTGCAACGGCACAATCTCAGCTCACTGCAACCCCTGCCTCCTGGGTTCAAGCGATTCTTCTGCCTCAGCCTCCCGAGTAGCTGGGATTACAGGCGCCCACCACCATGCCCAGCTAATTTTTGTGTTTTTAGCAGAGACATGGTTTCACCATGTTGGCCAGGCTGGACTCAAACTCCTGATCTCAGGTGATCCACTCGCCTCGGCCTCCCAAACTGCTGGGATTACAGGTGTGAGCCACTGCGCCTGGCCTTCCTAAGGATATCATAATTTTAGTGCTTACATTTAGGTCTACGATCCATTTTGAGTTAATTTTTGTGCACAGCATGAGGTAGGGGTCCAACTTCATTCTTTTGCACATGGATATCTAGTTGTCCCAGCACCATTTTCTGAAAAGACTATTCCTTCCCCCATTGAATTGTCTTGGTACCCTTGTCAAAAATCAACTGATGGCCGGTCTGAAGGTAGTGAGTTATCTCAATTGATTGTTCACAGTCAGTTACAGATGGAACACCTCGTTCTACTCTTTCCCGCCTTCTCACTGCTGCACTTGAACAGTCTTTAAAAAAATCAATTGACCATAAATGCAAGGATTTGTTCTTGGAGTCTCAACTTTACTGCATTGATCTGTAGGTCTATCCTTATGCCAGTACCACATTGTCTTGATTACTGTAGCTTTGCAGTAAGTTTGAATCAGGAAATGTGAGCCCTCCGGTTTTGCTCTTCTCTTTCTAGATTGTTTTGGCTATTCTGAAACCCTTGTATTTCCTTATGAATTTGAGGATCAGCTTGTAAAAAGACAGATGGGATTTTGATAGAGATTGTGAAGCTATAGATGAATTCGGGAGTTTGGCCATCTTAACATTATGTCTCCTGATCCATGACTGCAGGATATCTTTCCATTTAATTCGATACTCTTTGATTCCTTTCAAAAATATTTTGTATTTTTCAGTACACAAGTTTTATGCATCTTTTGTTGCATTTATTTCTAGGTATGTTCTTTTTGCCAATATTATAAATGAGATTGTCTTCTTCACTTCATTTTTGGATGGTTCATTGCTAGTGTATAGAAATAAAATCGATGTTTGTATATTGATCTTGTATCCTGCCACATTGCTATGCATGTTTATTAGTTTTAAGGGTTTTAGTGGATTTTCTATATATAATGTCATATAATCAGCAAATAGAAAGTTTAATGTCTTAGTCCTTTTGAGCTGCCACAACAGACTACCATAAACTGAGTGGCTTATAAACAACACAAATGTATTTCCCACAGTTCTGGAGACTGGGATGTCCAAGATCAAGACACCCGTAGGTTTGGTGTCTGGTCGGGGCCTACTTCTGGGTTCATAGATGACTGTCTTCTCGCTGTGTCCCCCCCATAGTGAAAGGAAGGGGCCCAGGGTCTTTCTAAGGCTTCTTTTATAAGGACACTAATCCAATATAGGAAGGCTCTGCCCTCATAACCTAATCTCCCAAAGGCCTCACTTCCAAATTCCATCACCTGGGGAGTAAGAATTTCAACACTGGGGGGACACAGATATTCAGACATAGCATTTTTCTTCTTCCTTTCTAATATGGGTGCCCTTGACATCTTTTTCTTACCTAATTGCCCTGCCAGAGCCTTCCAGACAGTGTTGAATGGAAGTGGGGAGCATTCACCCCACCTTACTCCTGATCATAGGGGAAGAACTATCCGGCTTTCACCACTGAGCACCACGTTAGCTGGGGTATTTTTGTCAGCGCTCTTTATCAGGTGGAGGCAGGTCCCTTCTATTTCTAGTGAGTTCAGTGCTTTTTTTTTTTTTTAATCAGGGAAGAGTGTGAGCTTGTGTTTGGGTGCCTTCCCTGCGTCTGTTGAGATGATCTTACGGTTTCTGTCTCTTATTCTATTGATATGGCGTATTTATTACCTTGGTTGCTTTTTGGATGTTGATAACATCCAAACTCTTCTGCCACCCCTTTTAATAGAAAGCTGTACAACTCCCCAACCTGCCTGGGCGTGTCTGCCCAAGATGAGTGCTAGTGGCCGACTCCCTGCTAGAGTGAGCACTGCATAAACAGCCTCTGCTTGTCCTCATTTGAGTGATCTTCATGTATTCCACGAGAAATCAAGGCACAGGGGTCTCATGGTCTCATGAATGGCTCCACCAACTGAAGGTGTGCTCCATCGGGGCTGTGAGTCACCTCACGCCAGGCAGAAAGGTCTCTCTGTCAAACATGGCTTCAAGGAACCAGGGACCTGGTTCCTCCCACAGGCCAGGCCCTGCCCCTAAGTGCAATGGGAATATATGCACATGTCACCTGTCCCAAAATGCTGGGAGATGGCACTTCTGCAGATGGGGAAACTGAGGGACCAGCCCGAAGTCACGGGGAGGGGAAGACTCCTACACACAGGGAGGAGAAGAACCCAGCCGGGCTGCAAACGCCTGCCCTTCCTCAACGTGCCTCCGGCTGTGCCCACATCGCTCCAGCAGCTCTGCCTTCCTCAGGCATAAGCCTTCTCAGGGCAGGGGAGGCCCAGGGAGCGGCGCTCCCATCCCAGGCCGGGCTGCTGAGCAAGCCCCTCCCCTTTCTCCCCTCATCCTCTGACAGAGTCCACCTGAATATTTGTCCTGGAGCCAGGATGGAAGCTCCACCAGGCCCAGCTAACAACAGGAACCCTTTCAGACGCACTTCTGGGTGCGTACTGTGCCAGTATCACACAGACACAAGCCATGTCCTTGTCAGCCATGGGATCCCCAAGGTCCCCATGAGGTCACACCAGTGGGCCACTGGGAAGGGCACTTCAGATGTGGAGCTCCCATGGGCCAGGCCCTGCGAAGTGGTCCTCCTACCCCCTCATAGCCAGTCTTCCCTGTGAGCCTGCAAGTGACTGTGAATGTGAGTTCCACTCTGGAGCTAAGACGGGCTGCTGCCCCCGCAATCAGATGTCAGGCCCATGAAGCCCTCCATCATCCCACTGCAGTCAGAATAAAATGCAGCCTCCCTCTGGCCTCCAGGTCCCAAGGCCAGCCCCCCTGCCTCCCAGGCTCACACCTGCCCCTAACCTGTGTCCAGCCCCTTTCCCCTGGCTCTGTCTCCTGCTTCCCTTGTGTTCCTCCAACCTCACCTGTCTGTCTGGAGTGCTCCTCCCCGGCTCTGCCTAGCTGGCTCCTTCTCAGGCATCAGGGCCTGGATCCACTGTGGCTCTTCCAAGCCTCTGCACTTGGAGTGCCTCAGCCCCGTGGTTGAGGAGTGCCCCAACCCTGTGACCCTCTAGCAAGCATCCTAGGAATTCCGTCCCTCCCCAGCACTGATATGACCATCGTGCTGTGACACGTGTCATCTCCGCCAGAGTTGCAGATCCTCCAGGGGAGGGGTCTGCTGCCTGGCTCCCACAGCCAGGGCCTGGAACAGTGCCTGACACACAGCAGGCACCCACTAAATATTTGATGCATGGCTGAAGAGGACAGGCAGGCTGGCTGCTGGCTGGGCATGGCCTGCTTCTGAGGCTGGTGGTCAAGGACACAGTGTGCATGGATCTGCCCCCTCCTCCCACTTCCTGAGAGTGGAGCCAGTGTCTCCCTCCACCTACCACCCCCTGCTGAGGACACAGCTCACACCTTTAACGGGAAATGTCCCCATCACTGGGGACAGCAGGGAGCTGATGGGAGAGCAGGTGTCCAGGACATCCAGAGAAATGTTTCCTCACACTGGAACCCTTTTCTATTCCCTTCTAAACAAAAAGAATCCTCGAAGACTCTCAAGTGACCATATAGTGTCTTTTCTTATAATGTCACTTCGACAGGCACAAAATGTAAAACCAGGCATAAACTACTAGTGCTTGCAGTTCTTACGCAGGCATGAAGCCAAAACCAGTTTACAAATTAACCACCAAGAAAACCGGTAGAGCACAGATGATGACGATAGAGCTGTTTTGTCCAATGTGAGCGCTACTGGCCACCCAGGGCCATGTGAATTTAAATTACGATGAAACACAATGAAAAATTTGGTTCCTTGTGGCCACATTTCCAGTACCCAGTAGTCATCTGTGCCAGGGGGTTATCCAGGTACAGAACATTCCCATCGTTGCAGAAGGTTCTATCAGCTAGCACTGGGTTGGACGACACTTGCCAAGACGAGCTGGCTAGAGGATGGTTCTCCGGACCTGGTCCCACGTGGTTCCCAGGTAAGCCCCCGCCCAGGATGCAGCCCCGTTGTCCATCAGTTTTCTTGGAGAGGGCATGGGAAACCTTCGTCAGTGTGTCATCTCCTGCAAAGGCCTTCGCTCCTTCCTCTGGGGAGAAAGCACCCTTCACTCTCTGAATCATTAGCCCAAAGCAGTAAGTGCAGCAGGCCTGGCCCCACACCTTCCGGAAGAGCCACGGTGTGAGGCTGGCATCCCTGGGGCACGACACAACCAGGATGTAGACGAAATAGATGCAATATCTGGAGGTTCTCCTATAGGTGTCTCTGGCCTCCTGGACACTTCACACTGTTCTGGGAGCTGCCCTCTCAGGCCCCAGTGACCTTTTCAGATGCAGACTCCCACAGCATGGGTCAGCAATTCTCCCCTTCCGTGAGACAGGGATTGGTTACCTGTACTAGGACCTTGAGGCCAACACTGACTAGGGGGCCTCATGCCTGCCCAGGTTCCAGCCCCGGAGAGCAATGTGAGCAAAGCTTGCTGTCTTTGCAAAGCCAACCACTGTGGCATCAACTCCTTCAGGAAGCCCTCCCGGATTGTCCAAGGTGCTCACCTCCTTTGGGGAGCCCTCCCAGATTGTCCAAGGTGCTTGAGGGAGGGAGGAATGGGTTGTTCTCCCGGCACCGGGGCTGCACTCCTGGGCAGACGCTGCATGCCTGTCCTCAGGCGCGGCCCTGCTGCCACCCCCTTGGGGGCTCGGAGCGCGACAGCAGCTTGGGGACGCCTCCCGCGCCCAGCACGGTGCACCTGGGCCCTGAGGTCCTGGCCGAAACGCGCCAAGTTGGGGGTAGGTGCAGCGACCCCATACCCCTCGGCTGCGCGCCCTGGCGGCAGGAGGCGGGGCCGGGGGCGGGGCGTGAGCTGGCCGGGGCGGGGCCTATGGAGGGGCGGGACCGCGGCGCCCTATAAGTACTGCGGAGCGAGGCGCGCGCCCGGCCAGAGAGCGAGCGCGCAACGGCGGCGACGGCGGCGACCCCACCGCGCATCCTGCCAGGCCTCCGGCGCCCAGCGCCCCACGCGCCCCCGCGCCCCCGCGCCCCCGCGCCCCTTTCTTCGCGCCCCCGCCCCTCGGCCCGCCAGGCCCCCTTGCCGGCCACCCGCCAGGCCCCGCGCCGGCCCGCCCGCCGCCCAGGACCGGCCCGCGCCCCGCAGGCCGCCCGCCGCCCGCGCCGCCATGGGAGTGGAGGGCTGCACCAAGTGCATCAAGTACCTGCTCTTCGTCTTCAATTTCGTCTTCTGGGTAAGGGCTGCGCCGGGGGCCGGGGCGGGAGGGGGCAGGCACACACTCCACGTTGGGCAGGTCCCGCGGCAGCGTGCTAGGCCCCGCGGGCGCAGCGCGGGCCGCGAAGTTGTGGGGCCACCTGTGGGCTCCAGGAGCGGGGTGGGGGGTCGCCCGGGGCCACCGCGCCCCCCGACATTGGGGCTGAGGGCTGCGAGCCGAGTTTCGGGGCCTCTGTGCTCGGGGGCCCACCTCTGCGGCCGGGCCGGGGCTTCTGGGGGCCGCCGGGCAGTTCCCGCTGTGGTGGTGATGGGTGCGGTGGTCGCGGGTCGGGACCCGAGTACCCGGCCGCCCCTCAGCTAAGGAGGGGCCTGCGCGGGTCCCTGGCCGCGGATTCCGGACTGCTGCTTCGCGGGGACGAGGGGGGGGCTCGCGGGCGGGACTCCTGGCGCCCCGCCCCCATGAGCTCATCAAGAGCCGCCGCCCCTGGATGGTGGGGCGGGGGCGCACACTTTGCCGGAGGTTGGGGGCGATCCGCCTCACTCTTTCCCCAGCCCAGCTCACTCTCCAATCTGCGGTCACCACCCGAGACCTTCCTGGGGGTCGCGCCTAAAAGGAGCGCAGACTCCCGCCGGGATGGCCCAGAAGCTGGGGTGCGCGCACCCTGGCCGTCCCTGCCTGGGAGCCGATCTCCCTCTCCTCACCCAGACACGTTCCAGCGGAGGCCTCCTCCCAGAAGGGCTCTGGAGGCCTCGCAGGAGTGGGGATCCCGCGGTTCTGAGTTGGCACAAGGAAGAGAGTGGCACCAGGGGCCTGGAGTGGATGGCAGGGTCCGGGAGTGGGGCCGCTGCTTTGCAAGAGGGGCCCCCACGCTGGGCATCTTTGGGTGCCAGCGTGGGTGGAGGAGGGTCTTTTGCTGAGAATGGCTTTCTCCTGACCGCAGTCTTTGCTGCTGGGAAGTGACTGATGGGCTTTCGCCTTTTGTTTCCATTTCCTGTCGGTGTTAGAATTGGGGAGGGGGTGGAAATCCCTTCTTGGCCTGGAAGGACTGGAGTGGGTGTCCATGGCCGCGGCCTCCCCGTGGCCACGCCCCTGGGCATAGACTGCAAGCCCCTCCCCGTGCCCCCCAGGCTGTCACCCCCTTCTCGTGGAAGACTCGGCTGATGTCCCAGTGGACCGAGTGTTTCTCAAGTTGAGGCAGGGAGGGCAAACTTTTTAAATGGCCCCTGGAGCCAGTGTGTGGGACCAGAGACATCTGTTTCCCATCTGGACGGCTGAGGATCCCAGTGCGGATGATTATTTGGAGGGGGAAGGACGGAGGCTGAACTGAACTCTCAGCTGGGAGATGAGTGGGGCAGTCACATCCCACCTTCCCCAAGCCGGGCTGTTCTGCACAGCCTGCTTGGGACGCTGGTGGGAGTCACTGTGGCCTTCGGCACTGCCCTGGCAGTGGGGGCAGCTAGGCCATTTGGGAGGGGCTCGCCTTCCCCAGGCCCGGCCCTGGGACCTCAGCCGTTGCTTAGTGGTGGCCTGCTTCAGCCCAGGCATGTGGGAGAGGCACCA
This sequence comes from Homo sapiens, assembly GCF_000001405.40. Lineage (NCBI taxonomy): Eukaryota > Metazoa > Chordata > Mammalia > Primates > Hominidae > Homo > Homo sapiens. The sequence goes on from NC_000011.10 coordinate 2,379,158, forward strand.
GACACAGGATGTCCCTCTGCCAGCCCCTGAAGCCCCGTCCCCTGACGAGGCGAGTGTGGACCTGGGGGTGGGGGCTGAGGGAGACTGTGGACCTGGGGGTGGGGGCTGAGGGAGGGTGTGGACCTGGGGGCAGGGGCCGAGGGAGGGTGTAGGCCTGGGGGTAGTAGGGGCTGAGGGAGAGTGTGGACCTGGGAGTAGGGGCTGAGGGAGGGTGTAGGCCTGGGGGTGGGGGCTGAGGGAGAGTGTGGACCTGGGGGTAGGGGCTGAGGGAGAGTGTGGACCTGGGGGTGGGGGTTGAGGGAGGGTGTGGACCTGGGGGCAGGGGCTGAGGGAGAGTGTGGACCTAGGGGCAGAGGCTGAAGGGGAGTCACGGGAGGGGACTTCTCCGGAGGTGGATTTTTGCTCTCTGGACGGTGTGTCAGCACTGGGTGAGCCCCTCCTGCCTGCCCAGGCTGAGAGGTCTCCCTGGCAGCCCCCTGGGAGTGTCGCCAGGGCGGGCCTGGAAGTTTCCCAGGCAGCTGGGGTGGAGACCTGACACATCCCAAGGGTGCTTGTTATTAAGGCTCAAGGAAATGTCTCTGAGGCCTCACCGCTCCTCTCCCCAGGGCCTGCTCCCTGCAAAGCATTGAGAACTGAGTCCGTCCACAGTCACTGTGGACCCACCCATCCACTGGGGCTCAGTGGTAGCCAGCAATGCCAGGCTGGGTGAGGTGGGGTTGGTGGGCACCACCCTGGTGGACCCCCCTCCACCCTGGTGTCGCAGGGTGTGTGGCTGAGAGCACAGTGCCATGGGCTTGGGCCTCCTTGGTGGAGTCCCCAACACACTGCTCTGGTCCTGGGCCTCGGCCTTCCCCGTCTGCAGTGGGGGCCCACAGTGAGCCTACCTCCTGGTGGTGTTGGTGGATTTGCTGACATGCCTGAGTGTTGACAGGGGGCTTGGTGCAGGAAGGGCTCAGGGCGTGGGTGTTGGCCAGGGGTCCAAAGGGACCTCTGCCTCAGAGAGCCCAGCCCAGACAGGCAGGATGTGCAGTGGGGAAGGGGCTGCGGGAACCCTGCAGGGTCCAGAAGGACACAGTGCAGTCCTGTGGGCTCTGGGGAGGCTGGTGGGGAGGAGGTTGACAATGGATATCTGGGTGGGGCACTTGTTAGAAGTTCCATTTTAGAGAGGAAAGAGGCCTTGCCTGTGGGAGAAGGCAGCTGGGGTAGCCTGACCTCTTTCCCAGGAAGGAGCCCACACACACACGCACAGGCACTCACACACACGAATGTGCACACACACACACTCCCACCTTCACACACACTCACACTCTTGCTGTCTCCCTTCCCAAGCCAAGGTGCGAGGGGGAAGGTCTGGGCAGCATGCACCTGCGCCCTGACCGCTTTGGGGGCCAGTGAGAACTGGGCTCCCTGGGTGCGCGGCGGGCCCAAGCAGGGAGGACATTGCAGATGCCCTGGCCAAGCAGCGTGGAAATCCTGTCCCTTGGGTGGGTCTCGGAGCCTCCATCAGAGGCGGCTGGCACCTGAGACCCACCTGCTGCCAGGAGCAGGGCAGGAGAGTTTGTGTCCCGGGACAGGGAACTGGCCTGTGGGAGCCTTGCCTTCCTCATCTGTGTAATGGATATAAGAGTCTTCTCCTCGGGGGCTGGCCAGGGAGTCCAGAAGAGGTGTCACCAGTCCCCGCAGGGAGAAGAGCGGTGTCCCCCGCCTGGGACTGGCTGCTCCCCCAAGCTAATGCAGCTGGTAGCCACCTCCCAGTGGCAGGGCAGCCAAACCCGGCCGGGAAAGAGACTGATTAGAAGCCTCGCTCACGGGTATTTCTCGCTTCCAGACAGCACATGACTGTCATTTGGCACGTCTTTCGCCGTCCTTCCGGGAGAGGGGCTGCAACCCTGGCAGGCGCTGTGGGGGAGGGGGCTAGGACATCCTGTGCCTGGTTTCACCAAGTGGGTGTGTGGACTTTCCCTGGCTCCCCCAGGCTGTCTGGCTGCACAGCTTTGGGGAAACGGCCACTGGGTCAAGCGGGCCGAGAAGAGGAAGTCTGTGGTTTGTCTCTGCTACAGACTGGCCCCAGTGAGGCTGTCCAGCAGTGCAGGGCACAGAGCAAAAGCAGGGAGGTATGGGCCTACTTCCCCGGTCGCCCCTGTGGCTGGCTGTGGCTCTGCCGGGTGCTGACAAGTCACTCGCCCTCCCTGCGGTCACCAGGGTGCATGCCCGAAAGCCCTCCATTCTTTCCTGGGTTTGAGGGTCCTTCTCCTGCACCCACCCCAGCGCCCAGTTCAGCTCAACTTTCAGAAATCTGGTTCACCCCCAATCCCTTTCTCATAACTGCTTCCAAGCCCAGACAAGGAGACAGACCCCAAAAGATCCCTACCCCTATTTCCGCACCTGAAATCGCACCACGGGAAGAGCTTTGCTCATAGAGTCAATAAGGCTTAGAGTCCAGGCGCCTGTGCGAGGGAGCAGGTCATCACCCTTGTACCCACCGTGGTTTTAGACAGGACCCTGAGGTTGGGGTGGGGCTGGGGCTGGAGAGGAGCCAGGTGCCCTGCCCCTTGCTTGGGCCCCGTGTCCCTGTGATCCAGGCTGGGCGTGCTATGGGTGCTGGGTGATATTCCAGCCCTGCAGGTGTCCGCCTTGTTCCCAGCACCCCTCTGGGCAAGAAGAACCAGGCTCTCCCAGAAATGGGCTTCAGTGATCTCCACTTCCAAGTCGTCCCCACCTGCCTTGTAGGACACAGTGGTACCTGGTATGCTGGGCAGCCTTCCAGGAACCTCTGGACTTACTCAGTGTCCCCCAGCCCTACACACCATTCTTTGTGTTTCTGGGCCCAAACTAAGCCCCCCAACCTGGGCTGCAGAGCAAGTGCTGAATCATGAGAGACCCTTGAGGGTCCTCCAGGTAGGCCCCCAGTGCTGGAGGAGTCCCCTCAGGCAGGGGGCCACGCCCAAGGGTGTGGAAGGTCAGCTGGCAGCCGGATCTCACTTTTGGGGCTGTAGGCTTCCTGCACTGGCCGCCAATGCCATGGCCGTGGGATGGCCAGGATAAGGCATCTGCCCCCCACCCCCACCCCCCGCACAAGGTCTTTGAGGGCTGCGGGCTCAAGGAGTTGGCGGTAGGGCTGGGGGACCAGGGGCACAGAGCTTGTAAGCGCCTCTCTCCAGGATGTGGGTGGCCCAGCAGGGGAGCTTTGAGAGTCCAGGTGTGAGATTCCAAATGCTAGGGGCCTGAGAGGAGGGAGCCACCAGCTTGGCCAGAGCCTGGTGGATCACGCCCCCACCACGCCTTGCCCTTCTCTCTGGTCATGTGCTCTCCCACCACGTTTGGAAAGTTACTGCTTCCCTCTTCCTCAGCCCCTCGGGCTCCCAGTTATGGAAGTGGCGTGATTCAGAGAAGGTAAAGGATGGGAGGGAGAGGGCTGGGTGATGGGGGACCCCGCAGGGCGCCCTGTGCTGTTACATGGAGCTCCAGGATCAGGGCAGGTGGGCAGCCTGGGGTCCTCACTTCTCTCCCCAGCCAGGCCAGGTCCCTCACAGCCCTGCCAGGAGCATGATATCCGCTGCGGTGCAGAACTAATCTCAAAGCTCAAACCCAGGTAACAGTGTAGGTAAAACAGATGACAGGGCATGAGACTCACCCCAGGACAGGCGAAGGACCCAGGCCGATGGGGGCCCAGAACAGTCCTGATCCTGGAGCTCCTTCCCGAGTGGGACCCCAGGGGTTTCCGAGGGGCTTAGAGTAGGGCTTAGAGGCTTAGAGTAGGGCTAGGGACTTCCTGGCTTCCCTGCCTCGGGAACAGCTGGTCCTGGAAGGGGCTTGGTCCTCGGGGCACTGGTGCCCACCACCCCTGATGCCTGGGAGACACCAGCATCCTCTGAGCATGTGTGCGTCCTCCTGGTCCCGAGGGAAGTGACTCCTCACATCCCCCAGCTGGCGGGGCCAGAGGGCCAGCATCCTCGCCTGACACCTATTTTTAGATGCTGAGACAGGCGGCTTCCTCGGGGCCAGGGGCCCTGTGAGTGGAGCTTCCGCTTCCTGGCCTAGGAGAGAATTCCTGCTCCTCTTCCCTCCATGCTGCCTTTTCGCCCCTGGAGGCCACAACGGGGTCAGAGGGGCAGCTGCTCACCACCTAGGAGGGCCTGAGAGGGCCCTACGTCACCCAGGGAGGAGTCTGGCCCCGTCCCCAACCTCCACACCCAGGCCTGGCACTGCCCCTTCTTGGTGGGCAGAGAGTGAGGGGTTGGCCTGCAGGGACCCAGGCTGGAGGGGCCGTTCACCTCCGGCCCCCAGCGTCCCTTCCTGGAAGCACCTTGGTGAGCCCCTCCCCTCCTTCACCCAGTATCTCCAGGGGTACTTCCTCCTTTCCTTCCTGCCTCAGGGCCTCACTGTCCTCCTGGGGAGGGTGTCTCAGGCCCCAGCACCTCCCAGTGGCTGAGCCGAATGGGCACTTCCCGGTGTGTTTCCCATATGTGCAGTCCCTAGGTGTCGGTGAGCAGGCACAGAGCCCGCAGCGTGGCCCTGCCTGGTGGACCCCCTCCCCAAGAGCATCAAGGGAGGGCCTGGACTAGAGACACACAGATGCCCAGCCTGTACGTAAAGGCGGGTGAGCTGATGTACCATCGTCCTCGTCCCCCACTGGGGTGCCTGGGCAGGACTTGGGGTGACCACTTGGCCCGTCTGGGTGGGGGTAAGGTATGGGTGGGGCGACCAGATCCCTGCCCTTTCCTGCAGCTGTGGGGGTGTGTGTGCTGGCCTGGAGAGCTCCCACCCGAAGTTCTGGCTCCTGGCTGTCCGGGGCCTGCGGGGGCAGCGAGCAGCTGGCATGGGTAGGGGAGCTGACCTAGGCCTGCCCGGGCAGCGCCTGCTGCCTTTTGCTCCCTTTCAGCTGCTTCTTGGAAACAGCGGACAGGCTGGGCAGGAACCCAGTGTGCTTGGCAGCCCCCCTTTTAAAGTCGATTCTGTTATTTATTAATTCCCAGGAAGGAGAAAGAAAGAAACAATCCTTCATAGAGTACAAACACTGCTTTTAGTAGCCTTGCAAGGAGCCCTCCAGGAACCCCACAGGTTACCTGGGCTCCATCCTGAGAGCCACCCTCCATCCCCAATCCCCAGCAGAGCATCTTGTGGGGTGGGGCGGCTTGTGGGGCGGGGCGCCTTGGGAGGCGGGGTGTCTCGGGAAGCGGGGCGTCTCGGGAGGTGGGGTGGCTTGTGGGGTGGGGCATTTCCTGGGGTGGGGCGTCTCGTGGGGTGGGACAGCTTGGGGGGTGGGGCATCTCGGGAGGCGGGGCGTCTTGTGGGGTAGGGCGGCTTGTGGGGTGGGGCATCTTGTGGGGTAGGGCGGCTTGTGGGGTGGGGCATCTTGTGGGGTGGGACGGCTTGTGGGGTGGGGCATCTCGGGAGGTGGGGCATCTCTGGGGCCCGGCCACTTGGGAGGCGGGGCATCCTGGGGGCGGGGCATCTCAGAGGGCGCCTCCGGAGGCTGGAGTATCTTGGGAGGTGGGAGCAGGTGGCAGAGAGGCTTCCCACAGGTGAGCTTTGAGCAGGGAGGTGCCTGTATGGATGGCTCTGTGGGGAGAGGGGTGACAGGAGTTCCAGATTCCGGCACTTATGAAACCTCACAGTGATGGAGAGCCGAGTGCTGCTGTGCAGGCTAAGTTGTGTGCATGTCAGCTTCTGCACTTTTATTTCCTTGTTTGTAGACAAGGCAGAGAGAAGCTGAGATGGGCCTGAGGTCGCCTTGGTGAAAGGCACTCAGCAGCCAGGGCCTTGGGCTGCCCTCCCTCATCACCGTGAAAGCGGGACTCTCTTTTAACTGACATCGGGCTCCATAGTTACTCCAGTCCTAACTTTGATGGATCCTAAAAGTGCACTTCTAAGGACGCGGCTTCGGTGTTTCCCATGCCGCTGCTTGCCCCTGGGAAGCGTTGGCTCTGCCTCGGAAGAAGTTAGCGCCAAGATGGCAGCCTGGGGTCTTTGGGGCCCAGAAGAAACACTGGCCCCGGGGAGTTCAGTCATCAGGGACTTAGGATGTGGGGGCTTTTCAAACAGCTTTATTTAGACGTGATTGACACACAGTAAATACAGATGTTTAAGGGTACAACTTGGTAAGTTTTGACAAATTTATACCCCCGTGAAACCATCACCAACTCCCCAGGTGCCCCTGGGGCCCTTGGGATCTCTGCTTCCTGCCCCTCCTCCCCGTCCCAGGGCAACCACGGGCCGTCGCTGTGGGTGCACACAGCATGCATTTCTTCAACAAGCGGACTCAGAAGGCACTTGCACATCGTTGCTGTTCTGCCTCTTTGCTTCAGCATGATTACCCAGAGGCGCACCCGTGCCGTGGCCTGCCCGTCGTCTATGCACCCGTGCTGTGGCGTGCCCGTCGTCTGTGTGGCATGCCTGTCTGTGCACCCGTGCTGTGGCGTGCCCGTCGTCTGTGTGGCATGCCTGTCTGTGCACCCGTGCTGTGGCGTGCCCGTCGTCTGTGCACCCGTGCTGTGGTGTGCCCGTCGTCTGTGCACCCGTGCCGTGGCGTGCCCGTCGTCTGTGCACCCGTGCTGTGGTGTGCCCTTCGTCTGTTCCTTTTATTGCCGGGCAGGGTTGCACCCACATGTGCAAGCCAGCGACGGACCCCAGGTTCACCCGTTCACCGGTCAGTGGGCATATGGGTTGTTTCAGTTTGGGGCATTTACAAGAAACGTGCTAGAACATTTGTGTACAAGTCTTGTGTGAACCTAAGTTCATTTCTCTTGGGTAAATACCTGTGCGTGGAGCAGCTGGGTCATGTGGTGAATGTGGGTTTCACTGCTTAAGCAGCAGTTTTACATAACTGCCAAACTGTTATTCAAGGTGGCTGGACCGTTTTACAGCCCCCGTTGTATGCGTCCCAGTTGCCTCCCCCAGCAGCATGTGGTGTGGTTGGTCTTTTTCGTGGCAGCCAGTCCACTGGGTGCGCTCGGCATGTGGCTGCAGCTTGACCTGGGTTTCCTGGTCCCTGGCAAGGTGGAGCATCTCTTCATGTGCTTTTTTGCTGTGTGTGGATCTTGCGGGGAAGGGTCTGTTCCTGTTTTTTGCCCATCTTTCAAAGATTGGGTTGCCAGTTTTCTTGCTGTTGAGTTTGGAAAGCTCTGCATACGTTCAGGGCACAGGTCCTTTACCAGGCTCTGCCCCAGGTCTTTCGGAGAGCAGGTGTCTTTCGCATTCCTGACTCTGGGGAACCTCTAGCCCTGCCACATGGGGTTTGTTATGGGGCAGGGGCACCTGTGCCTTTCCCACCACGGGGCTTGGGGATTTGGTGCTGCCATTGCCCTCCCTCGTAGGTGGCCCTAGGGGGGTCCCTCCGCCTCCGTTTCCTCATCCAGAAACCGGCAGTGACCATCACCACCATTGTTGTCACCTAGCTCCAGCTCAAGGTCCCTGCTGAAGGTCGGAGAGCTTGGCATGGCCCCGTTTGTCCATGCTAGGGCTGGGAAGACCAAGGCTCAGGTGAGGCCTCTGCCCAGTGCCTGGCACTCCTTCTTGCCCCATTTTTCCACCCAGGGTGGCTCCCGACTACTTCTGGTAGCCTCGGGGACAGTTGAGGTGGACAGGCTGGCGTCACCCCCATTTCCGGCTGTCCCTCCCACCCCCTCCTGGCCCAGCTGTTCTGCCCTATTAAAAGTCACATGGGCCCTCGGGTCCTTCCTGGTGTTGGCCCAGGCTCTTTCAGGCCCTGCAGGCCAGGACCAGCCTTCCCTGCAACCCTCGGCAGAGGCCTGGGGCCGGGGCTTGTCTAGGGGCAGCCTCCCCATACGGCCCTGGAGTCTGAACAGAAGCCCCTTCCCAGAGCACAGCAAGAAGCTGCAACGTGGCCTGAAGTCCCACCATTAGCAGGTTTGGGGTTTAGGCTGAGCTTTGCCATCACTACCTTTCTGTTAGGACGGTATGCCCATTAGATGGGATCATCCCCTCAGCGCCCAGGCTAGAGGAGGGGTGGTCCCTGCCCAGCCAGGGAGGGCTGGGGGTGGATGGGCCTCTACAGAGCAGCTTCCGAGCCAGGCACGGTTCCATGATCAGCTCTGTTTTATAGAGGGGGACACTGAGGAACCGGGAGCCTGGGGACCTTCCAGTGGCCCCACAGCTCCTGTGGCTGAGTCAGGGTTTGTCACCAGGCCTCTGTGGGGATGAGGCTCCCCCATCCACCTGCCCCACTCTGTCCTGGAACAGCTCTCAAAACGGTCTCTGGACCACAGTTTCAAAAGAAAATAAGCAATGTTTTCAAAGGCCCTGGAGGAAGCCAGAGTTACCACGGCAACTCTCGGCCTCGCCACCTCCTCCCGCCAGGCTGCATCTGGAGCCAGCTCAGGAGGGCAGCAGGGTGAGGACAGCCAGGCTCTCTGGGGCCACCCCCCAGCCCCCACCCTTCCTGCCTCTCCTGCACTGTCCACGGCCCTCCCTGTGCTCCCACGGGTATAATGGGCACAGAAGAACCAGGAGCTGTCTGCCCCTGCAGGATTCTGGAAGCCAGGGGCCCCTGGCCTCCCTGGGGCCTTGTCATGTGAGGGGCACACGTGGGGTCCCAGCTGCCACATGGCTTCCAGCGCTGCCCGCAGGTGTATGTTGGGCCCTTGGTGACTCTAATGCACCTTCCACTCGGCACAGAAGAGCTTCAGTCTGGGGCCTGGGCGGGGGAAGTAGGCTGCCATCCTCGCTAAACCAAAGTGTGAAAATTGAGTTGAAACTCCCATAGGAGGGCAGGAGGCACAGCTCCTCAGAAGAAGGTCTGAGAAACCACAGCCCAGGTTGTTGTTTCGGGTGTGTGGAGAAGGTGCTCTGGCAGTCCTGCTACAGGGGGACCATCAACAGCCCCTTTGGGGTGAGAGCCCCGTGGCTGCTGGCACCAGCAGCCCCTATGAGGCTTATTTTATTTTTGAGACAGGGTCTTGCTCTGTCACCGAGGCTGGAGTGCAGTGGCACAATCATAACTCACTGTAGCCTCAACCTCCTGAGCTCAAGCGATCCTCCTGCCTCAGCCTCCAAAGGTGCTGGGATTACAGGCGCTTGCTACCACGCCCAGCCCCCTCTGGCCTTATTGTTTGCCAGGCCCAGCTCAGGTCCCGGAGGAGGGGAGACAGGAGTGTGAGGGAAAGGGGGAAGAGGTATAGAGCCCCCAGCTCCTCCACCCACCCGAACCCTCACCGAGGCCCTAGACCCTAGACCGGCCTGACCGGGGGGTCCTCAGGCCGGGGACTTGGGTGCAGGCCATGGTGCTGGGGCCTGAAGCTCACGCTCTGCTGAGCACAGCCCCCTGCCCAACCCCACCCTGGGGCCCTGCTTCCCTGGCCAGGGCCATTGGAACAGGAGTGGGGCTGTCCAGGTGGTGTTCTTGGGTCCAGCCCTCAGTTTCTCTTCTGCAGTTGACCGGCAGCCCTGCATCTGTGGTGGGGTCGGCGCCTGGTGCTGGTGAGGCAAGGCCTCAGCTGCTGGGACAGGACCTGCCTGGCACCCAGCTGGTGGCAGAGCCAAGCATTCCGACTCAGCTCTGGGAGCAGCTGCCTTCTGGGCTGGCATTCTCCGCCAGGGGGGTTGTGCCCTCGTGGCCCCCCCCGGGTGCCTCCTCACCTGGCTGATTTCATCTCCTGTCCCCCTGCCTCCTCCTCCAGGAAGCCCCCAGGGCCTGGCCCTCCTTGAGAGTGGCATGGAGGAGGAAGAAGACTCGCCCAGGCCCATGGGAGTCGGATGGTGGCCGCACTTGTGGGGCCCTGACCCCATAGGCTTCTTCAGCACGCCCTGGCCTGGGTGATCCCTGCCTGAGGGCTGTGCACGGCTCATCTGCCAGACCAGATTTTAGGGGATTCTTGTACTGTCCTCCTGGAGCAGCAGGGGGTAAAGCCTGACCCACCCAGACTGTCCAGCAACAAGGGCCTCCTGCTGTGGGCCAGGGACCCTGGAACTGACCAATTGTGTCCTAGGGACGCAGAGTCCCCAGGCTGCTAGAGGGCTGTGGGGCCCTGTTTCATGCCTGAAGCAGGAAGAAACCCCAGGAGAGGTCTGAAGGGGACCCAGCCCCCACCCTGTCTAGCAGGGAGGAGCCTCTGCAAGAGGCCGAGGGGTGCTGAAGTGGAGGAGGATAGAGGCAGCAGGACTCAGGGTCACTGGTCATTTATGGGGATCACACGGCTGCAGTGTGCCCTGCATGGTGCTAGGCACCAGGGACAGCAGAGGACAAGCCTGTGTCCTCTCCCACCACCAGAGGGCTGGGCACTGCCCCTAGGGAGAGAGGGGGCCTTGGTGTGTGCAGAGGGGGGCCTGGGGCACGTGCCTGGCCTGGTCAGATGATCAGAGTGGGCTGGGCTGGGCCTGGTCTGGGGCCCAGTCTCAAGGGCAGACCCCACCTGGCTAGAGTTGATTGTGTGCACACCGGATGACCCGGCGTTGAAGGCCTCTCCTCTCTGTGAGCCTCATCCCCACCTGCCAGACTCCCAGCACAGCCTGCTTCCTGCCCCAGCTGCTGAGCGACAGCGCTGGGCCGGCTTCTGCGCGCCCCTTCCCCCAGCCCATCTTGGAAACCACAGCAGCGTCCTTCCTCCCAAGTCCCTTCCCAGGGCTGACATCCCACAGCAGGGATGTATCCCACAAACCCCGCAGGCCCTGGTGCCTACAGCTTGGCCTGGTAACATCAAATCCTACCCTCTCCTCCTGGCAGCAAAGATGGGGTGCCCCCACCCCAGAGTTCTCAGCACCCCCAGACAGAAGCAGTCCCCCAGCGACCTCAGAACTCTTGGGGCGCTGCCACACCCTTGCAGGAGGGGGCAGTGTTCCTGGGATGCTCAGGTCCTGGTATCACCTCTGGCCAGATACGGAAGGTGAAACTACAGGGCATCCAATTCACCTTGAACTTCAGATAAACACCAGATTATTTTTTTGTATGTCCCGTGCAATATTTGGGACACACTTACCCTAAAGAAGTATTCTGTTTTCATCTGAGAGGCAGATTTAACCGGCGTCCCGTGTCTTCCTGGCAGTCCTGCCCTGGAGTCACACTCCACAGGTGCAGGGCAGGGCCAGGCTCCAAGTAGATGGCGGCCAAAGCACCCGCCCCATGCTCCTGACTCCCGGGGCTCTTCAGGGCATTGCGAAAACCAGCAGCAGAGCTGACACCTGGTCCCTGCTCGGGAGCCAGCAAGGCAGGAGGCTGCTTAGGCCTTGCGTGTGGGGTGGGCGCACTCCCTGCTGCAGTGCTCTTCGTACATGTGACACTGTTCCCGCTCTTTCCCAGCTGGCTGGAGGCGTGATCCTGGGTGTGGCCCTGTGGCTCCGCCATGACCCGCAGACCACCAACCTCCTGTATCTGGAGCTGGGAGACAAGCCCGCGCCCAACACCTTCTATGTAGGTGAGTGCACATGTGGCCGCAGACGCATTCAGGGAGGGCTTCTAGGAGGAGGCAGGTCCTAGCCTTTTGGATGGGGACATGGAGGGTGAAAGACAGTCGGGCATGGCGTGTCCGGGCAGGGAGGCGGCCCTGGAAAGGGCTCTGGGCACAAGGGTTGAGATGGAGGTGGGCCTGTGGCCTGCTGGCCCTTCTGGTCTGAGCCAGGGCAGGGGGTGGCAGCTAGGCCTGGGCAGGGACTGTGTGGAGACCTTGCTTATTTTAAGTGTGGGGTTATTTCGGGGGAGGCTCCCTGAGAAGGGTGGGGCTGGATGCCTGGGCCACACAGAGCAGCCGAGGCAGCTGGCGCTGTGGAGCCCGGGAGGGAGGGAGGGATGGAGCTCAAGGGATGGAACCCAGTGAGGGGTGGAGACGGGGCAGGGGAGGGGTGGAGAGGGGTGGAGACGCCCCAGAGGCGGTGTGACTCAGCTGCCCCTGCAGGCAGCTGCACCTTGCTGCCTTATTAGGCTGCGTGTGGGGGACTGGGCTGCCCTCCCTGCCCCCAGGAGCAGGAGCAGGAGTGATGGAGGAGGAGGAGGGGAGGGGCAAGGCCAGGAGGAGGAGGAGGGCCATCTCACTGTGCAGAGAGCAGCACCCTTCCTCCTGGTGCCCCTGGCAGGGCTGGTGCTGGTGGGGCTCTGGGAGCATTTGTTGAGATGCTTCTGGCCTTGAAAGGAGGCCCCTGGGATGGCTCTGTTGCCCTCACAGGCTGAGGGGTGGGTGAGGTGGGCAGCCTGTGTGTCCCCAGTCCTCAGGGCTTCCCTCAGCCGGCAGGTGCCCCCAGGCCTGGAGCTGCAGGGCCAGGCCCCCTGCCAGTTACGGAGGCTGCTTGGCTTGGTTGCTGAACCAGGGCCCCAGGAGGCCGAAATAGCCCCACACCTGCGCCGTCCCACCTCTTTGTCCAGTCACCCCAGGGCCAGGTGAGGGCCCTGGCCACACAGCGTGCCCGTTCCTTCTTCCCCATGCCCCGCTCATGGGTCAGAGGGCCGGTGCTGGGGTCCAGATGGTGTCAACAGGGATGGTCCCTGTCCTCCCCAGAGACAGAAGCCTGTGGCCCACGGAGGGTTTCTGGGCCCAGCCGATCCTAGGGAGGGTCCCATGGCCCTGCCCATAGGTTCCTGGCCTCTCTCGGGGCCGTGGTGCCCTCACAGGTGGTGTCAGGAAGGACGGGAAAGGCTGCTTGTCCCAGGGGCTCATGTGGAGACCACCCCCTGCACGCAGCTGGGGCGCTCCTGCCTGTGTCCTCAGAAGCACTCGGCTTAGCTTTGCCCATGTGCCTGGGCTGTGGGTGGCAGAGCCCGGCCAGCATCCTCCGATCTCCAAGGGTGCATCTCTACTGGAGGCCCCTCCTGGGCCTCTTGCTCCCCGCTTCCCAGATCATTAGGATATTTGGGGTCCAGAAGGGCCTCCCAGCCATCCTGGGCCTTGTCCTCCGGGGCCACCAGTCCAGCCAGTGACAACCACAGCATCCCCGGCCTGGAACGAGGCTGCCCCCAGCACGTTCCTCGTACTCCTGTCCAGGGACAGGAGGGGCTGCCCCTGCCACCGAGTCCCCTTCTCCAGGACCTGGGGCCTGTGGGTGTGAGGCAGGTGTTCTTGGAAGGGGTCACTCTCCAGGCACCCGGCGGCCAAGGCTTGTGGCTGGAGCAGCTCCCGCTGTGGGGTCGGCGTCGGGCCCCGTGTGGCCGGAGAGGAGCTGAAGGGTCACTTAGCTTCGGGCTGGGGCGAGGACAGGGGACACCCCAGAGAGGTATGCCAGGCCTCCTTCCTGCGCCCCACTCTCGGCAGAAGCAGAGGTCACAGGCTGTGCTGAGGCCCCATGGTGCTGCCCCCATGATGCCAGGGTGAGGCTGGCGTTGGAAGCAGGTGTCTGACCTGCATGGTGTCACCGTGGCCACATCAGAGCTCCAGCCCCAGAGCCGCCCACCCTCGGTCCTTGGCTGTGGTTTCCCTGGGCTGGAGGAGCCTGCCGTTGTGTTGGCCACACGACCACAGGACCTGCCACCCCCGACGTGGGCTCTGCCTGGGCCCCCACTGGACAGGGACCCCTTGGAGCTCCTCTGGCCACCAAGTCCTCGCCCATTCCAGAATCGGCCTTCTGGAGCCTCTTGCTGTCCCTGATGCGGGCTGGGCCTTGCCAAGGGCTTTTTTTCCTGCGCCGGGAACAGGGTGGATTTGCTGGGCTCACTCCCCTCAGAGACGCTGCGGGTGCGGTGGGTTAGGCCCAAGGGCGTTAAGAGAGGAGGCTGGGGTGGGGCTGGGGCCTGGCAGGGGGTCTGGCAGCCCTGGGCCTCCCACCTCCTGTCAGGACCAAAAAAGGCAACGCGCCTCTCCTGACCTGTACCCCGGAGTGAACCCAACCTTGCAACCCAGGAGTGTCAGGGCCTGAGGGGAGGGAGACCTGGCTCCTGGGTGCCGTGCCCGTAAGGAGGTGGCCACCTGCAGGGCATTCCTGGCAGAGGCTTCATCTGGCCAGGTAGGAGGCTGGGTGGCCGAGCCCCAAATCTGGGTGTGTTCTCTGCCTGGCGGTGGGTCCTGCCCCAGGCACCTTCTCCTCTGGGCTGGCTGGGCAGGGACAATGGGCCTGGCTGCGAGGAGGGGGCCTGGGCTGCCTTCTGCATTGCCTCGGTGACGGGAGATGGCCCCTGCCTGCTGAGGGATAGGGGAGTGGGCAGGCAGTGAGAGACACTGACAGCTGTCCCGCGGGTACAGGGCCCTGTCTGGGTGGCCAGGCCCATGTCTCGGGCCCACAGTGCGCCCCCCACCCTTGGACGGCGCCTTCTCCCTCCCCAGGTGCATGCTGCCCAGCCAGGGAGCGTGGGGGAGTTCGGGAGGGCTGGCCTACACGCCCTGGTCCAGCTGTCCCAGGTGGGGTGCTGGGCTTCAGCCCTCAGCCCAGGGCCTAGGAATCCAACTTGATCCTCCCCACACAGCAGCCAGGTTCAAATGCAGGTCCCGTAACGGAAGTGCTGCTGTGCAGCCCAGATTGGGGGGCAGGAGCCAGCAGGGCCCCCCCACCCTCTTCTCGCACCACACTGGGGAGGCAGCATTGGTTCCAGTTCCGGTTCCTGGGCTGCCCTCTCAACCCCGGCCTACAGTGGGGCCCACCCTGTGCCTTCTGATGCCACTCCCACCCCACGCCAAGTCCCAGAGGCTTTGGGAGCGGGTGAAGGCGGTGGGTGGCGGGTGGCAGGTGCAGGCGGTGGGTGGTGGGTGTGGCAGGTGGCGGGCCCCACCGCAGGTGTCATCCCTGCGAAGCACCTGTCGCCAGCACTCAGAGCGCTCATGAGGTGCCCAGTCCCCATGTGGCCTCCTTAGTCTCCGTCCTGTGTCATGGAAGAGGTAACTGAGGCACAGAAAACTCACCAGGCCAGGCTGGGATGTGAGGTCCCTTGCTGCTCATCCCTGGCAGTCAGCAACCCTACATCTTCCCAGCTGGGCGGCCCGTGGTGGGTTCGGCACCCAGGACCCTCCGGGGTCTTGGGCTGTGGCGAGTGTGTAGGCACCCACCTGGTGTCTCTCTCCCCGCAAGGCATCTACATCCTCATCGCTGTGGGCGCTGTCATGATGTTCGTTGGCTTCCTGGGCTGCTACGGGGCCATCCAGGAATCCCAGTGCCTGCTGGGGACGGTAAGGCAGGGAGGCGGGCCTGTGCCTGGGCCGGGGAGGGGCTGGGGGCTGCGTCTGGCCCTGAGGAGGGGGCAGAGCTGGTGCTCAGGGCGGAGCCTAGAATTCTGGGGGAGGTGGCTCCTGTGCCCTGCTTTTCCCGTTTGGTTTTTAAATTAAATCCCACCGTGCTTGGTCTCCATCGTGGCCAGTTCCTACGTGACCGCTTTTCTTTGTCAAAAAATAGCCACAAATATAACAGGGAGCAAGCCTCAGCTCTGAGGCCAGCCTCGGCGTCCCGGGCACACCGCCCCCTGTGGGAAGCCCAGGCCTGGCTGTGCCATCCAGGGCCTGGCCAGTCCAGGAAGAGGGAGCCTATGCCCGTGTCTCCAGTGGGGGAAACTGAGGCAGATCCCATGGCTCCCCCTTCCGTGGGGAGCAGGAACAAGGGGGTGGGGAAGATCAGTCAGGGGTCATGCTGCTGCACACGCCTCCCTGGGGGCTGCAGACATCCTGGACTCACCAGCCTGTGACCCCAAACCACACGCCCCGCCCCATCCACCCCGTCCTGTGGAGCCTGGTGCCGCGTGGGGACATCCTGGGCTTTGACGGCTCCTCCCTGCGCTGAGTTTTAGCCTCTGTGCCCCAGGGCTCCACACAAGCCGCTCACTCCTGGTCAGGTCGTGGGCTGGTGGCTCCCACTAGCCCCTCACAGACACGCCTGCTGGGCACCTGGGTGTGTGTCCTTGGGCCCCGCCTACAGCCTGCCCTCTTTCCTCCCTCTGGCCACTGCCCGGCTCCAGTTCTTCACCTGCCTGGTCATCCTGTTTGCCTGTGAGGTGGCCGCCGGCATCTGGGGCTTTGTCAACAAGGACCAGGTGAGCCTGGGTGTGCAGGGACAGGGTGGGGTGGGTGACGGGGGCACCCTCCTCTCCTGTCGCGGGTGGGGGTTGGGCTGACTCATGGCTTGTGGGAGCTCTTTGGGCTCTTCCTGGGTCCCACTTGCCAGGAGGATCTCCAGGGGCTTTATGGAGGAGGCAGCATTGGGGCTGAGCACCAGGCCAGCCTCCCGTGTCCCAGCACTCCCGGGGCAGCTGAGAGTGCAGAGTCCTTGTCCTCTGGGGTCTAGCCTCGAAGCCACCCTGCCCAGGGAGAGCCTGGGAAAAGTGCGTCCGCCTGGGGCGGGGCGGGGTGGGGGCAAGGAGGGGGAGGTTCCCCCTGTGCATGTGACCGCACCCCTCCCCCAGATCGCCAAGGATGTGAAGCAGTTCTATGACCAGGCCCTACAGCAGGCCGTGGTGGATGATGACGCCAACAACGCCAAGGCTGTGGTGAAGACCTTCCACGAGACGGTGCGGCCCCGGGGGGCGAGGGCGGGGAGCAGGGCCCCGGGAACCCGGCGGGGTGTGTCTCGTCCTGGATGAATCCTGCCTACGCCCAGACCTCAGGAGCAGGAGGTGCCCTTGGGACCTCCAGGACCCCTGGTCTCAACTGGTCCTCGGGTGGGAACCTAGTGGGCCAGGGTGGCCCAGGGTGCGGAAAGCTCTGAGCAGCGCAGCTGAGGAGGAAGAAGGCTGGCCCCTGGATGCATTCTGCAGTGGGGAGCGCTGCGTACCCCTGGCCACCTCCCCATGGGTTCCCTAGAGCCACCGTCCCCCTGGGCACATCCAGGGCTGACCTTGCACCCCTGCTCTCTGCAGCTTGACTGCTGTGGCTCCAGCACACTGACTGCTTTGACCACCTCAGTGCTCAAGAACAATTTGTGTCCCTCGGGCAGCAACATCATCAGCAACCTCTTCAAGGTGCGCGAGGCCGGTGGGGCCGCGCCTGACCCCCCGCATGTCCCGCCCCTGGGTGGGGTCCTAGGGGTGGGCAGGTCACACGGCAGCCCCACAGGGAGCGACCACACTGGGTGGCATGGCCCCTGTCAGGGCTGCTCTGCTGGGAGGGTTGGGGTGGGACCGCATCTGGCCCACGAGGAAGGCAGGCGCCCTGTGCTGCGCATTCCGGGTGAAGAAGGTGGAGGCTCTGGGGGGTGGGAACTCACCTGCACCCCCAGCTCCACGTGTGCACTCGTGGGTGTGGACGCCCCTGACAGCCTGTAGCTGGCAGGGCCTGCAGGCCATATAGTGCCCTGTGGAAGTTTCCTGCTGAGGCCTCAGTGGAAGTCGTCATCAGTGATGCTTTAGGGGTCTAGTGACACCAATGACCGTGATCTCAGTGGAAAAGGGCACAGTGTGTCCCAGGCATTTCGCGTTTATGTTAAAACGGGTGGAAGATAGCAAGCCGGCAGAGGCCGGGCCGCTGCACCCGCCTGTTCCGAGGTGGGTAGGGGGTGGGGGGCTGTTCCCAGGATTCCCCTCTACGCTTTCTGTGGTGACCACGGATTACTGCGTGACAACGGGAAGCCGGGAGCCGAGGCCCGGTCCCTGACCACGCGTGCCTGGCCACCCCTGCAGGAGGACTGCCACCAGAAGATCGATGACCTCTTCTCCGGGAAGCTGTACCTCATCGGCATTGCTGCCATCGTGGTCGCTGTGATCATGGTGAGCGGGCGGGGGCGGAGGGCCTGCTCTCTGGGCTGCCCCTTCCGCGGGGCCTTGTGCTGACTGCGCCCCCCACCACCCTCCTGCAGATCTTCGAGATGATCCTGAGCATGGTGCTGTGCTGTGGCATCCGGAACAGCTCCGTGTACTGAGGCCCCGCAGCTCTGGCCACAGGGACCTCTGCAGTGCCCCCTAAGTGACCCGGACACTTCCGAGGGGGCCATCACCGCCTGTGTATATAACGTTTCCGGTATTACTCTGCTACACGTAGCCTTTTTACTTTTGGGGTTTTGTTTTTGTTCTGAACTTTCCTGTTACCTTTTCAGGGCTGACGTCACATGTAGGTGGCGTGTATGAGTGGAGACGGGCCTGGGTCTTGGGGACTGGAGGGCAGGGGTCCTTCTGCCCTGGGGTCCCAGGGTGCTCTGCCTGCTCAGCCAGGCCTCTCCTGGGAGCCACTCGCCCAGAGACTCAGCTTGGCCAACTTGGGGGGCTGTGTCCACCCAGCCCGCCCGTCCTGTGGGCTGCACAGCTCACCTTGTTCCCTCCTGCCCCGGTTCGAGAGCCGAGTCTGTGGGCACTCTCTGCCTTCATGCACCTGTCCTTTCTAACACGTCGCCTTCAACTGTAATCACAACATCCTGACTCCGTCATTTAATAAAGAAGGAACATCAGGCATGCTACCAGGCCTGTGCAGTCCCTCAGTGCCAGTGGTGTCTGAGACCTAGGGGTTGGCCGGAGGGCAGGGGAATCTGACATCGGTGGGGCTTGGCTCTGTGGACTCTGTGGGGTCCAGGGTGAGGGTGGGTGGGTCGGGATCCCTGGTGTTCACCAAAGGAGTCACTCTGTAAAATTTGGGGAGTTATTTATTCTGAGCCAAATATGAGCACCGGTGGCCTGTGACACAGCCCCAGGTCCTGAGAACTTGTGCCCAAGGCGGTCTGGCTACTTAATTGTATACATTTTAGGGACATAGGACATTGATCATTACATCTAAGATGTACGTTGGTTTAGTCGGAAAGGTGGGACGATTTGAAGGGGAGGGACTTTCAGGTCATAGGCGGATTAAAAGATGTTCTGATTAATAATTGGTTGATTTTATCTAAAGACCTGAAATCAATAGAATGGACTATCTGGGTTAAGAGGAGTTGTGGAGACCAAGATTATTATGCAGATGAAGCCGCCAGATTGTAAATGTTTCTTATCAGACTTAAAAAGGTACCAGAATCTTAGTTAATTCTCTCCTGGATCAGGAAATAGACCTGGAAAGGGAGGGGGATTCTCTATAGAATGTAGATTTTCCCAAGAGACAGCTTTGCAGGGCCATTTCAAAATACATCAGAGAAATATATTTTGGGGTAAAATACTTCGGTTTCTTTCAGGGCCTGCTGTCACGTTGGTATCTTATTACTACAGAGTCTGTTTTGTGAGTCTTAAGGTCTTTTTATTTTTAGACAGAGTTTTGCTCTTGTCACCCAGGTTGGAGTGCAATGGCGTGATCTCAGCTCACTGCAGCCTCCCCTCCACCTCCCAGGTTCAAGCGATTCTCCTGCCTCAGCCTCCTGAGTAGCTGGGACAACAGGCATGCACCACCCCACCCAGCTAATTTTGTATTTTTAGTAGAGACGGTGTTTCGCCACGGTGGCCAGGCTAGTCTCGAACTCCTGACCTCACGTGACACACCAGGTTTTGGGATTACAGGTGTGAGCCACCACACCGGACTAAGGTCTCTGTTTTAATGTGAATGCTGGTCAGCTGTGCCTATGAGGCATGTTCGGCCACCCACAGTCATCATGGCCTCAACGAGCTTTTCAGGTTTACTTTAGAATGCATTTGGCCAAGAGGTGCCCATTCAGTTGGTTGGGGTTGCTTAGAATTTTACTTTGGGTTTAAACCAGGGAGCAACTCCAGGTAGCAAGGGCCCTTTTTGGGAGCGTTCTCTCTATTCTCTTTTGGGAGAGGCCCTGTGTTGCCTGCAGCCACTTCCACCCTGCCCCTTGGGCACACAAGGGGCACACAGTGTAAGCAGGTGGGCAGGAGGGGTCGGGCAGCCAGGGAATGCAGTGAGATGGGCTTGGGGTAGGGGCTGGGTGCGCTGCAGGACTCCTCTTCCTCCTGAGGGATGGTAAAGGATGGACACACTGCCCCCTCCCGAGCATTTGAGGGTCTCTGCCCTGCCCATCTGTTACCTGTAAATGTTCCTTTGAGGAGCTGATGGCTCAGGCCTGAGCCACATCTCAGAGGGTCTGGAGGGGAAGAAAGACCTCATCCTACTAGGGAGCCCCCCCAGCCCACCAGCGAGCGGTGGTTGGGGGCAGACAGGCTGTGGGGCTAAGGAGCCCCTGCACTCCCCCGTCCTTTTCCCTTTGTCTGAGCACCTCCAGCCAGTGGGCTTGGTCTAGACTCTCCTATCTTTCCCCACATCGTGGGGTGGGGCTTGCTCTGGGTTAGGCTACTTTTCCCTAGTTGTGGGGAGGGGGGTGCTGGCACATTTCACTGTTCCCTGGAGGAAATGAGTGCCTGGGAATTCATATCTAGGGCTCCCAGCAGCCTCTTTGCAGGCCAATTTGGAAACTGTCCCCAGCCCTGCATTTTAGGGGGTTACAGAGTCTCTCAGCAGGCCCTCCTCCCCTGCTGCTCCCAACTTGCAAGCCTGCACTGGTTGGGAGAACATAATGGTCCAAGGAGCCCCCTCTCTACTTTCCGCTGTGTTCCCTGTGGGGAGGGAAGAGCAGTTTAAGAAATAAGGAATCCCAAAGGCGCACAGCAGACCGGGGGCCGAGGAGTGGGTCCTGCTTCCCCTCCTTTTTTCTAGGCTGAGCCACAGCAGGTCCTTGAATCCTATTTCCCAGCGGATGCCAGGACAGCAGGCCCTGGGGGAGTTCTCTCTCGAGCCTTTCAGAGGGACCAGAGGTCTAGCAGCCAAGGAGAACTCAGAATCCTTGAGTGTGTGGGGCAGGAACTCTCCCAGCTGAGAAGGGGCACAAGGTGCCAACCATCTAGGGCCCAGTGGCCAAGGAAGACGCGGCTTGTCGCAGGGAGAATCTGGGCCCTGGTCCTCCCTTTCAGGGCGGGCAGCTGACCTGCCCCCTGCTGCGGACAGGCGAGGCCAGGCTGCTGGCTCGCAAGCATGGCGGAGCCCAAACCTTCCCTGCTGCCGCCCGCCCAGCCACGGCTGACTTGGAAGCTTGAGGAGCGTTCAGCAGCCTCCATCCTGCCCGGGAGGACCGGGGACCTGGAAGGGCCTGGCCCTCGCTTCCCTGCAGCGCCCTAGGGGGACGTCTCAGTGCCTCCCGGAGCCCGGACCAATGCACCAGAGCTGAGGGCCCAAGGGTGTGAGGGTGGCCGGGCAGTGGCCCCGAGGACGGCGCCCCACAAGTTTGCGGCCAGGGCCCAGCAAACCCCTAGGGGTGGGAAAGCGTCGGCCCAGCTAGCGGGTCCAGCAGGGCTGCCCCCTTCACCGTGGCCCAGCGGTCACGACCCCACGTCCTCATCGCGGGCTGGGACTGCCTCTGCGTCTGGCCTGAGCGGGACCGTGGGATCCTGGGGAGCCCCGCCTCGGTGCACTGACAGAGCCCAGAAGGAGTGACGGTTACCGCTTCCGGTCAGGACCGGAAGTGCCGGGAACGGCATTCGTCCTCCGTGCGAGATGACGCACTTCCTGCCTGAGGCGGCCGCTGTTCTCGCGGCTTCCGGCAGGTGGCGCTGAGACCACGGGAAGCCAGCCTGGCTGTCGGTTAGCCCTCGAGCATTCTGGGAATTGCAGGCCTGGCCCCTCCTCTTCCTGTTCTTGGTCAATTCCGGTCTTGTTTCCCCAACAAATGCCGTCGTTTCCGGGGCTGCTTCCGAGCCGGACCCAAGGGCCGGGGCGTGGAGGAGTAGAGGGGCGAGCGCATGCGCACAGGACTACACGTCCCGACAGGCGTCGGGAGCGGCGGCCCAGTTCCTTGTGGGAGCTGTAGTTCTGCAGGCGCGGAAGCCGTGGTGCTCGGCCGGCAGAGCACTCGGTTTCCCAGAGGGCTGAGCGCGCCGCACGGAGGTGCGGCGCCGACCAAGATGGAGACTGCCGAGCAGCCTTGAGCCGGTAGGTTTGTGGTGAGGGAGGACGGGCCGCGCGGGCCGGCCGAGCCTCCGGGAGGTCACCGAGCGCAGCTTTAATACCTGAGCTCGAAGGCCCCGCTGTGCTCGCCGACCCCCGTACCTCGCGGCCGGGCCCTTGGGACCCACAGCATCCTTGTGAGGCCCGGAGGCCTGTCCAGCCCGACTGGACAGTGCCGAGGGGCACCGAGAGCCAGCTTGGCACCGAGAGTTCGTTTGTTCTCTGGCGGGGAGGTCTTGCTGGCACATATAGTGGAGAAAGGCCGGGCTCTGCGTTCATGTGGAGAAAGAGACGGCTTCCTTCAGCCTACGGACATGAAGGAGTCAACTCTACCTTCCACTCGTTGCCGGCTTTCGCCGAGAACCCCGAGAAACGGACTACCGGAGTCCCTATCTTGCAGCCCGATCCCCGCTACCCGTCGGAGTGCCCCGCTGACCAGGCTGCTTCTGGCCGCGGCGGCGTTCCGCTGCAGAGGACGGGAGTGCGAATCTGGGAAGCAGGGTTCTGGTTGAACTCCAGCTTCGTCTGCAACATACTGTGTGACTTGGGCAAATTATTTCCCCCGCCCCGTTCCTGCCAGCTTTAAAACGGTCATCAGTGGGGGGTGCTGCGTATCCCCTTTCACTGGGGTGGCTTCTTCACTGAGGAGAGTCGCGCCTCAGAGGAACTGAGGTCCTGCCTGTGTTCGACCTGGTGGGGGGCACTAAGAGCCCCTGATAGTACCCCTGACCCCATCCTTATTGGGTGCACAAGACACAGGTCACTCTGGGCGGGCAAGGAGTTTTGGTAGCAGGAGAGGAGTCGGTGGATGGATGGCTGAGGACAGTGCAGAAGGGTGTGGCTGGGCCGTCTTTTTTTGCCTGGAAATTCAAGTTCTGAGGCACCCAGTCACTCCAGCACTAAATGGGTGCAGGAGGCAGCACTTGTCTGCCCAGCTGGAAAGGCAGGGTATGTGCTGAGTGTTACAGGTGGAAGGCCACTGGAGGTCGCTCCAGGAGCCGCGGGGATTTACCTCTGCCTAACAGGGCTGCTCAAGGTGATGGTCGACACCCCACTTTCCTGAGAGCTTGACCCTCAGATGCCAGGGCCTTGGCTGCAGATTCCTTGGGAGCTCCCGGGGATCTTCCAGCAAATAGGAGCAAATCTTTTCCCCGTGGATCAGGAAGGTGCACGCTCTTTGTGGAATACGACTGCTCACCCCGCACAGCAAGCAGCTTATAAGTGGCCCTCCTGCCTGATTTCAGCCCTGGGTTCAAGCCCTGGGTGGCTGCTTACTACCAAAATCGCTCAGTAGCTCCAAGCCTGCCTGCAGAGGGTTGGCACCATTAAATGAGGTAACGAGTCAAAAGTCCCTACCCTGGGTCCTAGCCTGTCAGGGGCTCCGAAAACCCAGGCTCAGGTCGGTCCTGCCCGGCACCTGTTTCACACATGTACACTCCGGTCTGAGGTTGGTCCTCTCCCCCACCCCACCCACCTGCAGTTGAGCAGCTGAACAGAGGCCATGCCGGGGCACTCCGAGGCCTGAGACGACCACGCCTGTGCCGCTGAGGACCTTCATCAGGGCTCCGTCCACTTGGCCCGCTTGGCTGTCCAATCACACTCCAGTGTCAACCACTGGCACCCAGCAGCCAAGAGAGGTGAGAGGAGGGCTTGGAGGGGGAGGCGGGACTCCACCCTGTGTGGGACAGTTCTGTCAGTTGACCCTCCACTTGTCCAGGGGCAGTGGATCTGCAGGGGGAACTCATTCTCAATACTGTTCCTCCTGAGAAACAAATTTTCTGGGCTGTTTTGGTTTAGGTGTGGCGTGGCCCTGGGGACGCATGGCTGAGGCAGGAACAGGTGAGCCGTCCCCCAGCGTGGAGGGCGAACACGGGACGGAGTATGACACGCTGCCTTCCGACACAGTCTCCCTCAGTGACTCGGACTCTGACCTCAGCTTGCCCGGTGGTGCTGAAGTGGAAGCACTGTCCCCGATGGGGCTGCCTGGGGAGGAGGATTCAGGTCCTGATGAGCCGCCCTCACCCCCGTCAGGCCTCCTCCCAGCCACGGTGCAGCCATTCCATCTGAGAGGCATGAGCTCCACCTTCTCCCAGCGCAGCCGTGACATCTTTGACTGCCTGGAGGGGGCGGCCAGACGGGCTCCATCCTCTGTGGCCCACACCAGCATGAGTGACAACGGAGGCTTCAAGCGGCCCCTAGCGCCCTCAGGCCGGTCTCCAGTGGAAGGCCTGGGCAGGGCCCATCGGAGCCCTGCCTCACCAAGGGTGCCTCCGGTCCCCGACTACGTGGCACACCCCGAGCGCTGGACCAAGTACAGCCTGGAAGATGTGACCGAGGTCAGCGAGCAGAGCAATCAGGCCACCGCCCTGGCCTTCCTGGGCTCCCAGAGCCTGGCTGCCCCCACTGACTGCGTGTCCTCCTTCAACCAGGATCCCTCCAGCTGTGGGGAGGGGAGGGTCATCTTCACCAAACCAGTCCGAGGGGTCGAAGCCAGACACGAGAGGAAGAGGGTCCTGGGGAAGGTGGGAGAGCCAGGCAGGGGCGGCCTTGGGAATCCTGCCACAGACAGGGGCGAGGGCCCTGTGGAGCTGGCCCATCTGGCCGGGCCCGGGAGCCCAGAGGCTGAGGAGTGGGGCAGCCACCATGGAGGCCTGCAGGAGGTGGAGGCACTGTCAGGGTCTGTCCACAGTGGGTCTGTGCCAGGTCTCCCGCCGGTGGAAACTGTTGGCTTCCATGGCAGCAGGAAGCGGAGTCGAGACCACTTCCGGAACAAGAGCAGCAGCCCCGAGGACCCAGGTGCTGAGGTCTGAGAGGGAGATGGCCCAGCCTGACCCCACTGGCCACTGCCATCCTGCTGCCTTCCCAGTGGGGCTGGTCAGGGGGCAGCCTGGCCACTGCCTAGCTGGAATGGGAGGAAGCCTGCAGGTGGCACCGGTGGCCCTGGCTGCAGTTCTGGGCAGCATCCTCCCAAGCAGAGACCTTGCTGAAGCTCCTGGGGTGTGGGGTGTGGGCTGGAAGCACTGGCTCCCTGGTAGGGACAATAAAGGTTTTGGGTCTTTCTGAGACTTTGTGTCTATCTGGGCCCTGCTTACCCAAAGGGCTCAGTTGGCAGCAAGAGCTCCCCACACCTGACCCTCGGTGCCGGACCACTCGAGGGTGGCTGACACCTGCATCCCTCACCAGCACATCACCCAGGTGACAGTGAGAATTGGAAACCCCAGGCCTCCTCTAGGGCTTGTGGCTCAGTGGCAGGTGTCCAGTGAGTGCCCTCAATGGGCCTGAGTGGGTACAGAATCTGCCCTCCCCCAACCAAAGCCCACATGATGCCATCAGCCCCAGGCCTAGTGCAGACCACAGCTTGGGAAGCGAAAGGGAGATGACAAAATGGGTGTGGACAGAGGAGGCTGGGGTGAGTGGGCAGTTGGGGGGCCTGGGCAGGTGTTTGAGCCTGGGGTCCAGTTTTATCTGGGCCACGTGGGGTACAGTGTTTTCCAGGCTCCACTGAAGATAAAGCAGCCACTGGTGCCAGCAGGGGCTTTGTCTTGGGGCCATAAACACCAGTGTGTGCTGTACTGGCCATCGGGTGTCAGGGGGACAGCTGACAGATGCAGTGGATGCCCAGCCCTGTCTTCCAGGAGCCAGTCACCTGAGCCCCAAAGGACCTTTTGGGTCTTAAGTGACAGAAATTCTAACCACCAGTGTTTCAAAAAAAGATGAGTCTCTTGTCAGGCAACACAAGTCAGGGCAGGGGTGGGTGCAGACCCCAGAGCAGCTTCGCAGTCTGGATGGGGGTGCTCCCCCGTCACGCCACAGGGCCAGCTTTTCCACAGTGCAGGCTGGTCAGTTTCCAGGTAGGGATGCGGTGGGGCACGTTTTCTGCCCGGGGAGTTGTGCCTGTCAGGGGAGACAGCCCCATGACACTGCTGTGCCTCCGGGGAGGCCAGGAGGGACAAGGAGCGGTTCCTTTGGGTGAGGGTCTGTGGTGAGGCACCAGGAGGGCCATTGTCTGCTGGGGGGCTGGTGCCCCCTGGGGGGTTCCGCTGGAGGTCGGCAAAGGTCAGTGCACAACGTGCAGGGTGGCCAGCTGAGGAGAGGTGGCCCCACACGTGGCAGGCCAAGCAGCTCAGGTGTCCGAGGGAGGCTGGCCAGCCCCGGGTTGTTCCCAGCCATCTAAACCACCTCTGTGGTCAGCAGCCACCAGCTGGCTTCCCTCGCCACAGTGCTGAGAGCCTGCTGGGAAGGAAGGCCCCCCTGAGCGGTGGGAACCAGCAAGGCAGGCCCAGGAAGGGGAGAGGTAGCTGGCTCAGAGGCAAGGGCCAGGACGCCGTGGCTCTCAGAGTGAGTCCCCACAGGCCAGCCTGGGGAAGATGGGGAGCCCAGAGACAACCAGGCCTCTGCCTGCACTCCTGGGACTAGGAAAGCAGCCCCCTTGAGGCCGAGGGGCCCGTTTGCTTGCTGAGCAGGACAGTCCAATAGGGCCCACGCCAGGCAGAGCCTCAAGAGTCTGAGTGAAGCACATTCGGCCCTGGCCAAGGCAGGGACTCCGTCAGAGGGCACCCACACCACCCTGAAGAGCCGCGTCCAGCCAAGGCCTCCTGAGACTCCCGGGCCAGGCAGGGAAGGCAGAGCACACAGCACAGCCTACGGCCCCCCAGCCGCTGCAGAGTGGGTGCCCATGCCCACCCTCATCCCACGCTCCCCAAACAGGCTTACTCCGGGGGCCGCCACCCTGGGCCAGCACGTCAGCCACGGAGGACACGAGCACCGAGCAGTAGTTGATCTGGAGAAGGGAAACACGTCCGGGAAGCTCCAGGGCTCTCTCAGGACAGCAGGGGACAGGCAGCCTCCCCATCTCCCCTCTCCTGCCAGGGCCCCCGCTGCCCTGTGACTCCTCCCTCTGAGAGCTGCCGCTCACAGGCAGGGGTGAGTGAGGCTCCCGTGAGGCGTGTAGAGTGAAAGGCGAGGGGTCTTCAATGTGAGACCCCTCATTTAAGGCTGTAGCCTCCCAAGTGGCAGGGTGGGAGGAGGCACAGGTGGGGACGGCCTGTCTTCCCCAGAACGCTCCTCTGCCCACTGGGGTGCTCCTGTCCTGGCTCTGGCCTGCCTCATCTCTGTGAGTGACCGGGCAGGGCTGTGGACCCATCCCAGTAGCCCCACGCAGCCACCCGCCTCCCATCAGGGAGAGGAGCTCTGGGGCTCGCTTGCCTGTGACTCCAGACACTTGATGCGCTTTTCTTGCTCTCTCAGACCCCCGAGGTACTTGGCAATGAAGTCCACTCTGCGGCAGGAGCAGGTGGTCAGGCTGTGGATGGCCACGCGGTGCTCTGCGTGTGGGGAGCCTCCCCATCCCCCCAGGCCTCCCTGTGTGCCCGAGTTTGGGGTGCCCTGGCCCTTTCCCTTCCTCCCTCATGCCCAGATCTGGTGGCACCAGGACCCCTCAAAGTGCACCTGGTGCAGTACAGAGCGCTCTATGCCTTCCCAGTAGGGCTAGGGTGCCATCCCTGCCTGGGCGCACCACCCAGAAAGACGGTGCAGGGCAGGCAGTCGGGGACAGGCCCCTGGAGCCAGGGCTGGAGGGAAGCCAGGGGTGGGTAGTCCCAACCCTGAGACCACAGCAGGGAGGGCGCCACGGTCACTGTGCACGCTCCCTTTTTGCCTGGCCAGGCGTCCCAGCAGGGTCCTGCACAGGTCAGGCTGGAAAGCTAGGCCCCTGGGCTCGGCCAGAGCCCTGCCCCTACCCCTTCAGCTTCAGTTCGCCAGCTCAGATCCTCTGTCACTGGCGCCAATGGCACATCCCCGCTTAAAGACAGCCCGATACCCACCAGTGATCAGGACAGGCCCCCGCACCTGTGGGCGGTTTTCCGCAGCACCTCCCCCTCGCTGTCCCTCCTCCGCTTCTCCATCTTGCTCAGGAAGTTCTCCTTCTGGACTGTCTCCCAGGTGACGACCTTCTGGTCCAGGGGGTCTGGCAGGTCTCTCTCTGGGAAAGCCAGGTGGCAGCCAGCATTACTAGAGCATGTGGGCGTCAGTGGCAGAGCCCAGGCCTGGTCCCGGGGCGAGGTGGGCCAGGCAGAAGGAGTGAGTGGGGCCCAGCCAGGGATGGAGGGCAAGCATGGCCCTGTGCAAGGACGGCCAAGCTGCGGGTGGACGGGCTCAGCTGTGCCAGCCTGCACAGAGCCCAGCTGAGGACCCACAGGGCTGAGGAGGGGTCCAGGTCTCTCCAGACCTGCCTCCAGCGCACAGCCCCGCCCTGGGACCCGCCACCTCGGCCTCACCCAGGTGCTCCCGCTTGTGCTCGGCCTCACCCAGGTGCTCCCGCTTGTGCTCAGCCTCCTTCTTGAAGACCCGGCGGAGCGTCAGGCTCAGGTGGCTGAGCAGGATGAAGGGCGGGGCCAGGGCGGGGCGCTCGTGGTACTCCACAATCAGGTTGTAGCGCTGGAACTTCCAGAACATGTCTGCGTTGCCCTGCACCACCTGGAACGTGTAGCTGCAGGGGCACAGCTGAGCCGTCACCTACCGGCTCCCCACGACCACTTGGGGGACGCATCCCCCTGCACCCTGATTGCTGTTGGGGAGCCCTTTTTGAAACTGAGGCCCAGCACTGCTTCTGCGTTGCCTCTGGGGTGTGTCACGAGGGGTCCACTCTCCTTGGGTCTTCCCCTGTCCACTCTGCTCTCCTGGACAAGCCCAGAGTTCTTGCCACAGCACCGGTCCCCCAAAGACCCAGGCCCTGCTTCCTGGGACTGGGAGGGTGGCCCACAGAGTTCCCGGTCTTGGGCAGGCAAAGCCCTGCAGTCCAGGCTATGCCACCTTCTATCTGCCCTGAGGCACCAAGCCTCACCCTCTGCAGCACACCAGGTGGGTTGCAAAGGAGGCGGTGTTGGGGAATGACCCTCTGCTCCCTCCGCTCCAGGGCTCTCTCCTCCAGGGGTTGGGTGGAGTCACCTGAACATGGCGATGAGCAGGTTCATGAGCAGCACATTGGTGACCAACAGGAAGGTGACCAGCAGGAGGATGACCAGCCAGTTGGCATAGAGGCTGGGGCAGGATGGTGAGTCCTCCAGCAGCAGTGGGTGGGTGGAGCAGTTCACACGGGCTTCTGGAAAGCAAGGGTGCTGTGGGGACCAGACCGGGGGCAGCCACAAGGGCGGCCTTAGGCAAATGCCCCGAGATAGAGCGCTGAGTCCTGGTGTTGAACCCAGGGGACGGGGTGCTGGTTGGGTGACCCACTGTCCCAGTTCACCCAGGGCGGCCTGGGTTTTAGCAGTGAAAGCCCCATCACAGCAAACCAGAACCAGACGGGTGGTGAGCCCCACCCTGGGCCCCCTCTGCCATGTCTGCTGAGCTTCCACCAGGGGCTGGAGTCAGCCAAGATCACAGGCCCTGGAAGTAGAGCCAAGACCCCTGGAGGGATGGAAGGTGGGGGACAGAGGGGTCACGGGACCCAGGTTTCTCCTGGTTGTTGGATGTGTTAAAACCTCCACCCCTCCTCCGAAAAAAGCCTCTGCTGTTGAAGGTTTGGGGAGAGCTGCCGAGGAAAGGGAGATGGGGCCCAGGACTTCTCAGAGCCTCTACAGCACTAATGCCTGTGATTAAACCCCAAGCTGGCAAGTAATTCCGCCACCTTTCCAAAATGTATTGAGCCAGCAGGCTCCAGACTGGGCTTGCTGCAAGCTCTGAGGGCACCGATCCCGCACTGGGCCACTCAAGTCAAGAACATTCTTCAGGCGGCACACTCTGGGAGCTTGCAGGCTGAGCTCCCTCGGCCCTGGGCAGGGACACCCTGGAGGGGTGGCAGATCTCACTCCAGTCCCTTAAAACCAGACCCTCACACCTGCTTCTCCCTTGTAGGGCTCAACCCTGGACCCTCACCCCACCCCAGCCTGCGGGGCAGGAGGAGGGAGGAGGGAGGAAGGAGCCGCAGTGGGCGTCAGGGTGCTCAGGGTCCCAGCCAGAGGCCAGAGTGTGCCCTGGCCGTCCAGGACCACATATCCCCTCCATATCCGAATGGGAGCTCCGCTCTCTCCTCCCTCCCCAGCCTGCACGCTGGCGTGTGTCTGTGTGAGCCTGTACATGTGATTGGATGTGCCTGGCACACATGCTCATGTGTGAGTCTGCGTGTGAGCACACTGGCACACACGGGCACATTCAAGTGTATCTTAGTGCCTGCCAGCTCCAGGTTGCCCTGCGGTGGGTTCTGGGGGGTCTCCTTGTTCCCAGGTTCCTGCCTCTGTGCCTGGGTCCTGAGCTGGAGGGGTCCGTTCTCCCTCCTAGGGTGAATTCCTGCCTTGTTTCTCCCGAGTGAGTTAGTGTGACGCGTTGGCCCGTGTGTGAGTTATTGAGTGTCTGTGTGTGCACTGGCAGTCAGTGAGCGCCAGCCCTCCCCACGCTCCCACCCTAGGCCTGCCCCTCCTCTGTCCGCCCTGGCCACCTCCAGCCCATGAATCTGTTCCTGGGCAGACTGATGACCCCCTCTCCTCCCTGCACTCTGGAGGAGCGGGCCGGGGCCAGCCTGGAGAGCCTGTTTGTGAAGCCGTAAATCTGTCTGATAAAGGCAGCTCTGAGGAATGAGACCCCCACACCCTCCCCGACTCTGTGATTTGGGAAGGCGCCACCAGGCCGGGCTGGAAATTAAATTGTCCCTGGGGCCTGGAGACCCAGAGAACAAGCTCGTCACCACAGCTCAACCCCAGCTCCGGCTCGGCACGAGTGCAGAGTGGGGCAGGGGTCTGTTCTGGGCTCTGAGGAGACCTGCAGGCTGTACAGGAACTGTCTGAGCCTCAGTCTCCCTCTCAGCCCAGCATGTGTTAGTGAATAACTCCCTGCCTAGCAGCATGAGGGGCTGGGTCACAGTGAGTGGCTGGGGTTCAACCTGAAGGGCCCAGATACTTGCTCGGCAGCTGAACGGAGCCCAAGGAATTGCAGCTCAGGGAGGGGAAGTGACAAGTCTGAGACTCTCAGTGGGCGGCCGGGGCTGGCCCTGTTGCAGGCGTTTCAGCACGGGGCTCTGAGATCCCCGCAGCACCGCAGACCTCCCTGAGGCAGCACTCGGAGCAGGGGCCCCTCGGGAGTCTGTTTCCCTGCCTTCTCCCGTCGAGAAGGAGGCTATGGCCAGGCCTGTCTCCTCATACGAGTCGCTGAGACTGGCCCACCAGAGATGCAGCCACTCAAGAAAGAGGGGACCCCCAACCCTGCCCTGGCTGGAGGCGCCCGTCTAGAGCTCCTCCTGCCCCGAGGGGCCCTGCGGACGGGCAGTGCTGGAGGCCGTATGGTGAGGGCGAGGTGGGGTCGCAGGCAGGCAGGGTCTGGTTAAACTAATGGCCTGGAAAATGAATGCCTGTGATGAGCAAACACCAAAATGTCAGGAGGGGCTGCGGGGGCTGAGAAAACAGCCCAAGGAAATGAGCCGCGCTGGGAGAGGCGGTTTCCATCACGGCGTCGCCCCCGCCTGTCCCCGGAGGCCTGTGTTTGCTCCGGTCTGGCCGTCATCCCCTCAACAAATATTTATCGAGGGTCCTGAGCGCCACTCCACAGAGGTCGGGGTCAGGCCTGGGCAGCACGTTGTGCCATGACTGCCCCGTGCCGGGCAGCCCCAGCCGCCTGACACCGCCTGAGCAGTTTCCCTGCACCTTCTCTGCCGGGTCTCCAAGTCTGCGGCACCCCTCGAGGGCCCCAGGGGCGGGCTGGCTGCTGGTCCACCTTCCCAGAGGGGTGCGTCCCTTTCCAGGTTGGGGCTCCTCACTGAGTCCCAGCCATCCCAGGGGCCTGCACAGGTCCCTGCCCCACCCCAGAGCTCCCCACCAACCCATCACTACAGAGGCCCCCATGGCCAAGCGGCTCTGACCCCCGCCCCCTCCCCACTGCACTGGCTTATGAAAAAGTTTCCAGAGCCTCCACCAGCCCCAGCCAGCTACAGGGGTCGGCCTGGGGACACCCATAGGCATGGGCAGGCCACACACACACATTGGGGTGGGTCCCCAGGAGCAGCCAGGGTGCCTTTAGGAGCGGCCAAATGGCGAAGGGGCCTTGCCAGCAGGACGGCGTAGGGGCTCTGGTGGGTGCCCTAGGCCAAGCAGGGCCCTGTGGGAGGGCAGAGGCCAGGGGCTGTGAGGAGAGCTGGAGGGCCCAGACCCCGGATGATGGCTGGGACAGCCTTTGGGCCCACTCTGTGCCCTTAGTGCCTGCCTATCCCTTCCCCACCGATAGACCACCCCCAGAGCAAGACTTGCTGCTTGGCCTCCCCAAGCAGGAGGCAGCCCTGGCTGCCTTGGGGTCTCCTTGTGTCTCCTTCCCAGCCCAAGGCCCCAGGTCCCAGGTCGGGGCTCCGTGACTGGAGCTGCCTCTACCTCAGGAACCAGGCCTGGCCCTTTGGGGTGTGGGGGGCCTGGGGACCAGGCCTCAGCCACTTCTCCCATCTCTGCTCCAGGCTGGGGTCTCCATGGCCCCAACAGACCTCTCTGGAGAGCCTCATGCCCAGGGCTTGTGCACACAGGGCTCCAATTTCTCCCTGCCCCTGCCCCCGCTGGCTGTGTGCAAACCATCAATCTCGTCCAGTGGGATCTGGCCGAAGATCTGCAGGTAGGGCCGGTAGAGCACCCGGCGGAAGATCCACTCCAGGCGGCCGTCATGGGGGTGCAGCAGCGCCTGGGTGGTGACACCGTAGGCCACGAGCCACACGCTCAGAAAGAAGAGGAAGAAGAAGACGTCCTTCATCTCCACGGGGCAGGGGCAGAGAGAGGGACGTCAGCGGCCAGCCGGGTGGGGCCCAGGCAGGGGATTGCTGTCCCTCCAGGGCCAGGGCCAGGGCCCCCGGGGGCTCACCATGCGCTCTACCACGATGATCTTGGGGCCCAGCTGCTTGTGTATGGCAAAGATATGGATCAGCCGCAGCGTGAACACCATGAAGTCCATGGCGAGGACTGTGCGGCCAGCCTCAAACGCCGACGGCAGCATCCTGGAGGATGGGAGGCTGATGCGGCTGCGGGGCCCAGAGAGGGGCAGAGGCTTCCCCAGGGGCACACAGCATGCTGGCTGCGGGCAGGGCCAGGGCCAGGCCAGGACTCCTTGGGCCCTGAGTGGCTTCATCTTTTGTTTATTTATTTTTAAGAGACAGGGTCTTGCTCTGTCACTCAGGCTGGAGTGCAGTGGCATGATCACGGCTTGCTGCTGCCTCAACTTCCCTGGCTCAAGTGACCCACCCACCTCAGCCTCCTGAGTAGCTGGGACCACAAGTGCCACCGCCACACCCAACCTGAGTGGCTTCATCTGGAAGCCTGCCCACAAGCCGCCCTGAGGCCACACGGCCTCTGGGCCCCACAGACCTGCAGGTGACACCCACGATGAACAGGAAGATGGCCACCATGTCACACTTGTTCCAGTTGTCCCCCACATACAGTGTGAACTTCTTCACCAGGTGTGTGTCCTCGTCTGTGAAGAAGCCCTGGGAGGGAGGTGGGCAGTCCACTGACAGCTGTCCAGCCGCCCTCGCTGGGGACAGCCCTACCTGGACAAGCTTGGATCTGTAAGGATCAGGGTTCCATCTATGACCAGGGCCGAGGCTACCAGTGGGACTAGGGGTCCACTGAAGCTATTCCAGGGCTGTCTGGGGACAGAAGGTGAGGTCAGTCTCCACTTGGGGCCAGGGCCTCTTTGTGCCCAGGGTCTAGGGATCAGTTTATGCAGTGTCTGGACTCAGTCCGTGATACAGGTCAGGGTTCAGACTCTGACGAGGGAGACCATGGTCATGCTCAGTCTGGAGCAGGGCTCAGGGCTCGGTCTTTGACCAGGATCATGGCCGCTGGTGACTGGGAAGATGGGAGGCCCCCATGCTGTTCTTGTTTTACAGTTGGGGAGCCCCACCCTGCGAGGGCAGGACCCAGCTTAGGTTGCCCAACCTGAAGCTGCAGAGTGGAGGGGACCTAGGCTAGTGTGGCCACCGACCTGCCGGATTTCCTCCAGCACCAGCGTAAAGACCCAGAAGTAGAGGGTGACCTCGGGCCCTGAGGGGCCCTGGGGGGGCGGCCTGAAGTCCACCAGCAGGACGTAGGTGAACAGGAAGAGGAAGGCGAAGTACATGACCACGTTCCCCAGGAACACAGTCACGGGAGCGCCCCAGAATTTCCGCCAGCGTGTGAGCAGGAAGACAGCACGTGGGCCTCGGTCACCCTGAGCCCTCGGCGCCTCCACCAGCTCCTCCACCCTGTGCCGCAGAGAAGTTCGCAGTGGTGAGGCTGGCGCCCAGCCGGGTGCCCCACCAGAGTCCAGCCTCCCAGCCACCACCCGCCAGTCCCCTCCACCCTGCCTGGCCCTGTGCCTCGCACCGGCTCTGCAGGCCATACAGCGGGCTCTTCTCCGTGTCCAGGCTGTCCAGGTCCTGCAGGTCCTCCAGGCCTGTCCTCAGGGGAGCTTCCTCACTGCGAGCACAGGAGAGCTCAGGGCCCGCAGGAAGGGCTCCCAGAGGCGCCTGCCTGGCTCCAGGCGCTTGGCCATCAAAGTGCCCACTGGGATGCAGGGGCTGTGGGGAGTGGGACCCGCAGGGAGGCTGGACTTGGGGGCTACAGAGTCAGGCTACCACCAGCACCTGCGAGGCCCAGGCCCTCCCCGTAGCTCCGGCACTCGCACTGCTGCCTGTCCTGGCCGGGCAGCTCACAGGCCTCACCCACCTGAAGGTGATGAGGTTGGTATAGACGAGGGCGGGGCAGAGGAAGGCTCCTAGCAGCCGCAGGATGGGCGTGCCTGCGGCCATGTCCCCCCACCAGATCCTGGTCAGGAAGGCCTGAGGTGAAGGCAAAACTGTCGGCTCCAACTCTGCACCTTTGCCCAGGCTGCGCCCTGCCCCAGGAATGCCCTTCCCCCAGGTGCCTGGCCCACGTGAGCTGAAGGGGTGCCCAGCCCAGCCCTCCCTCCCGGAGCCCCCGTCCTGGTGGGCATGTGCTCCTTGGGCCACTCATCCCAGGGGTGTGGGTTGAGCTGCTGTACCCTTCACTAGGGAAAAGATTGGGCTTGGGGGTTGGGGAGGACTGAGAGGAGGAAGTGCCACTTCCACTGAGGCCAGAGGCAGGAGGAGTGTGCCTGGTGGAGGAAGCCAGGTGGGCGCCTTCCAGGAACAGAAGCCCCACCCCGCCCCCTCTGTGCTGAGGACGGGAGTGACAGGGCAGCTGCAGGCTGGGAAGTCAACTCAAGCTGGGCCCAGCTCGCCCGCCCACCCCACCCCCTGGCAGCTCTCCTCGAGGACAGCTGGCACTCACCTGAACGCCGTCGTGGGCAAAGAAGGCCTTGGCGTCAGCCTCGGTGGCCAGGTGCAGGCAGGTGGTCTTGCTCCAGCAGCGGTTCCGGCGCACCAGCAGGGCGAAGGCGCGGGCCTCACTGTTGCTGTAGCACTCGGAGAAGAGGTCTGCCCCCGGAGGCCCTGGCCGCTAGGACGAGACGCCGATGCCCGGCCCGGCCCCCGACGCCCCTCCTCCATCCCCTGCCCAGACCTGGGCTCTGCAGCCGCACCCTGCGTTCAACACGCAGGGCCCAGCCAGGCCTTCTGCCCCCTCCGGCCTGCTCCGGGCCCTTCCTGAACCTCCGTCCTTCTCCGGCTCTGTCCCTCCCCCAGCAGGACAAAGGGAACCTCTGCCACGCTAAATGTCCCTCGTCCTGCGGCAGGGCCCAGTGTATGCCCGGGGTGTGAGGCTGTATCGTCCTCACCACGTGCACAGCGGTCCCACACTCAGGGTCTGGGGCCGCCTCCACCCCAGGCAGAGCCGTCTGTCCTCTCCTATGGAGGAGGCCCCTGAGGGCACCTGGAGCCCCACGGCGGTAACAGGCAGCCCTGGCGAGGCCCAGGACCCTTCGTCCGACCCCTCCGTCACATCCTCCCCCGCGCGCGGGCCCGGCCCCAGCCGCCGGTCACTCACCAAGGGCCAGCCGCTCGTATTTCGCCTCGCGCGTGGCTCGGGCCGCCTCGGCCTCCGTCTCCAGGTGCGACATCTCTTTGAGGATTTTGCAGGCGGCCAGTGCGGCTGCCACACCTTCCTGGCCCTACGAGACCTGGTCTCAGGAGGCCGCCCCTCCCCTGCCCCCGCGCTGGGCCCGCGGCCTGGGCTCACCATGGCCCAGAAGTAGGTGGCCATCTCGTGGCGGTTCTGCAGCACGGCCCACAGGAACAGGTCCCGCCAGGGGTTCTCGCTCTTCTGGTTCAGGTCCAGCAGCCACTTCTGGCCCGTGGGCCGCTTGGCCGGGCCCTTCTCCTGGAGGACACGGGCGTCGGCCTCCTGCTGCGGCCCCAGCCTCGCCCTCCATCCCCACGGAGCCCCCGCTCACCGCCCTCCTGCGGTCCCCTGGCCGGCCGTCCTGGTAGAAGCCTCGGCAGGCGTCCTGCAGGAAGTCCTTGAGTACGCGGGAGACCTCGTGCAGGGAGAAGGCCGGTGGCCCCGCGGGTGGCTCCCGGGCCTGCTGGGTGCCCAGGCCGGCCAGCGTCAGCCGGGCCTCCTCCTGCTTCCGCTGCAGCAGGTCGAAGAGCAGGCTCTTGCGTGACACGGAGCGGTAGAGCTCCTGCAGCCGCCCATACGTCAGGAAGTCGGCCACGTCTGCGCCGTTGTCCACAAAGAGGCGCACAAACTCGGGCTTGTTGCTGACCAGGGCGTCCACCATCACCTCCTCCAGGTCACAGGACTTGGCGGCCATGGGCACCCGAGGGAAGGGGGACAAGAGAGTGAGCGAGAGACAGGAGGAGGGGGTCCAAGGAAGGAGAGAGCAGGGAGCATGGGGATCCATCCCCAGGGCCAGGTCACGCAGACCCTCTCGCTCTCCTGCACCCCAGCCTGCCCCCTGCATTGGGGCGGGCACAGAGGGGCCAGTCGTGAGCAAATGCTGAGGGTGTCACAACCCCCTTGGGCTTTGGGGACAGCCGGCACCCAGCCAGCTCTGCCTGGGCCAGTGAGCGAGGCAGAAGCCCGGGCAGAACCGTGGCCTGGTCTTGCCCCGGACCTTGGGACAGCTGGGCAGAACGGGCTCAGCCAAGCAGCCCACAGGGTGCAGGAGCAGGCAGCGTGGGCAGCTCGGGCAGTGCCATGATGGGGAGGTGGGTAGGCAGGGCTGGGAGGCACCTTCCACTCCACGTCCCCATTGAAGATCTCACTCTTGGCGATGTCCACGCGGTCCCAGGCCACGGCCAGCTTGAGCTCATCCAGATAGTCCTGAGGCTCCTGGCTGTGGCTCTTGCAGGCTGTGGGCAGAGCAGGCAGGCACTGGTGAGGGTGGAGCTGAGGGCCTCACAGAGCCGGGGCACAGGGTCCCCAAAGGTGCGCTGCCTAGAGACGCGGAAACGGGAACTTCACGCTGGGACTTGAGGGGGCACATGCGCCACCTCTGAGCACCAGCAGGAGGCACGAGACTTTGTACAAACCGCAGGAGAAAGCGTGCTGCCCTGGTCTGCGTCGGGACGGCCCGTCTGCTCCCATGTGAGGCAACTTCCTCGGCTGCAACGGGGGTACCCCAGCTAACACCTGGGCCTCGAGGCCACTTCCTGGCACTGAAGGTCCAGGACACCCTTCCTGGATGTTGTCGGGGGAGCAAGCTGGGCCACGTTTCCTCCACGGGCAAGGGCATTTGGCCATGACTTGGTGAGGTCACCAGGGTCACTCAAGGGGGGCCTGCAGCACCTGGGCTGGGTGCGCCTGCTGGAAACCGCTGTCCTCACCAGACTCGCACGTGAGGCTCACCAGCCTCAGCCTCCACAACCATGGACCCCGTAAGACTACGGTGCCTCTCTCAGGCCACTGGGACCAAACTGAGACTGGTGAGAAGAGGCGGGGGAGTTCCTAAACGGGGAGGTTTCTTTGACCTCCTTGTCCTGGTGAGGTTTCTAAACCCAGAGCCACCCGCAGTCCAGACACCCTTCCCAGAGCGTCCCCTCAAGGTGTCCCCAGCCCCTGCTTAGCAGTGCCTCTCCCTGCTGGGGCTGTGTCTGCCTGCCAGCGTCCAGCCCTTCAGCACGCGTTCGTCTCCAGCAAAAAGCACATCAAATGCTCATCAAAATTTTCCATCAGCGGGTGAACAGACGCATCAACCACGGTCTGTCCACAGGCTGGAACCTGACTCCGCCTTACAAAAGGAAT
Organism: Homo sapiens; assembly: GCF_000001405.40. Lineage (NCBI taxonomy): Eukaryota > Metazoa > Chordata > Mammalia > Primates > Hominidae > Homo > Homo sapiens. The sequence goes on from NC_000011.10 coordinate 2,416,917, forward strand.
GAAGCATGGAATGGCATACGCTTCAACACGGAGGAACCGTCAAACCCTCCCGCTGCCTGCAGGGAACCATGGACACGAAATGCCCGTCAGCAAATCTATAGAGACAGGAAGCAGATCGATGGTTCCCAGGGGCTGGGGGAAATGGGGAGTGAGTGCCAAGGGGTATGGGCTCTTTCTGGGGCGATGAAGGCTTCTGGAATTAGATAAAAGTGATGGTCGCCCCACCTCACGAATATACTAAAAACCACTGAATTGGCTAGTGCGGTGGCTCACGCCTGTAACCTCAGCACTTTGGGAGGCCGAGGCAGGCGGATCACGAGGTCAGGAGATCGAGACCATCCTGGCTAACACGGTGAAACCCCGTCTCTACTAAAAATACAAAAACAAAATTAGCCGGGCATGGTGGGGTGCACCTGTAATCCCAGCTACTTGGAAGGCTGAGGCAGGAGAATCACTTCAACTCGGGAGGTGGAGCTTGCAGTGAGCCGAGATCGCAGCACTGCACTCCAGCCTGGGCGACAGTGCGAGACTCCGTCTCAAAAAACCGAAAACCAAAACAAACAAAAAACAACCCCCCCACCAAAAAAATACCACTGAATTGAGAGCTTTAAGTATAGTTTTAAGTTGTGGTAAAAAACACGTCATAAAACTTGCCAAATACAGACAGCTTCATGAATCATGTGTCATCTTTCCTGGGAAGGGGCAGGCGGCCGAGCGTCACAAACATTGGCCAGGCTGCCAAACCCCAAAGCGGCTCTGAGCATGAAGCCCCCCAATGGCGCCTGCCTTGCCCACCCTGCCCGCCCTCACCTTTCACCAGCGCCTTCAGGATGACCGTGTCCAGCTCCTCGGAGCCCTCCTGCTCGAAGTCATACACGGTGAGCAGGTGCTGGTGTGAGGTGATGTTCTGCAGCTGGGCACCAGAACAGAGCCCCCATGGGGCCGCCTCAGCCAGGACGGGGGCAGAGGCAGGCCGTGGTAGACACCAGCGTAGGCACAGGCAGCGTCCCCAGGTGAGCCTTGCAGCCTGCATGCCCACCGCCCACCGGGCCCGGCCTGGGACCACCCGCAGACCAAGGGGCTGCCTGGGTCTCTCTGCTCCCTGTGGGCCTGAAGCGAGAGTGGGTGGGGGGCCCAGCAGCCTGAGGTGGGAGGAGTGGGCTGGAGGCTGCATTGCAGGAACTCTCCCAGAGGACCAGCCCCACCCCCGGAGGAGGGGTCGGGAGGACAGGGGAGGGGGCAGCACATACCAGCTTGGTCCAGCGCACGATGTCCTCCCAAGAGAAATGCTTGCTGGGGAACTTCTCCTTAAACTGCTTCTCGGCCACCTTGGGCACCAGGAGGTGGGGCTGGTTCACTAGGGCAGCAAGCACATCGGCGATGCCCCCCGAGCCTACCAGGATCAGCCACGGGGCAGCCTGCTCCACGGCCCTGGAGATCCTCTGAGACGGGGAGGGAGGGGAGAGCGGACCCCAGATTAGCCCGACGACATCTGGATGCAGGTGTCAGGGGTGCCCCCATCCCTTCAGCCCTGTCCCAGGGGTGCCCAGAACCCACCGCACCCCTCCACAAGGCTTCGGCCAGCCAGGGGGCCTCAGCCAGGCCCCTACCTCCAAGGTGTTGGGATCACCATTGACCAGCAAGCAGAGGACAGGGATCTCGATGCTGCCAGTGCCTGTGGACAGGGCACCCGTGAGGCCTGAGGACCCTCCGCCTGGGGTGACCACCCGGATCTCAGGCTCTCAGGCCACCACATTTTCTGGCCAAAAGCTGGCTCTTCCGAATAAAGTGTGGGCTTCGTCTGGGCCACGTGACACAGGCTGCTTATTACAGCCCCTGCCATATGAGGGCCGAGGGCTCCAATGCTAACCTACACTACCCAGCACGCGCACTTTGTGGCAACAGCTGGCATATGGCTGTTAAAACACAAAGTGACGTGGAAGAAACGGAGCACCCAGCCCTACAGGTGCACTGCCACACTGCACGCGCTCATGCTGAGCATGGCAGAGGCAGCATCTCGACCATCGAGGGAGCTCTGCTGGGTGGGCTGCGCCTGACCACTCAGCAAACTGAAGAGGTACAGGAGGGAGTCTTCAGGTTTCTCCCCCAAACAGAAGCTGGAAATGAGATGTCTATATGTGAAGCCCCCAGAGAGGCCTGGACCTGCCCCTGTCTTCTGTGAGGGAGTGAACTGCCTGGAGGTGCCTTAGAATCACCCACAGGGAACTGGGCTCGCAGGCGGGCCCCTGACTTTGAAAGGTGCCTCCTGATTGAATCTGGAGGATAAATCAGGCCTGGCCAAACGGTGCCCGGGCCAGCAGGGCTTCCGCAGAGCAGAGCCAGACCCTCCGCCTGTGTCCCTAGAGTTTGACGAGACTTTGTGTTTTCAATTCTAAAGAGTGCTCAGTTGACCGGGCACAGTGGCTCATGCCTGTAATCCCAGCACTTTGGGAGGCCAAAGCAGGCAGATCACCTGAGATCAGGAGTTCAAGACCAGCCTGGCCAACATGGTGCAACCCCGTCTCTACTGGGAAAAAAAAAAAAAAAAAAAGAGCCGGGCATGGTGGCACATGCCTATAATCCCAGCTACCCGGGAGGCTGAGGCAGGAGAATTGTTGGAACCTGGGAGGTGGAGGCTGCAGTGAGCCGAGATTGCACTCCTGCACTCCAGCCTGGGGGATGGGGGACAGAGTGAGATTCTGCCTCAAAAAAAAAAAAAAAAAACAGAGGGCTCAGTTGGCCTTGCCAAGAAATTACAATTCTGTTTCTAAATATTGTATATTGTTCATAGATGTTATAAATAATTATATGCTTTGTTTATGAATATTATTTACACACTAGCGTTTTCTTAGTAAGTCCAGCTTTTGAACGTGCGACTGGCCAGAGGTGCCCATTTCTCGGGTGACGCTGCCCTCTGGCGGCAGCATACCTCACGCCTGGCGGCGGGAAGTAGCCCTCTTTCAACTCACGATCTCATTTTGCCTCTTAGAGTCCCGGAGCCTCTGACCACGGCAAGGCCCAGTGAAAACAGAACTGCACCTGCTCTGGTGGGAATGTCACTGTCCAGTCAGAGCCACTCTGTCCAGCTGTGCCTCCTTCACCACTCTGCCCAGACAGCTCCTCCTCCCAGGCCCCCACGGCCCAGGCCCCCACGGCCCAGGTCTCGGTGCTCAGGCATGCGGGGTGCGTTCTGCCTGGGAAGCCCTCCCCCTTCTCCCTGGCGGTCACCCCCACTCTCCCACAGGCGGGTCCCTGGATCCCCACTGGGTCCCAAGGCTTCCCTGGGTGGCTGGGGCGGGTCTCACCCCCGTAGCCCGCCCTCTGCTCCGAGATGTGCTTCTCCAGCCTCAGCCGCAGCTCCGTCAGCCCATCGCCCTTCCCCGGGGGGCCTGGCTCCACCAGGATGAAGTGGGAGAGGTTGCTGTCCAGTGAACAGAGGGGGCCCTGGCTGCCGCCGTCATCCTCAGGGTAGTGGACAGGAAAATCCTCCTGCGCCCATGCAGGGAGACGAGGCTGAGCCCTCGAGAGGCAGCTTGGGCTGGTCCCGCTGCGGGATCCTCCCTGCCAGGCCGTGCACACCACGCCATGGGGCCCCGCACAAGGCTTCTGCCCGAGCCTTGGTTTCCCCACCCTTCAGACAAAAGGAGGGACGAACAGCTGGGGCCCGGGGACCCTCCTTCGACAGTCAGGGGCAGGGGCGGTGGGGAGCGGGTTCTTTTAGACAGAACCATGGAGACAGCCCAGGCTGCCGGGAGCACCTCCTTCCCGACTCTAGGGCTGGCGTCCAAACATCCACCAGGGGCTGCCCGGGCCTCCCTCGGTAGTGCCTTAGACAGACCCCAGCATGGGGGACGGAAGCTGCTTGCCCAGGCTTGGAAAGGGCTCGGGGCCTGGGCCCGTGTGGTACAGGAGGGGGTGAGGGCCCGCGCCACAGTCTACGCTGGCCGTTCCCTATGCGGTACTGCCACCTGCCGGCCGTGTGCTGGCTCTGCCCGCTCCCTGCTCTTCCTCCAGCTCGAGTCCTGTCCTCCCAGAGCTCTGCCCGCTGCCCAAACCCTTCTGAGCCCCTGCCTCCAGGCCCCCAGCGGTCGTGGTGCTGGGAGCTGGACGTGCACCTGGGCCTCCTCCAGAATGCGGCGGTGCAGGACGCGGCCCAGCGAGGCCATGCCGACAGCAACCACACGGACCTTGGTGGACGTGCTGGCCAGCGAGTGGTCGCGCACGGCCTGCCCGACATGCCTGGCCAGGCCCACGCGGAGGGCACTGGTCAGGATCCAGGCTCCTGTGGGGATGGAAGAGGGCCTCGTTGTGCCGCACGCCCCAGGTCTTCCCTAGCTGGCCCCACGCCCTAACCCCTAGGCCCAATCAGCAGCCAGTTACCTGGGAGCCAGGGGTGGGTGCTGGGGAATGCCTCACGGTGGGGTGGGGAAGCCGAGGCCCAGAGAGGGCAAGGCACCCACCCAAGGCTGCTCAGCAGCAGAACTGGCTGGGCCCAGAACCTGTGAAGTGGCACCCCCACCCCACCTGGAGCGCACAAACTGGGGTCCAGTCCCCCCACCGTGCTCCCTCCGGGACACATCCGACACAACTCTGTCCAGCTGCCTCTGCTGGGTGAGAATCCCAGGATGTTTTCCCAAATGACAAAGCCCTCGGCCCTTGTCTGGCTGGAAGATCTCTTTGGGTTTGCCACAGTCATTTAGTGAGGGATCCTGAAACCTCAAGTCCTTTTCTCCTGGGTGTTGTATAGGCCAAGCTGCCTCAAAAAACAGCCCAGCCATTGGACTCTGGCCCCTGCAGCTGGCGGCCCGACTGCTTCCCCAAGGGGTCCCACCCTGTATACACCCGGGTGCTCTGGTCCCAGGTGAGTGGGAGCAGGGACATCTCATGGCGGCCCATGGGCCCTGCTAGTGGAGGGGGCAGCTCTAAGGAAGGGCCAGGCCCAGCTGGGGGAGGTCCTGGTCCAGTACGTAGGCACTGCTGCACCTGTGGGTACTGCAGAGGACGGGCTGAGAGTTTCGGGAAATGTTCTCGTGATGGCCTGGAGAGTCAGGGGGTCTGGCTGCCGTGTGGGGTGGGAGCATTGCCTGTGCCGGGTGGGGGGACAGTCAGGGGGTCTGGCTGCCCTGTGGGGTGGGAGCACTGCCTGTGCCGGGTTGCGGGGACAGTCAGGGGGTCGGGCTGCCCTGTGGGGTGGGAGCGCTGCCTGTGCCGGGTGGGGCCTCACCTGTGCTCTGAGCCGCCTTCACCAGCCCCTTGCGCAGCACATCCCGCAGCCAGGACTTCATGGCGAAAGGCTGCTCCTCACCCACCAGGGACACCACCAGGTTGGGGGCCGGCAGGTGCCACTCAGCAAGCAGCAGGTCAAAGAGCACAGACGGGGCCACTCCGCTCGGCACCCGTACAAACTGCAAGGCAGGTCTGCAGCTCAGGGCTTTCGGGGCACGGGGCATGGGAGCTGCTGGGCATTGGGGGGGGCTGGACACAAGGGGGCACTGGGGAGGTGCTGAGCATGGGGGGACACTGGGCACTGGGAGGTGCTGGGCATCAAGGGGGCTGGACACAGGGGGTACCGGGGAGGTGCTGGGCATTGGGGGCAGGTAGCAGGAGGAGAGTGGCCCCCAATATCCCTTCTGGGACAGGGCCAGTCCTCCCTTGACCTGCTGTGTGACCTGGGCAGTCCTGACCCCTCTCTGGGCTGGCATCCCCCTCAGTGAGCCGAGGGCGCTGGACAGAGGTGGGGCCCTGGATGCACTTGACCTTGCACCTCCAAATCTCTCGGGGGGACTTCAGGGGTCCCGGTTATTGCAGGGAGGTAGGAGGCCGGCCAGAGCCACTCCTTCCAGCTCTGGAACTCTGCCTGTCTGGGGGCTCTGAATATGGCCCCAGGGGAGCAGACCCCAGGGGTGAGGAGGACCCTGGCACTCAGCTTCCAGGGAAGGAAATGGGGCCTCATGGGTTCCAGGTCAAGGCGGACATCACCTGAGGCCTGGGGCCTGCCCTTACCTTGCCTCGCTTCTTCCCAGACCCTCCAAAGTTGACCTCGCCCCTGTGCAAGCCCAGCTCCCGCCGGTCTTCAGCATCCCCGGGGCTTCCGGGACGGGGGCCTTGGACATCCTGCATGGTGGCCTCTAGAGCTGCAGGGATACCCTGGCCCTTGAGGGCTGAGAAGGCCCATCCCCACCTCCCTCCCCTCAGGGGGCTGGCTCTGCTTTCCCCTGGGAAGCCCCTCTCCAGCCAACATGCACAAGGAGACCTGGGGACTGCCCCCAGGCATCTCTGCCCCAGGGACCTTCTCTCCAGCCAGGCCCTGCCCAGCGACCCCCTGCAGCTCCGACACTCGCTGTAGCACCGCCCCAACCAAGCTCCTTCCCAGGTGAGGATGGGATGTGTGGGGCTCCGCTGTCAGCGCCTGGTTCCTCTACTCACCCCACTCAGGGCACCTCAGGTTGGCCACACCTGCAGACATTTCTCCAGAGGCCTTTTGTGGGGATGACCTGGAAACTCCGAAAGACTCAGCAGAGGCCTTGCAGTCCCCTGGCCACACAGCCCACCCGCTCCCAGGACAGGGATGTGGAGACCCTGGGTGCACCTGGGTAGAGGTGAAAAGGTGAGACAGGTGCCCTCAGCTCAAGTGCAGGAGGCGGTGTGGACGAGAGACCACCTTCCTTGCCCAGGAGGTCCAGGAGGCCCAGGACACACAGAGAGAGGAGGCCTTGCCCCGGCCCACACAGCATCAGCAGCAGAGCTATTCCCGTGGCGCTCCCACATCAGCAAGCGGGGGTAGAAGAGGCCGCGTGCGCCTCAGCCCTATTCCCTCAACCCTCATGGGGCTCATGTCTCCCAGCTGCCCGGTGAGGTCGGGCATCTCAGCCCCTCTCTATGTGGCAGGGATCCAAGGATCGGCACTGGCCCCTCAGCGCCCTGGCTCCGCCCCTGCCCACAGCCTCATCTGTCAGCTGCCCAGCCCCAGCCTGGCTGACCTCGGTCTGGCTTGGTCCCACCTCCCTCCGATTGCTCCTCTGAAAACTCAATATTGGAAGCTGGTGCTTGAGGACAAGCCCTGGCAGGCCGAGGGCACCTGCTCCTCTGTCTGCCCTCCTGGAACCACGCGTCGGGTCACAGGCCGCTGGGCAGAGGTCTCCGTGGGCCCCCAGCCACCCTACCCTGTCCGACCTGGGGCTACCTGGCAGCTCCTGATCCCACAGGGCTGTCCCTTGGTTCTCCTGTGCCCACCTTGTACCCAGGCGCTCTGGGCTGTGTCCACCACAGAAGCCCTTTGTGAGAAGACAATGGACCGTTCTGTAAAAACCTTCATTTCCTAGAGAGGGGCCCACCTGTGACCCCAGGAGGGGATACAGGAGTTGGGGGGAACTTCAGAGATGAGAGGGAGTGTGTCCTGGGACCCCTGGGGCTGGCTTTGGGGCAGAGGCTAAGGCCAAGGCCCTCCCCATTAGGCCTCTGGAGCCAGCACAGTTACTGCATCCCCAAACAGGTATGTCCAAGTCCCAAACCCCAGGACCTGGGAATGTGACCTTTGGAAACAGGCCCTTTGCAGATGTATTAAGATGTAAGTAAAGATGAGGCCATGCTGGAGCAGGGGGAGCCCTGATTCCCAGGTTCTGATAGAGAAAGGGGACATTTGGACGTAGAGACAGACGCGCAGGGAAAAACACCCTTTAAGACACAGGGGAGGGGTGAAGGCAGTGGTTGGGTGATGTGGCCACAAGCCAAGGGACACCTGGAGCCCCGAAGCTGGAAGAGGCAGGAAGGATCCCCCTCGAGGGCTTGGCCTTGCCGACAGTTTGACTTAGGACTCAGCACTGGTGGCCTCCAGAACCATGAGAGAATCAATTGCCATTGTTTTAAGATGCCCAGCTCAGGCTGGTTGTCTTGGCTGCCCAGGGCCCCCCTGTGAGGCCCAAGTCAACCCCGGCACGACTTCTGGTGACTGCCAGCCCCAGGCAGGACCCACCCACGGGCCTCAGCCCCCTCCTCCGGCCAGGCCTGTGGAGGCGCCCTGATGCCCTCAGCACCACGTGGGCCTCAGCTGTCCCTGCAGGGTGATGCAAATCCTCCCGCACTTCTGCCTCCAGAGCAGGAACCAGCCCGCGGACCGCAGAGAGGCAGGATTTGAATACGGCCTCCCGCGCTGGTGGAGACGCCTGGTGGTTTTCTGTGTTGGGAGCTGGTGTCTGTGGCCAGGCCCCAGGTGGGGGCTGGAGGCTGGGACAAGGCTTGGCATTGCTGTTGTGTCCCGGGGCTGCCAAAACAAAGGGCCACACTCTCGGGGGCTCAAAACAACAAATGGATGATCTCATAGTTCTAGAGCCCAGACGTCCCAAATCCAGGCATCGGCAGGGCCGTGCTCCCCCTGGAAGCTCTCAGAGCGGGTCCTTCCCACCCTTTCCAGGTTCCTGAGGCGCCAGGTGTTCCTGGCTGTGGCCGCGTGGCTCCAGCTTCTGCCTTGGTTGCCGCATGGTCTGCCTCGCCTGTCTGTGTCCTCTGCAATCATTGATTGCCCAGGCCCGCCCTACCCCAGCGTGGCTTCATCTTCATGGTGCGCCATCTGCAAGGACCCCACTTCCAAACGAGGTCATATTCTAAGGTTCCCAGTGGACAGTATCCAACCATTAGTGTCGCCCCATCTGGGAGGACACCACTTAATGCAGAACAGGCAGGGAGGTGGGATGTGTGCTTGTAGCCCTGGGCGGGAGTCCTCACCCTGGGCGGGGGTCCTCAGGCTGGCCTTCACTCCCACCAGGCCCTGCCACACCTGGTCACCCGCTGGGGTCAATCCTGGCTACGTGTGGACATGTGCCCTGCAGCTGGGGATGCATGGCCAGGCGTGTCCCCAGCACAGGGTGTAGGGGGCTTGGGGTTTGGCCATGACCCTCAGCCTGGGGGACGGGACTGGGCTGGACAACACTGTTATCCTCGCCTTCCCCATGACTCTTAGGCCATAGATGGGGGACTCCTTCTTCTCTTCCCTTCGTCCCTGGTGGGGAAGCTAATGGAGGGCCTGGGCCTTGGGAGGGGTCCTACAGGGCTCCCTGGCCCTTGAATTGCTTTCCAGTGAGCCTCAGCTTTGCCTCTTGGAAGTTCTGGGATAGGACATCCGGGAGTACCCTTCAGCCTGGAGCTCGGCAGTGCCTCCCTGACTCTATGCAAGACCCCCGGGACGACCAGCAGCCATCAGAGGTGGAAGCAGCCACAACCAAAGCTCTGGCCCTTCCCAGGGCCCACAGCACCTCCTTCCTCCCGAGGACGGGACAGAGCTGGGCACCCAGCAGCTGAGGTCAGGGAAGCCGAGTAGCAGCGTGGGGCAGCCTCACCTTCCTGGTGGCCGCAACCACCCCTTGCCCCATGCCCAGGCTCGGTGCCCCCCGCCCCCGCCGGCCAGCCCAGGGACTAAGGAGGCATTTGGCCAGGTGCTAGGCACCAGGCAAATGGGCCCAGAGGGAGGTGATGCAAACAGCTGGGATTTGCATGAGCAGGTGCCCAGGTCTTCTGCACCCCTCCCTGTGCATCCCAGGGTGGGGCAGGGAGCCCGGGACAGCCAGGGGCCATCGTGACCCCTGGCCAGAAGTCCACCCCAGAACTCCCAAGAGGCAAAACTGAGGCAGCCCCCCAGACGGTGAAGGCGCTGGGGCTCCCAGGGCAGCGGGGCACCTGTAGCCGCAGCCAAGAGCCAAATGTGGCTTCCTGGGCTCCCCAAGACCAGCTCAGGGCAGAGCTGGATGACCAGGCCCTGGGGTCCCAGCCCCGCTCATCCCCACCAGGCTGTGTAACTTTGGGCAGGTCCCTCAGCCTCCCTGGGCCTGCCTCATTTGTGAGATTTGGGGGAACGGCCAGTCACAAGGGGAGGGTGCCAGAAAGGTCCCTGCGTGCAGCAGGCTGGAAGTCAGCTGTGTGTCCTTGTGTCCTCCCTATGAGGATGCCCCATCTCCCTGGGCTGCAGTGGAGGACACGGCTCAGGGAAGTGGTGGCAAGAGGACACAGTAGTGACCTGGTGACCCCAGACCCCTCCCACTGCCCCACTCCCTTCGCCCTCAGCTTCTGAGCCGCACCTGCCTTTGCAGGCTGCTGGCCAGACACTGCCCCTGAAGTCTCAGATCCAGAGCCCGTGGGGCTGGCCCTCCTGCCCAGACCCTCTTCCAGCACTGGGCAGCCCCTTCCAGAATGCCCCACCTCACCCCAGTGGGGCCGGCCCTTCACAGCCCAGGGAAGCGGGGATCCTCCCTGCTAAAGATAAGGAAACTGAGGCAAGAGGCAGGGGTGTGGCCAAAGCCGCACTGTCCTGGTCCCCACTCCTCTCATGCCCACCTGCCCTTCCCACCTGGGAGGAGGAGGTACAATCCTGCTCCTTCTCCCCACCTGGGCTGTCAGCGGTGTGAGGGTCCCTACCTGTCTGCCTTCTCCCCAGCACCCTGACACGCGGCTGCTGGCCAAGGCGCGGGTGGAGCCGTCTGCCTACCTTGCAGGGTGTGCCTGTGGGCCCAACTCTCAAGCCTCTCCTCCTCCTCTTCCCCGCCCACAACTCCTGGCACCTGGGCAGCCAATGCCAGCCCTAGGGAGCTGGCCATGAACCAACACAGGGCACCACCTCACCTGCTCCACACGGCCGAGCCCACAGGCCTGCTGTCTCCAAAGCCACCCAGACACCAAGGGCTGGCCGTCCTCAGGTGTGATTGGCACCAAGGCCCTGGGGGCATGTCCGATTTGACTGGGAGAGGAGACCCTGTGTGGACGTGGCTTCTAGGCCACTTAGATTGCTGTCGTTGCCTCCTTTGGCGATGTCTGGCGGGGTGGCCCGGGACCGATGCAGCTGAAATCCACCCTGAAATGTGATGGGACAGGGCTCTTCACCTCAGTTTCCACAGTAAGTAGGAACAGGAGCTGCCTCAAGAGCACACGTCTCATGCCGGGGTGCTGGGCCCAGCTGTCCTGTGGAGGACAGGGAGGCAGAGGGACTGTCTCCTCCCTGCTGTGGCCCTGCGAGGCCGTGGGGCATCGGCCCCCATGGTGTCTCATCTGTGCTGGAAAGGCTGCACAGCCGTGGGCCAGCTGTGAGTGATGTCCATTCACCGGTCAGCACCAGGGATGCTCTGTGAGGACTGTCCCTGCATCCGGAGTCAGGACAGGGTGCCAGTGGGACAGAGTGTGCCTCTGGAATCCCGCAGTCCTGGGATTGGATCCTGCATAGCTGTTGAGCTACTTAGCCACTTGGGCCTCAGTACCTTGGAGTGTCAAACAGGGACTCTAATAGCCTGGCTTCTGGGAGGTTGCAGGTAACACATGAGGAGAACAGAGCCTGGGGGATACCTCTGTGTGCCCCTTCCCAAAGAGACTCCAAGGACCCCCTGTTCGGGGCCCCTCAAACCATAAACTCCAGGAATGGTGGGGGACAGTATCTGGGACTTGCTCTCTGGGACCCTGGTGGCCTCTCTAGTCTGGCCTGTCAGCCACCAGAGGGCGCTAAAGGACCATGGGCAGAGTCTGAGGCAGTGGTGGTAACGGGTGAAGGTGATGGTGGTGGTGGTGATGATGGTGGCAGTAGTGGTGGTGGTGGTGATGATGATATTGATGGTCATGATGGTGGTGGTGACAATGATCATGGGGACCGTGCTGATGGCGGTGTTTGTGATGATGGTGGCGGTGGTGGTGATGGTGGTGGGCATGAGGGTAGTTGGGGTGGTGATGGCATTACCGTTGATGAGGGTGGTGATGATAGTGATGGTGATGGTGGTGGGAATGATGACGAAGATGATGATGATAGTGGTGCAAATGGCAGTGGTGGTGGTAGTGACTGTGGTGTTGTTGATGGTATTAGTGCTGATAAAGGTGGTGATGATGATGATGGTGGTGGGTGACGAAGGTGGTGGTGGTGATGATTGTGGTGGGGATAATGGTGGTGATGGTGGTTATTGCAGTGGTAGTGTTGATCATGGTGGTGGTAGTGATGGTGGTCATGATGTTGGTGGTGTTGGTGTTGGTATTGGTGTTGGTGATGGTGATGGTGGTGGTAATAATCATGGGATGATGATAGTAGTCATGGTGGTAGTGACAATGGTGACAGTGGAGGGGATGGTGGTGGTGATAATGATTGTGGTGGTGATGGTGATAGTGTTGGTACTGGTGGTGGTGATGATGGTTGTGGTGGTGGTGATGATAGTGGAGGTGGTAGTAATGATGATGGTGGTGGTAGCTGGTAGTGGTGGCAGTGGTGGTGATGGTGATGATTGTGGTGATGGTGATGGGGTAGTGGTGGTTATGGTGGTGTTGGTTGTTATGGTGGTAGTGATGATCATGGTGGTGGTGACTATAGTCACTGGTGATGCTGGTGTTCATGGTGATGGTGATGATGATAGTGGTGGTGGTTGTGGCAGTGCTGCTGCTGATGGTGGTGGTGATGATGAGGGTGATGATGACAATGAGTATGATGATGGTGGTGGTGATGATCGTGGTTGTGGTGTGTTGATGGTGGTGTTTATTGTGGCGGTGATGATGATAGTGTTAATAATTGTGGTGATGTTGGTGATGGTGGTGATGGAGACGATGATGGTGATGATTGTACTGGTGGTGTTGGTGATGGTGTGGTACGATGGTGGTGCTGATGGTCATGATGGTGGTGGGGGTGATAATGATCCTGGTGGTGGCCATGGTGGTGTTTTTGATAACGTGATAATGTTGGAGATGGTGGTGATTGTGGTGGTGATAATGGTGGTCATGGTGATGGTGATATCAGTGTGGGTGATGTAGTGGTGGGGATGGTTCAGATGTTGGTGATGGTGGTGGTGATGGCAGTGATAGTTAGGATGATGGTGATGATGATGATGGCATGGGTGCTTGATATGGTTTGGCTCTGTGTTCCCTTCCAAGTTGTAATCACCATAATCCCCATGTGTCAAAGGCGGGACCAGGTGGAGGTAATCGGATCATGGGGGTGGTTTCCTCCATGCTGTTCTCATGATAGTGAGTGAGTTCTCATGAGATCTGATGGTTTTATAAGCATCTGGCATTTCCCCTCACTCCATCCTGCTGCCCTGTGAAGAAGGTGCCTCTAAGTCTATGGAGTTGGGGGGCACAGTCCTTCATCTATCCTGGTCCTTCCCTCCACCTCTGTCTCCTGGACACCCAAAAAAACTGCAGAAGTTCTTCCCCAGCCAACTCTGGTTCAGTGCCAGGTCATGTTCCTCCCCGCCTACAACCTTCCATGGCTCCCTATTACCCTGACAATAAAACCCAAAGAAGCCTTGGAGCCTTGGCTTCTGGTGATCTGCTAGGATCACTTTTCCTTGGAACTCCTGCTGGCTCCCTCTTGCCACTCAGATACTGGCAGAACCTGGAGTGGGTGCTGGCTTGCACTCACTCCATCCTGCTGCCCTGTGAAGAAGGTGACTTGCTTCCCCTTCATCTCCGTCATGATTGTAAGTTTGCTGAGGCCACCCCAGCCATACTGAACTGTGAGTCAACTCAACCTCTTTCCTCGGTAAATTACTCAGTCTCAGGCAGTTCTAATACAGTGGTGATACTAGTGGTGGTGGTGGTGGTGGTGGTGGCTGGTTGTGGTAATTACAGTGGTAGTGGTGATGGTGGTAGTAATGATGATGATAGTGCTGGTGGTGATGTTGGTGGCAGCGGTGAGGGTGGTGGCGGTGATGGTGACGGTGTTGATGGTGGTGGTGGTTTTGGTGGTGGTGATGTTGGTGGCAGTGATGAGGGTGGTGGCAGTGATGGTGACAGTGTTGATGGTGGTGGTGGTTTTGGTGGTGGTGATGGAGGCGGTGTTGGTGTTGGTGGTGGTTTTGGTGGCGGTGATGGTGATGGTGTTGGTGGTGGTGGTTTTGGTGGTGGTGATGGTGGTGTTGATGGTGGTGGTGGTTTTGGTGGCGGTGATGGTGATGGTGTTGATGGTGGTGGTGGTTTTGGTGGTGGTGATGGAGGTGGTGTTGGTGGTGGTGGTTTTGGTGATGGTGACGGTATTGGTGGTGGTGGTTTTGGTGGTGGTGATGGAGGTGGTAGTGATGATGGTGGTCATGTTTATGGTAGTGATGACAGGGATGATGCTGGTCGTGGTAATAGTGGTTATGGTAGCAGGCCATGTTATAACGCTAGCAGCTTTGCTCTGGATGGGAAGGCTCCAGGTACTCCCAAAGTAGGCACCTATGGGCTGCTCTGTAAATGTCCCTTTGTCCCCTAGCATGGCTGAAACCCTCATCCTGAGAGGAGAAGCAGATATCAGCTTCCTCAGTAAATGCAGGTTGGTGTTGAGCTCAGAAACCCAGAACTTGGCTCTGAGCAAATGGGACTCAGACCAGGGACCCCACAAGCCCTCAGGCCTGAGACCCTAAAATCCTAGTTCTGAGAGCGAGGGGCCTATCTTGGGGGCCCTGGGCAAGGCGGAGGGTCCACTAGACCCTGAAAGTCCAGCCTAAGCTCACATCCACTCCTCTAGCCTGTGTCGTTGCCCTACAGCAGGTTCTGCCAGTGTCTGTGGTATGTGAATAATGAGGAGGTTCCCCCAGATCCTCTAAGCCTATGGGGTTGGGAGGCACAGTCCTTCCTCTATCCTGGTCCTGCCCTCCACCTCCATCTCCTGGACACCCAAAAGACTACAGAAGTTCTTCCCCAGCCACCCCTGGTTCAGTACCAGGTCATGTTCCTCCCTGCCTACAACCTTCCATGGCTCCCTATTACCCTGACAATAAAACCCAAAGAAGCCTTGGAACCTTGGCTTCTGGTGCTCTACCAGGAGCACTCTTCCTTGGAGCTCCTGCTGGCCCCCTCTTCCCACTCAGATCTCAGCTCTCATGTCCTTCCTCAGAGACCCCCTCACCCTAGACCACATCAGCACAGGGTGCCTCCCTCGGTCTCTTCCCCTGTGATCTGGTGTTAGTTTTCAGTATGCCTCACCCTCTGAAAGGTCTTTCATTTACTTTTTTGCTTGTCTGTGTCCCCTGCATGAGACTATGGCCTGAGCATTCCCTGCCACCTCCCTGGGGCCCAGAACACGCAGGTACAGACCACATGTTCTAAAGTCAATGAATGAATGAGTGAATCAATGGGTGAGTGTCCAGGCGTGTCTCTGTGTGAGCACTGCCATCAAGGCAGAGACGGAGGTGTCTAGGGGAGGCTGCATTTTTGCAAGGAGCAACTTCCTGGCCCACACTCACGCCCTGGGTGGAAGGGCAGACACTGGGCCGGGGCTCCACTGTCTGCCCGCTCTAGCCATGGGCACTGCTGCCAGGGGAGGAGGTGCCCAGGCGCTCACCTGCGTCCATGCGTGCTGTCATGAGGGACATCCCAGCTGCCGACAGAGCAGCCTCTGCCTGCCCTCTACAGCGGGTTTCCTCCAGCGGCCTCTGTCTTCTTTGCTACAGTTGGCCCCGGGCAGGCTTTACGTTGGAACTTCCTTTGGAGGAGAGGCCACGCCAGTAGAGCAGGACTCCAACAGGGCCCAGCCCCTGCCCCCACGGGGCCTCTATCCCTGGGACAGCAGATCCCCTTTGGATCTCCAGCAACCCCAATGGCTGACTGCAGAGGCTCAGCTCTCTCCTGCCAAGCCCTGCCATGCGAGGCTGGGCCCACAGGCTCAGAAGCTGACCCCAGTGTCCAGGAGAGCGTGAGCCGTCCCTGACCGGGGTCCTCGGGCCTCTGCTGAGAGAGAAGGAGCTGCAGGCTGGCTCCCCACCTGCACCACAGGCAGCCTCCCCCCAGGCACATCCTTGGGTGCCATGTGGCATTTTATTTACAGAAAGATTTGCAACCCACTTCTTCTTTGTCTTAGAGGGGAGAAACCACCACCCAGAGTAGGGCCCGCTGGCCCAGGGTCCCCATGCCAGTGTGGTGGGCGCCCCCAACCCAGCATCTCCCTCTGAACCACACACAGTCTAGCCCCAGGTGGGAGGGAAGCAGCCCGGAGCCCCTCAGACAGGAAAGCTGATGGTGGGGGCGTCAGGTCTGACCCCTCGGGGGGCAGCCCGAAGCCATGCAGTGGGGCAGCAGGGCCATGGGCAAGCTCTGCCAGTGGTGCCTGTGTCCAAGGCCTCCGGGCAGATCCTGAGTGCCCAGCAGTGGAGACCAGGAGTCCGGGAACCAGTGGAGCCGCACGTCCGTCCCCACTCCATTAAGTTCCCTGGCCCGGGCAGCGCCTGCAGCGTGCCACTGCTGTCTCGGCACCATCCTTGCAGCATCACCTTTTGCCTGTCCTTCTACTCTGGGAGGGCAACCTTGACCCCATCACAAGATGTGAACAGAGGTAGAGGCCGTAGGGGCCAGCGAGGCCAAATGACCTGCCCATAGCAATGCCGCCATGAGGCAAGGCCCACGCCCTCTCCCCTGCTGTCCTGTCCTGGAGCTTCCACAGCTGCAGGAAGACGTCCCCCTACCCTGCTCCCCGCAGAGGGTGCTTGGCGATCAGACAGCAGATCTGCAAAGGAAGGTGTAGCCTTCTTAGTGTGCGCAAGGGCTGCCCGGCCAACTCCACCATTGAGGGCAGATGCTGGCTGTGGAGAGGCCGAGCGCTGCCCGGGCCCAGTGGCTGGGGTAGGGGGCTCCATGCACTGTCCATGAGGGCATGTCCATCTGGCATATGTGCACCTGTGTGAGTGTGCTGTGTGTGGAGCGGGCACTGGGCCAGTGGTCAAGGCTGCAGTAGGACTTTCAGTGATTCCAGATCCTGTCTGGAAATGGGGATCATGAGAATTCCTTCCACTGAAGGGTGCGTAAGGCCTGAGCCAGTGTGCCTGGAACGTCCTGAGGACCAGCGGGGCCGGGGCCAAGACCTGGACAGGGCCTGGGTAATTGCGAGAAGCAAGGACCAGCGTGTGCCTGTGTGTGTCACTGTGCGCACATGGTGTGTGTGTGTGCATGCATATGTGTGGACACCGTGGGCATTTCTGTGTGGATGTTGTGTGTGTGTAGCTGCACTGTGTGTGCGGACAGCAGGTGTGCCTGTGGGTGTGTCTGTGTGACACTGTATATGAGTGTATGTAGACATTGTGTGTGGCTGTGTGTGGACACAGTGTGTGAGTGTATATGTGTGTGTAGGTGGACTGTATGTGTCTGTGTGGATCTGTGTGGATGCTGTGTGTGTGTATGTAGACACTGTGTGTGGCTGTGTGTGTGGACGCAGTGTGCGCGTGCATGTTTGTGTAGGTGCACTGTGTGTGTCTGTGTGGATGCTGTGTGTGAGTGTATGTAGACACTGTGTGTGGCTGTGTGTGTGGAGGCTGTGTGTGTAGGTGTACCATGTGTCTGTGTGGACGGTGTATGTGTGTGTATGTGCACCATGTGTGTCTGTGTGGACGCTGTGAGTGCATGTGTGTGCGTGGACACTGTGTGTGCGTCTGTGTGGACACTGTGTGACTGCATGTGTGTGGCTGCACTGTGTGTGTGTGGACACTGTGTGTGCAAATGCTGTGTGTGTGTGAATGTGTGTAGGTACACCGTGTGTGTCTGTGTGGATGCTGTTTGTGAGAGTGTGTGTGTGTGTAGGTGCACTGTGTGCGGACACTGTGTGTCCGGCTGTGTGTGTGTGTGTGGACACTGTGTGAGTGCATGTGTGTATAGCCGCACTGTGTGTGTGTGTGTGGATGCTGTGTCTGTGAGAATGCTGTGTATGAGTGTGTGTGAGTGTATGTGTAGGTACGCTGTGTCTGTGTGGACGCTGTATGTGAAAGTGTATGTGTGTGTGTGTAGGTGCACTGTGTGTGTGTGGACACTGCATGTGTGTCTGTGTGGAAACTGTGAGTGCATGTATGTGTAGCTGCACTGTGTGTGTGTCTGTGTGTCTGTGTGGACACTGTGTGTGTGTGTCTGTGGTGTGCAGGTGCTGGAAGGCAGGCTCTGCAGGTGCAGCTGGAGCTTCAAAGTGTGAGCATTGGGCCAGGAGGACCACAGCCTGGCTGATCCAGGGGAGAGAAGTCGTTTCTGAGGTTCTGGAAATGACAGCCATTGGGAAGCACCACACCGCCACTCATCCATGAACTCAACCATCCGATCACCCATCAGTTCATGCAGTCATTGGATACAGATTTTTGCTATTCATTTATCTACTTACTTTTGTAGAGATGTGGTCTCACTATGCTGCCCAGACTGGCCTCAAACACTTGGACTTGAGCAATCCTCCCACCTCGGCCTCCCACAGCACTGGATTACAGGCATGAGCCACCACAGCCGGCCTGGGGAGAGATTTATTGAGCGACTTCTATGTGCCAGGCACTGTGTCAGGGGGAGACACAGACAACAAGCAAGGGGATACGTGAGAAAGAAGGAAGATCAATCGATGATTAAGATGGCTATGGAGAAAAATAAAGCAGGGGAGGCCCAGCGGCTGCAAGATTTTATTTTTAAATGGGCGGGTCGAGGAAGAATTCATGGAGAGGCTGCCATCTGTGCAAATAACTGGACGAAGGGCGGCCCATCTGCTGGTCTATCCACCCACTCACTCACCCACCCACTCATGCACACATCCACCAGCACATATGCACCTCCTCACCCATCACCACCCACCCAGCCATCCAGCCTTCCACCAGCCTGCCCACCTGTCATTCACCCATGCACCCATGGCAATCCATCCCTCCATCCGTCCATCTGTCCATTCGTCTGTCCATCCATCCACCCGTCTGTCTGTCGATTCATCCATCTATCCGTCCATCTGTCTGTCCATCCATCCATCCATCCATCCATCCATCCATCCATCCACCCATCCACCAATCTATCCATGCATCCATCTGTCTGTTCATCCATCTGTCCATGTGCATCTGTCCATCTGTCCATCTATCCATCCATCCATCCACCAATCTGTGTATCCATGTATCAAACTGTCCATCTGTCCACCCACCCACCCATCCATCCATCTGTCCATCTCTCTACCCGTCTGTCCATCACTTCACCCACCTGTTTTCTCCTCTCTCCAGTTACCCACTCACCACTTACTAACTTCTCCACAGTGCCTAGTCTCTCCAGGATGGCGAGTCAGTCTCTGGTCTCAGGATGCCCACACTCTGGGGAACAGGCAGCAGGTAGCCATGGGGGATTGGCCAGAGCACCCCAAGAGCGTAGGCAGTTCTCGTGGTTTCTCCCCAGCCAGCGTATCTCCCAGAAGAGGTCACTATCCTCGAGGCCAGGAGCCTCACCTTCCGCTCCCCTGACCTCCCCCACACCGTAACCCAGCAAGGCTGGGAATTCAGTAGGTGCCCAATAAATCCCGGCAGGCTGGCTGAGTCATCCCACCTCCTCCTCCCCTACTGATCACCCATTCAGCTCCTGGCCCCATTGCCCAAACCCTGCCAGCCTTTGGGTGATCTGCTCAGCCGCCACCTCACATCCACTCTCAGCTCGGGGCCAGCTCTGGGCTCCAGCCCGTGATGGGCCATGGTGGGCTTCAGAGGGTGAGCCCCCCACACCATTGTACCAGTCTGGCAAGACGGATGAGTGCCCTGGTCAGTAGTGGCCCACCTTGGCCTGGAAGGATGTAGGGACAGGCTGCCCACCCCCATTT
The DNA here is from genome assembly GCF_000001405.40 of Homo sapiens. Taxonomy (NCBI): domain Eukaryota; kingdom Metazoa; phylum Chordata; class Mammalia; order Primates; family Hominidae; genus Homo; species Homo sapiens. The sequence goes on from NC_000011.10 coordinate 2,436,421, forward strand.
GCCCTCCTTCTCTGAGTGGCTAGGACAGCCACCACCACTCTCCAGGGAGGGGAGGGGCTGGCCTGTCACACGTCCCGGACAGGCCTGCCTGGGCCCAGGAAAGGGCTATGTGTGTAGGTGGCAGGCTGCTGCCCTGGGCAGGGGCCCCGCCAGGGCTGGGGAGGCCTCAGACCTTTAGATTGTGGGGCTGGTCCCCAGCACTCCCACTGGGGGTGGGAAGCTTGGCGGCCAGTGACGGGAGGGTCAGCAGAGGGGCCCGTGCTCCTGGCTGAAGCCAACCTCCCACACAAGGTGATGCCGACAACTCCAAGAATCGATGCTGTGTCAGGAGCAGTCTCCGGAAGTGATTTCCGCCAGATGGGCTGGGCCCAGGTGGGAATCTGGGAGCTTCCCCAGAACAGGGAGCATGAGACCAGCTCAGAGAGTCTGCAGTGACATCAGATGACCTAACCTCAGATCAAAGTGAACGCAGCCAGAAGCACCCCGCTCGCCCACCTGGGCACTGGGCCGAGACCCTGGGTCCTGGGCTGGGAGGAGTGAGTGTGGGTGTGTGACCTTCAGGGAGGGCCCCGCCACCAGCCATGAGCCCACAGGGTGTAGCTCCCCACCTCTCTACTCTGCCCCACTGCTTTCTGTCCTGGGTGCACCTTTCCCAGCCTGCTGGATCCTGCTGCTTTAAGGCTGCCTGTCTTAGGAGAAGGGATGGGGGATCCCCAGGTCCTTCATGGTGACAAAAAGGCTCTTTCACACATGCACACCTACACATACTTGCACACATGTGGGCAGACACACATACAGCCTCAGTCTTCCCTGGCTGGTTCCCAGCTTGTCGTCTTGGAAGAGGAGGAGGTGGGGTACACCCAAGCTGTGAATTGGGAGACAGGTCATGACACACCCATCTCCTACATCTCCTGATTTCACAGGTGAGAAAATTGCCTTGGTGGGGAGCCCTGGCTTCAGTGTGCATGTGGACCTGCTTCTGGGTGGGGGGTGCCTTTCTCTATGAAGGTGTGTCTGTCCTGCACCACTGTGGGATTCAGGAAGGCAAGGCCTCTTGTGCAGTGTGTGGGGCACAGTCAATGCCGGTGCTGACTGTGGAGTGACCATCTGACATAGCCTGCAATCAGGAAGGACCATGTCAAGGCAGAACTGAAGGACCCTGAGCTAGTTCTGGCTCTGTCCTGCTGTGGTGCCCAAACTTGGGGACCCTCAGGACATTCCAAACCTCAGGGTCTCCTGCACAGGAGAGAGGGGAGTACACTAAAATGCAGATTCCTGGGGCCGACCCAGCCCCACTGTACTGGGTCTGCATTAGAGGCTGTTTACAGAGCCCCCAGGCAACTGCCCTGGGGTCCCCTCCCAGACCTGCTGGTAGGGGTGGGTCTGAGCTGACCGGTCTTTATGAGCATGCGGGGGCAGGTAGTTAGGGAATAGGTGAGGCAGTGATGAACCAGGAACCGCCTGTGGGGTTAGGATCAAGAACAGGGGCTTGCTGATGAACGTAAATATAAAAATCCTCAACAAATACTAGCAAACCAAATCCAGAAACACATCAAAAAATTAATTCACCACAGTCAAATAGACTTCATTCCTGGGATGCAAGGTTGGTTCAACATATGCAAATCAATAAATGTGGTTTGTCACATAAACAGAACAAAAAAACCATATGGTCCTCTCAATAGATTCAGAAAAAGTCTTTGAAAAAATCCAAACATCCCTTCATGATAAAAACCTGCAACAAACTAGCCATCAAAGGAACATACCTCAAAATAATAAGAGCTGTCTATGACAAACCCACAGTCAACATCATATTGAACGGGCAAAAGCTGGCAAAAGCATTCCCCTTAAGAATAGGAATAAGACAAGGATGTACACTCTCACCACACAAAAAAATTACCTAGGAATACATCTAACCCAGGAGATGACGCATCTCCACAAGGAGAAACACTCCTGAAAGAAATTGGCTGGATGCAGTGGCTCACACCAGTAATCCTAGCATTTTGGGAGGCTGAAGCGAGCGGATCACTTGAATCCAGGAGTTCGAGACCAGCCTGGCCAATATGGTGAAAACCCCAACTCTACAAAAAAATACAAAAATTAGCCAGGCATGGTGGCATATGCCTGTAGTCCTAGCTACTGGGGCGGTTAAGGTGGGAGGATCACCTAAGCCTGGGAGGTTGAGGCTGCAGTGAACCAGGACTGTGTCACTGCACTCCAGCCTGGGTGACAGAGTGAGACCCTGTCTTAAAAAAAAATTACAGATGACACAAATGGAAACACATTCCATGCTCATGGATAGGAAGAATCAGCATCATTAAGATGGTCACATTGTCCAAAGCAATCTACAGATTAAGCGCTATTCCTATTAAACTACCAACGTCATTTTTCACAGAATTAGAAAAACTACTCTAAAATTCATATGGAACCAAAAAAGAGCCAGAATAGCCAAGGCAATCCTAAGCAAAAAGAACAAAGCCAGAGGCATCACATTACCTGACTTCAAACTAATGTTCAAGGCGACTATAACCAAACCAGCATAGTACTGGTACAAAAATAGACACATAGACCAATGGAACAGAATAGAGAGCCCAGAAGTAAAGCCACACACCTACAGTAATCTGATCTTCAACAAAGTCAACAAAAATAGGAAATGGGGAAAAGACTCCATATTCAATAAATGGTGCTGAGACAGCTGGCTTGCCATATGCAGAAGAATGAAACTGGACCCCTAATTTTCACCATATGCACAAGTGACACAAGATGGATTAAAGATTTAAATGCGAGACCTCAAACTATAAGACTACTAAGAGAAAACATCGGAAATACCATTCTGGACATCAGCGCTGGGAAAGAATTTATGATTAATTTCTCAAAAGCCATTGCCACAAAAATATACATTGACAAGTGGGACCTAATTAAGCTAAAGAGCTTCTGCACAGCAAAAGAAACTATCAACAGAGTAAACAGACAACCTACAGAATGGGAGAAAATATTTGCATCTATGCATCTGACAAAGGTCTAATATCCAGAATCTATAAGGAACTCAAACAATTCAACAAGAAAAAAATAAATAACCCCGTAAAAATTGCTCAAAGGAGATGAACAGATGCTTCTCAAAGGAAGACATCCATGCGGTCAACAAGCATATAAAAGAAAGCTCAACATCACTAATCATTAGAGAAATGCAAATCAAAACCATAGTGAGATACCATCTCACACCAGTCAGAATGGCCTTTGTTAAAATATCAAAAAACAATACATGCTGGCAAGAGTGAGCAGAACAGGGAACGCTTATACACTGTGGGTGGGAATGTAAATTAGTCCAGCCACTGTGGAAAGCAGTTTGGAGATTTCCCAAAGAACTCAAAACAGAAGTTCCATTTGACCCAGCAATTCCATTAATTCCTGGATACATATACAAAAGAAAAATCATTCTACCAAAAAGACACCTGCACTTCCATGTTCATCGCAGCACTATTCACAATAACAAAGACCTGGAATTAACCCAAGGTGCCCAACAGTGGTAGACTGGGTAAAGAAAATGTGGTATATACACACCATGGAATACTATGCAGCCATGAAAAAGAATAAAACCATGTCATCTGCAGCAACATGGGTCCAGCTGGACACCATTATCCTAAGCAAATTAACTGAGGAACGGAAAACCAAATACCACATGTTCTCACTTATAAGTGGGAAAGTGGGAACTAAATGATGGGTGCTCATAGACATAGAGGGACAACAATAGACACTGGGGACTGGTAGATGGTGGGGGAGCAAGCGTTGAAAAACTATTGGCTACCATTGTCACTATCTGGGTGATGGGATCATCCATACCCCAAACCTCAGCATCACGCAATATACCTATGTAACAAACCTGCACACATACCCTCTGAATCTAAAAAAGAACAGCAGGGCCTTAAATGGGGTGATGCCTTACAGATGTAGGGCATCATATCCATAGGAGACATTCGCCAGGCATAAGGATCCTCTGGAGAGACACATCAGCTTGAGGAATACAGGGTGGTGGCTCTGTCCAGCCACCCTGCCCCATCTCCTACCCTCCCATCCATTCTGCATTGGGTGCCTCCTGCATGCAGAGTCCTCCTCCAACAGCAAATGCCTCCCAGATTTGCTGAAGGGCCTGCTCCAGGGTCTCTGTGGAGACGCCCCTGGGACCCTTGCTGACCACCCTCCACAATCTGCACCCCCATCCTGTGCCCCCTTCGTTTTTTTTGTCCCACCACTACCTGGTGGTGAGACAGCTCTGTAACCTGCGCCTAGAACAGCGCCTGGCACTCAGCCGGTGCTCTGCGAGGATCTGGGGGAATGAACGAATGATTGAATGAATGAATAGGTAGGAAGACTACCTGAAGGAGGATGTTGGCCAGGAAGCCTGTGGTGGCCTGGCTGTTCTAGCAGCCCAGCCCTGGCCCGCAGATGCTGATCTCACAGCAGCCACACACCCTTCCCTTGGTCAGCCTCAGCTTCCCCATTCCTCATGCATTCTTGGTGACTTCTGAGGCTCCTCCCACTGTGGGCCTCTGACCCTGCTGGAGGAACATGAGGTGAGCCTGGTGAGCTGAGGGATGTCGGCAAACAGCCCTGGAAGGTTGGTGTGAGGTAGATTGAGTGCCATGTTTCCAGAAGGTTCTGAGGCTCTGGGACAGCCTGAGAGCCTGAGAGGCTGGGAGAGGGTTGCCTTCCTGTTCATGCTGGCTGATAGGTCTGTCAGTCTTTGCATCTAGGACAGCCAGGGCTGGACATGTGCACCCACCGGAATGATAGAGGAGGGGCTTTCCTCAGTGGAGGGTGTGTCCTGGAGAGAGCAGGTGGCAGCTGGGAGGCTACAACCCTGCGGTCCTGCTCCCTCAGCTGATGGGGGCCCTCCTCACCTCCTTGCTCACACAGAGAGTGGCCACTGGGCTCGGTCAGGCCCCACTTGTATTGTCTGTCCTACCAGGCCATCCACCCTTACTCCCCCACCCTCAGCCCTTGGCCTCACCTGAGCCCACACCCAGCCCAGCCCAGCCCCACCTTACCTCACCTGCGCACCTGGCCTTACTCCCTCCTCTCAGTTCCCCACCCATCCCCCTTCAGCTCCTTGGAGCTTGCAGGGAGCTTGAAGACAATCCCTTGTCCAGTCTCTCTCCTGCCTCAGTGTCCCCAAGCCAATGGGACCCCATACCCCCAGAGCAGCAGGCTGTGGCACAGCTCAGGGCCCAGGAGACAGCCCTGGGGGCCTCCAAGAAGCCTCCCTAGTGAGTTATTAGAATTTTTTTTTTTTAGATGGAGTTTCGCTCTTGTCACCCAGGCTGGAGTGCAGTGGTGCGATCTCAGCTCACTGCAGCCTCTGCCTCCCGGGTCCAAGTGATTCTCCTGCCTCAGCCTCCTGAGTAGGTGGGATTACAGGTGTGTGCCACCACACCCAGCTAATTTTGGATTTTCAGTAGAGGCGGGGTTTTACCATGTTGACCAGGCTGGTCTCAAACTCCTGACCTCAAGCGATCAGCCTGCCTCGGCCTCCCAAAGTGCTGGGATTACAGGTGTGAGCCACTGCATCCGGCCTAGAATTTTTAAAATATGGAGGCTTGACCTGCCTGACCGCCCTGCCTTTTCACTCGTTTTCAGAATAATGAGCAAAGCAACCTGCAGAAGATCAAATAGGATTTTTCAGTATTATCATGAATGCATGGGCTTTTCAGCTATTTGATGTGTTTTCATCCATGACTCTTTCTGATGCTCAAATTGTCCCATTGTTGATCAGCCCCTTCTCAAACTTGACAATGAACAATAGTAGGATATACCTTTTTCCTAAGATAAAATAGCTGAGGAGTCTATGCTAATATAGTCCATTCAATTTAAGGACTGGTTTGTACTTCTTTGATTTTTTAAATCTGTATCACTTTTATACTGAAAATCTTGGTTCCAAAGGAATTTAGCATCATTCTTTGATACACACACACACACACACACACACACACACACACACACACACACAGAGTTCTTTGGGATCCTTTGGTTGAGTATTAGTGATCATATTGATCATGGCACTCCATCGTGTGACTGTACCACAGCACAGCTGAAGCGATTGAAGGACATTGTGATTGTCTCTAGACTTTTGCTAATATAAAAAATGCTGTTTTGACTATCATTATGTATATGTACTTTTCTATTTTTCCTACATATCTTTGGGTTATTTCCTAGAAGTGGGGTTTCTGTGTCAAATGATACATTTAGTAATATCGCTAGGTCTCTTTTCTACCAGTGATGAGGAGTGCACCTGTGCCTGCTGCCTCTCCCACAGAGTTGCCATCAAAAGTCTGGATTTTTGCCAATCTGATAAGCAAGCAGTGGTATCAGAGTGTACTTTTCATTTGCATTTTTCTTGTTATAAATGAGGTTGAACATTTTTTCATAAGTGCAAAGGTCATGAACCCCATTTCCTATGAACTGCTCATGTCTTCTGCTCCCTTTTCTATAGGACTGTCTGGCAGGTTCCTCACCTCAGTTTTGATGTTCTTTATGTATCAGTGATATTAATCCTTTGTGATCGAAACTGCAAATACTTTTCCCATTTGGTCATTTGTCTCCTTTACTTTGCTAATGGTGCTTCTATTTTAATTTTTCTTATTTTATCTGTTGCTTTTGGATTTCAAGTCATAGTTGGAAATGTTTTCCCGATTCACAGGTTCTTGAGGAATTGACCTGTACATTCTTGTAGAATTTGCATGGCTTCATCTCACCCTTTACACTTGAGCCTCTGATTCATTTGAGATTTATTCTCGTGTGCGGTGAGATGGACCCAAGGTATGCTTTTTCTTTCTTTATGACTGTCCAGTTGTCCAAACGCTGCTTATTCAAAGCTCACCTTCCTCCTGCTGAGGTGGGAGGGGAAGGCAGAGACTCCATGCAGGTGTATGTATGTTCACCCGGAAAGTAACTGCTGAATGCGTGCTGTGTGCCCTGCAGAGCTGACTGACTGCCCCCATCTTCTGACCCGCTGCCCTTCTGCACCTTCACTGATATGCTTCCCAGGAAGGTACCCTCTCCTCGGCCTCCCTTGTGTTATCACAGCGCCCAGCACAAGCTGGGACCCACTCCATCCACTCTTGCTGCAAATACAGACTGTGCACTCCTGTGTGGCACCTCACTAGGGTGGGGAGTCAGGCGTCAAGGGCCTGGGCTGGACTCCGTCCACGATAAAAGAGCAGACTTTTGGCAGGGGGTGGTAGATACATCAAATTGACCCAGGGTGCTCAGGGACGACCTGGAAGTGTCACATGAGTTATGGGTCTCCTGGCGGGGCGGAGAGTCACCGCTGAGCTCCACCTTTAGTCCCTGCCTCAGGGCTGTGTGCAGTATCCTGAAAAAAGCCGGTCTCTTCTGTTGGCTGCCCCCCACCCCCCCCCCAAGCCTGAGACGTGCTGAGACCCAAATGCCAGTAGCGGGCGGGAGGCAGTGCAGAGACCTGTGAAAATCTTCCGATGTGACCAACCCACCCCCACCCAGGGGAATCCACGGGGCGCAGCGGCAGCGCGGTCTCGACGGTGGGGAGGACAAGGCGCCCATTCTCCAAGTTACTAGGGTGGCGCAAGCGCCTCTCCCTTTAACTGCCCAGGCAGCCCCGCCTGCTATGCCCGGCAGTCAAACCAGGTCCAGACCCCGGCTGTGCCGCCCCCACCCCCCAGCAGCCCTGCCGGCTCCCCACCCACACAGCTCCCACTGGGAGGTACCTGACAGTGGTGGTCCCATCTCACCCTCCCGGTCCAAGGGCCCTGGTGGGAAGCGACCCGAGCGTATTCGCCGCCCGCAGCTCGCGCGCCTGGGCACCCGGGGGCGCTCACAGTGATCGCGGGGCCAGCACACCCTCACCCAGGACATCCCTTTCCTCCCCCCAACCCCAACTCCGGAGTGGCTCAGAGGGAGGGAAAGTAGATGCCGGCACCCTACCCCGCCCCTCCTGCCCCCGCTGTGCCGTTCTCGGTCGTGGTATCGGCCAGGCCTTACCCCTTCCTCCCTGGCGCAGCTGGGGTCCTCCTCCGGGCCAGGCAGAGCAGGCGGGCATCAGAAGTGGGGGCCAAGCAGGTGGGTGAGGGCAGGGCAGGAGCAAGCAGGGGAGATGCAGACGGGGCGGGGCCAAGCAGGTGGGTGAGGGCGGGGCCAAGCAGGTGGGCGGGGAGGGGGCGGGGCCAGGCGGGGTAAATGCACACTGGAACGGGGCCAAACAGGTGGGCGAGGAGGGGGCGGGGCCAAGCGGGATAGATGACACGAGCGGGGCTAAGCAGGTGGGCTCGGGCGGGGGTGGGGGTGGGGGCGGGGGCGCAGGCGGGGGCGGGGGCGCGGACAGGCCAAGCCAGGGGGTGAGGCGGAGGCAGGGCCAGGCCGGTCCGTGGGGAGAGGGCGGGCCAAGCCGGTGGGCGCGGGCAGGGACGCCCTGTGCGCGCCGGACCGGCGGGGGCGGGGCGTGCAGGCGGGGGCGGGGCACGCCGTCCCATGGGACCGGCCCTCGGCCACTGCCCCCTCCGGCCCCGCCCCGAGCGCCCGGGCTGGGCCGGCAGCGGCCCCCCGCGGCGGGGCTGGCAGCAGTGGCTGCCCGCACTGCGCCCGGGCGCTCGCCTTCGCTGCAGCTCCCGGTGCCGCCGCTCGGGCCGGCCCCCCGGCAGGCCCTCCTCGTTATGGCCGCGGCCTCCTCCCCGCCCAGGGCCGAGAGGAAGCGCTGGGGTTGGGGCCGCCTGCCAGGCGCCCGGCGGGGCAGCGCGGGCCTGGCCAAGAAGTGCCCCTTCTCGCTGGAGCTGGCGGAGGGCGGCCCGGCGGGCGGCGCGCTCTACGCGCCCATCGCGCCCGGCGCCCCAGGTCCCGCGCCCCCTGCGTCCCCGGCCGCGCCCGCCGCGCCCCCAGTTGCCTCCGACCTTGGCCCGCGGCCGCCGGTGAGCCTAGACCCGCGCGTCTCCATCTACAGCACGCGCCGCCCGGTGTTGGCGCGCACCCACGTCCAGGGCCGCGTCTACAACTTCCTCGAGCGTCCCACCGGCTGGAAATGCTTCGTTTACCACTTCGCCGTGTGAGTATCGCCACCGGCGACGGCCGGCACGAAGGTGCTTCCTGAGAGCTGGTGTGGGGGAGCTCTGTCCCAGCGCCACCTGCCCCGTCGGAGCTGCGACCCCGGAGCAGAGGAGGGAAGGAAGTGGGGAAACGCAGAAACACAAACTCTGCACTCTCCCTTGAAGTTCAGAGGCGCTGCTGTGTCTGGGGGTGCGCATCTTCTCGCAGGCCCGGCGTGGGGAGGGAGCCGGCTGGGGAGGGGACCACCTGGAGCCCAGAATTTGGCTCCACACCTCCGGGAGGGTAGTCCAGGTGTGAATCCTTCTGGGAAGAGAAGCGTGCTGGGGAGCGCACCCTTGGGTGCAGTAAGATAACTCCTCAAGGTCGGCTGAGACTCGAGGCTCAGGAGCCCCCAAGAGAGAAGGCCCCTGATGTCCGGTGCCGCATCTCAGACCCCCTGAGGCCCAGGTGGACTCTGGGGCAGGGGGCTGTCCAGGATAGGAAGGTGACGGTGGCGGTGCTCCCTGAGGGCTCAGCATGCCACGGGCCGTCCCCACGGGCCCCACATTAACTAATTGAACCAAGCTCATGAAAACCTGGCTTGATGCAGAGAGCGGAGAGGCACGTTTGCAGCTCTCACTAAGAGGCAGCTGTGCTCCCGGAGAAAGCAGCGCTGGTAGCAGAGGCACCTGGCCCCCCTGTTACCAGGTGGTTCCAATTCCCGGTACAGCGTGCCTGAGCAGGGCTGGGCACTGGATTTCTCAGGGACAGGCCTGGGAAGTCACCTCCGGGAAGGTCCAGGCTGCTCTCCTCCATGCCTGCCTGGGGCCTTCCCCCGCTGCCCCAGTGGCCCTACTTCCTGGCTGCCCAGCCAGCGGCCTTTTGGTGTGGTGCCAGCCTCTGGCCTGGGAGCCTCTACCCAGACATCCCATGGCTGATGGCTGTGGGGCTCACCTGAGGGCTGAAGGGTGGTCTCCCTGAGCGTCCTCAGGTGGAAGCATCTCCTCTGCCTCGGGCAGGCTCAGTAGAGAACTGGCTGGAGGGCATCCAGAGGCCTGTCCATGCCTGCTGGCAGCTGCCACCAGGGCCTCAGGGCGGGTGACAGCAGGAGCCAGGCCCCAAATGGCTTCAAGCATCGTCTCAGGTGAGGGGGTGGGGTAGGGGTCGCAGGGCTACTGCCTTCCTTGCTAAGAGGTGGCCTTCCACATCAGGAAGGGGAAGTCTTACCCACCTCCCTCCTCAAAGATGTGGTTGGGGGGTGATCTTGGAGACTTTTCCCCACCCCAGCTCCCAAGCCCCTGTCTCCTGACATGTCAGTGGGTGCCTGAGCCACAGCCGCTGCTGGTCTGTGAGAGGAGCTGGCTCTGCTCGTGGCTGCAACAGCGGGGGCTCGGCTTGGGGTTTGGGAGATATTTGTGTGCAGTGACCCCAGGGGAACCCAGTCCGATGCCACTGTGCAAATGTCTAGCAGATGCCAGGTTCACAGGTGCTGTGTGCTGGTGGCCACCTGCCTCCCGGACCCCAGACTCTCTGAGATGTCCAAGGGTGGGAAGACCTCCTCAGCCAGAGGCCAAGGCAAAGTGCCCGCAGACCCCCTCAATTCTCACTTGTATTCAGGTTTGTGGACACATGCCTCCGGGCTCACTGCAGCCACCCGTGTGGAGGAAGAGGAGGAAGAGGGCTCGCCACGCCCCAGAGGAAGTCTCTGCTTGCACTTGTGTTTTCTTCCTCATTTGGATTGTTTAGGTCTCGGAAGTTTGCTCAGCAAGAGTCTACCTTCGCCCAGCCTCCGCAGAGCTGGCAAGGCAGGGGTGGCTTCTGGGGACAGGGGCAGGATGGCTTCTGTGAAGGGGTGGCCAGGAAAGGGATGCTTCTGTGAAGTGGCCAGATCTGGGGCTGGTCCTTTCCAGTTCTGGGTCCTGTCCTTGTAAGACGTGTGCCTGGCCCTGGGAAGTTGTCATGAACAGCCTCCAACCCAGGTACCTCCATGTGGGGTGGGACTGGAGGTGGACCCTGACTGGGCAGGACATGTGGCTTGGTGGGGGCCTGGGAGATGCGCTCCCACCCTCAGTGCCCTAGGAGGTTGGCAGGACCAGTCTCTTGAGGGGAGACCTGGTCATAGAACCAGGATGGCAGAGTAGCTGGAGGCCACCTGCAGCCTCACGAAATCAGGTCCAGCCTTGCGCCAGTCCAGCCTTGTGTTGCTGTAAGAAGTCTTGGCAATGGTGGCGGAGACAGGGCCCTGTCCTTAGGTGGATTGTGAAATGAGAAATATTGTGGTTTCTGGCCTGAAGACGACAAGCCTGGCCTTGAAGAGCCAGGGCCCAGGCATGTGTGCAGGGGGGTTGAGGCAGGAGCCGGTGTTCCGCTGACCCTACAGGGCTAGGGCGAACTCTCCTGTGTGCGCCTGGGGAAGCCAGCCAGGATATCCTGTCCCCTCCTCGGGGAACCCCCCCTCCCCAGGAGAGCAGCTCTTCCTGTGTTCCTTCTGGCCTCCCTGGGCTGGCCGGGGTGGACACGGCACCTGGGCCACAACTCTTGCCCGCTTAGGCTTCCTGCCCCCAACACCCCCAGTTATCTGTGGTTGCTTGCGCCCCCACTGGGGGCAGCTCCCATCTTAGCTGAGGGGATGGGGGTCCATACAGCCCTGCTGCACCCAGCGGTCCTAGCTCCCTTGCTGTGAGCCTTAGCCAGGGGTGTGGACATCCAGGTGGCATCTACTCTGGTTGCTGAGATGCTTGGAGATCCTGGTTGTGGCCAAGGAGAGGGATTTGAGGGGGGACCTGCAGTGCATGGAGACTGCCCCTGTAGGCTCTCAAACCTAAGTCTGGCTCAGCAGCCCCTGTTCCCCGCTCCTACAGCCTTGGCTTTCCCTGTTTCCCAAGAACTTTCCAGGGGTGTTGGCAGAACCCTCGCGGGTGCGTGTTAATCAACAATGGAGCCAGAAGCAGGTCCCAGAGGTGGATGGGGCTGATCTGGCTGCCTCCCCAAAAGACAAGGCCATGCAGAGCCAGCTCTCAGGGTGCAGCACCCAACTTTGTGGACTCCAGTGCCCTCCTATCTCCAGGCTCTGGCATTGGAGTCTGAAGCAGCTGCTGGGCAGTTGTTCTGCAGCTGGGCAGGGAGGCCAGAGGCCAAGGCAGGTGGTGGGGCTGGGCACAGAGGAGGACGGGGCTCTCTGAGCCATCAGGTCTCTTTCTCTCCATCTTCTTTAAGATCTGTCCACCCACTCCTCAGCCCTAGATTCCCAGGAAAACTGGGAATTCCTTTTGGGGCTTTTCCCAGTGCTACCTTCTGTGGGGCATGAGCCCTTGGTCTCATCCCCTGGCTGTCTGGGGTCCCCTCACCTACATCGCAGACCCGGCCCAGTGTTTCTAGATCCGCTCTTGCCAACATGTCGAGTGCCTAACTGTGGCTTCGTACTAGTTGGGGGGAACACAGGCATCCCTTACCCCTGGCCGTCAGCTGGGGAGGGGGTAGTCCAGGTGGCAAGAGCCTAGAGCCTGGGAGAAAGGGCCTCCCCAGCCTGTGTGGGGACAGGGGATCAGGAGGGTGGTAGGGACTTGGGTCCTTGCAGGTGGCCTGGGCAGTGCCTGGTGGGCATGGATCAGGTGGCAGGGCTTTGTGTCTGGGCATGGCCCTGTGGCTGGGCTGCCTTGGCCAGGGTCCTGGGCCTTCTGAGTCTGCGTCTCATTCTCTGTGGCAGGCTCCTGGTGCTGGCACCTTCAGTGCAGGGTGCCTCGGTTGGAGGGAACATTCACCCGTGCCTGGCACTGAAGCCACAGCTCCCTGTGGGCATGGTGCCCGCAGCTTGAGCCTACAACCCTGGGGTACTGGGGGCAGGAGGGTCCCTTTTTGCTTGGCAGTTGCGAGGTACTGGAACCTTTGCATATAACGTGCGGGCTGCGTTGTGTCACAGGGCCGGGTCTGAGGGAGGGGCTTTGCGGGGACACTCCTGGGTACCGATGGGATGAACTTCCGCTGGGCCTGAAGGCCTGGGATGCTTTTGGGCCGGCCAGTGCGGGGTCAGGTGGTTGGAGCCAGGGAGCTGGCACGTCAGCTGCTGCTATGAGTTCTGCCACGTGCCATCCTGGCATGTGGCACGTCTTGCAGAGGACAGGAAGGGTGAACAGCTCCAAACCCACCCTATGTGTGCTCCAGAGCTGGAAACAGGCTGTGCGGAGCTGAGTGCCTTTGGGGGCAGCTGAGATGGGCAGGAGCACCGTGCCCACCGAGGGTGTCAGAGTGACAGGGGTTGCCAGGCAACTCCACCCGGGTGGCTGATGCCCCCGTTTTTAAAGGCGTTGGGTGCCGAGAATTCCCCTCCTGCTGCTAGGCTGGTTTCAAGTCTGCTCCTTCTGCACTTGACGTCCTTGCCAGTGTGATCCAGAGCTGCTCACACGAGCAAGCGTCCTCGAGTCCTAGGGATGCTGTTAACAGGGCAGCGGGTCCAGGGAGCTGGTCCTGACGCAGGGGTCCTGATGCAGCGGGTCCAGGGAGCTCATGCCTTCCAGCGATGGGAATGCCACCGGTCCCTGTAGCCAAGGTGCAGATGCACACGTCCTGGTCCTGAGCCCCTGCTCGGCCCTAGGCAGGGCCCCCAGTTCCCTGCATTCCACCCGCCTTGTCTGGGAGGTGGACGAGCCCTCCGTAGCCCTGACATTCCAAACTGGCTTTTGGCCCCTGCGATATCTTGCTGTGATTCAAGACTCTGTCCACGGGCAAGAACAACAAGGCTGGGACAATCTCATCTCAGGCATCTGTGGGAGGAGACAGCTCCCAAGGGCGGTGATGCCAGGAGAACATTCCAGGCCCAGGAAGAGCTGAGAGACAGCAGATGCCCAAGACGAGTTGCTGGTGTGTGGCCAGTGCTGGGAGAGCATGGTGTCGGCCCGGGGAGATGCCGCAGAGAAGCTTCCAGAAGCCCAACATCTGCTGCTGGAGGGGAGAATGAGGCAATGAATATCACCATCCTGGGCCACTTTGACCCAGACCCCAAGGATTTGGTTACAGAGGGGAGGGCGGCAGCGTCTGGCTTCACTCTCGGGAGGTGCCTTGGGGCTGGCCAGTATGGGATTGCTGTCACTGTGGGTCACTCCAGCCCCGGATGCTCCTACACCATGCTCTGCTTGCATCTGGGGTCCCTGCGGGCACGTCGGTGAGACCGTCCTGGCCTCCACACCCCTTCCTGGTGGGTAGCTGTCTCTCTCCAGCAGCTCCTCCAACCACCATGAGAAACCCCAGACCTCACAGATGCAAAATTATCGTGGTTGACAAAGGGAGGCGGCTGGTGTCTCTGGTACTGGCTGGGTGACCACAGGGATGCCGCGTGACCCTAGTCCAGGGGGCCGCTTTTACACGAGGCATCTGACCATGTGATAGGGTGTGGCTTCTGCTGCCTGGCCCAGCCCTCTTCTGGGAGCCCCACGTGGGTGGGTGCTGGCTGGGGAGGGGCTTCTCTCTGGGGAGCAGGCCCTGGCTGGAGGTGGGGAAGATCCATGATGGGACCCAGGTGTCTTCCCACTTCTCGACCATCTCCTGGGAAGTTCTAATGTTTGGTTCAGGGTGTGGGGTCCATCTGAGCAGGCATGGTGCTTCCAGAAGGATCCAGGTTAAGGGTGGTGGGTCCAAGGGGGTGCCTGAGCCCTTCTGCAGAAACACCGTTCCCCGTAGAGCAGCAGTCCCCAACCTTTTTAGTACCAGAGACCTGTTTTATGGAAGAAAGATTTTTCCACCCGGGCAGTGGTGATCTTGGGATGAAACTGTTCCATCTCAGATCATCAGGTATTAGATTCTCATAAGAAGCGTGCAACCTAGATCCCTTGTGTGCGCAGTTCACAATAGGATTTGTGCTCCTGTGAGAATCTAATGCCACCGCTGATCCAACAGGAGGTAGAGCTCAGGTGGCCGTGCACATTCACCTGACGCTCACTCACTGCTGTGCGGCCTGCTCCCTAACAGGCCACGGACCCGGGGTTGGAGAACCCTGTCTTAGAGGATTGAGGCTCGGGGCCATGGGATCGGCACTGTCATTGCCCTTGGAGGGTTCTGAGCACTGGAAGGACCTGGCTGTGGTCCCAGGCACTGGGTGGATGGACCAGCAGAAAGGCTCCCAGGAGGGTCGTGGCTCCCTCATCGGCACCGGACTCTCAGGATGAGCCGCCTGGAGTCTGTTGGCATCTGCCTGGCCGCCTCTGGCAGGAACTTCTCCTGATGGAAGAGCCGGGCTGGGGAGCTGACTCCAGGACAGGCCCCTGCCCGCTCTGGGACCTGGGGCCTGGGCTCTGCTCCCCATTTCGCTCCTCCACTCACAGATGAGGACATTTGGGTCGCCTTACAGATGAGACAACTAGGCCTGGCCACTTTGCTCATGCCACACCCAGAAAGCCCTCAGGACACCCAGAAGCCCTTAGGATGCCCAGAAGCCCTTAGGATGCTGTGGTCTCAAGTGAGGTGGTGCACTATTCCTGGCCTCAGGCCCAGTTTGTATCCATGGGCACCCCCACTCCCACCTAGCACTTGCCACCAGGAAGCACCCTGAGGACTGTCCCCTTTGAGAGTTGGCTCTCAAAGCCTTGGTCTGTGCCTGCGTCCTGGCAGCGGGTGAGCTACGGCTGCCCTCACCCAGAGAGTGCAGGTTCCCTGGGGGCGGGGGCTCTTAGCTTTCCCTCCATATCTGCTAAGGTGCACACCTTTCTCTGCTGCCTTCCAAAATCATACTCTGGGGCGCACTGAAAGGGTGCTCTGAGTAGCTCTCCCCGGCTCCTGGCTGAACTTGCTCCAGGCAGAGATTTGAAGAGATTCAGAAAGCAGGAACCACAGGCAGAGCAGCTGGACAGGGACCCCCACCCCTGTACTCCCTTCGGCCCTGGAATGCTCCTCTGCATGGAGACAGCCCAGCTGCACTGGGACCCCTCACCCCACCCTGGGGCCAGGGGCTGTGTCCTCGACTTCCACGCAGAGCAGCCCGGGCAGCTTAGAGGAGGGAGCAGAAGGAGCTCTGACTGAGAGGGGTAGACCCCTCCCAGAGGCATCCCCACCCTGCCCCAAAGAGGGGAGCAGCTGGAGACGGGGCGGGAACCTCCTCTGGCTATATCTAAGCAGCCCCGGGAACCATGCGCTTCAAGCGTTTGATCTTGACGGGCCCTGGGCTTGGCATTCTATTCCGTGACGTCTCCAGCTGTTCTCTTGTGAAGAGTCACGTCTGTGCTCTTGGCTAGGATGGCTCAAATATTATAAAACATACAGCTTTGCTAATTAAAACAGCATGACATTGCCTTATAGGCAGGCAGATCACCAATGGAACAGCTTTTTAAAAACCGCATGTAACTCCATTGTATATGAAGTTTCGTAAAAGAGGCAGCATCTCCAACCAGTGGGGAACAGATGGGCGGCTTCATGCGTGCTGCGGGGTGGGTGGGTGGCCATGTGGAAAGTGACCAGACTGCACCCACTTGTCACATCACACACCAGGATAGACTCCCAGTGGGTCAGAAAACCACTTGGGTACCTAAAGAAAGCGCCTGGAATTCTTTACCCTGAGAGCGAAGAAACTTTTCTATGACTTGAATGCTAGATGCGTGGAGGAGATTTATGTGTTTGACCACATAAGAAAGAAGCAACCTTGGCTGGGTGCGGTGGCTCACGCCTGTAATCCCAGCACTTTGGGAGGCCAAGGCGGGCGGATCACCTTAGGTCGGGAGTTCGAGACCAGCCTGACCAACGTGGTGAAACCCTGTCTCTACTAAAAATACAGAATTAGCCGGGCGTGGTGGTGCATGCCTGTAATCCCAGCTACTTGGGAGGCTGAGGCAGGAGAATCACTTGAACCCGGGAGGTGGAGGTTGCAGTGAGCCGAGATCACGCCGTTGCACTCCAGCCTGGGCAATAAGAGTGAAATTCCATCTCAGGGAAAAAAAAAAATCTTAATGGGAAACAGCCAATTGCCAGGCTGGGGGAAGATGTGATGTTTCACGAAGGGTTAATCTGTTTACTACAGAAAGAGTTTCTGAAAACAGAAGAAAACCCACAGCCAGCAGGAGATGTGAATACCACTCACAGGACAGTGACCCACAGGGGGACCTTGAACATGTGAGAAGGTGCCGCCTTCACTCCTGGCGAGAGGGGTGTCGAGGAAAATGTCACTGAGGTCCCTTCTGGCTGGCAGAAATCCTTTGGCATTTGCTGGTAGGCATGCAAGAGGGTAGACTCTGTGAGGAAGGGATTTGGCAACATCTAGCAAAACTGTCTTCACTGACCTGTGACCCAGCAACCCCCTCCCCAGAACCTACCTGAAGGCACTGGCAAAGGCAGGAGAAGCTGCGTGTGCAGGGCTGCTTGTGAAAGTACTGTTTGGAAAACTGCAAATGCCCATTGTAGGAGACTGGTTGAATCAGAGATTTGTGGAATATTATGCAGCTGTAAAAAAGGAATGCATAGATCTCTCTTATTATGAAGTGATTATCAGGATTTATTTAATTATTTTTTTCAGGCAGGGTCTTGCTGTGTTGGCAAGGGTGGTCTTGAAATCTTGGCCTCAAGCAGTCCTCCCACCTCAGCCTCCCAAAGTGCTTAGATTACAGGTATGAGCCACCACACCTGGCGTATCAGGATGCTTTTTAAGTGAAAAAGCACAGTGAATAAAAATATAGCAGCTATTCTTCATCTGATAAAGGGGAGGATGCAAGTCTGGATGTATATTAAAAACGAAAGCAATGGAAGCCTCCAAATCTTAAAAGTTTACCTCAAAAGGGTGGCGGGGGGGGAGGTGGCATATGGAATCAAGATGCCTCTGAATGTACCTGGTTTTATAGATTTCACTTTGAAGCCATGTAAATCAATAGCTTGCGTAATTTTTAAAAAGCTGTTCGTAATCGCTTGGTGAAAAATCCCTAAATAAATCTTAACCAGAAAAAGTAGTCCCTCAAAATTGAAATGAAACAAATGAGCCTAAAAATGTGTGCTGAATTAGTGGCTTAACCACCCAGAAGGACTGATTTCAGGTGACATATTTCTAGCGGGTTACTGCTGAAGACAAATAGAGCTGCATGCAGTGGCCACATAATTGTTGTGATACTATTTGTTATATTATTCTAAGAGTGCTGCATGGGAATTGCAGGTTAAGGTAAGTAATTGTGTTGGTATCACCAAGAATGGAGGTTTTACAAAATATGATTCACATGTAAACAGAATTAAAAACAAAAACCGTATGATCATCTCAATAGATGTAGAAAAAAACTTTTGATAAAATTCATCATCCCTTCATTAAAAAACCCTCAACAAAAATAGGCATCAAAGGAACATATCTCAATAAGAGCCATCTATGACAAACCCATGGTAAATGTGGTACTGAATGGGTAAAAGCGAGACACATTCCCCTTAAGAATAGGAACAAGACAAGGATGCCCACTTTCACCACTCCTATTCAAAATAATACTGGAGGTCCTAGTCAGAAAAATCAGGCAAGAGAAAGAAATAAAAGGGGATCCAAATAGGAAAAGAGGAACTCAAATCATCTCCCTTCACCGATGATGATAAGATTCTATACCTAGAAAACCCTAAAGAGTCTGCCAAAAGCCTTCTGGAACTGTAAGTGAAGTCTCAGGATACAAAATCCATGTACAAAAATCAGCAGCTTTTTTTTTTTTTTTGAGATGGAGTCTCACTCTGTCACCCAGGCTGGAGTGCAGTGATGAGATCTTGGCTCACTGCAAGCTCTGCCTCCCAGGTTCACACCATTCTCCTGCCTCAGCCTCCCAAGTAGCTGGGACAACAGGCGTCTGCCACCACGCCCGGCTAATTTTTTGTATTTTTTAGTAGAGACGGGGTTTCACCGTGTTAGCCAGGATGGTCTTGATCTCCTGACCTTGTGATCCACCCGCCTTGGCCTCCCAAAGTGCTGGGATTCAGGCTTGAGCCACCGTGCCTGGCCAATCAGCAGCATTCTTATACACCAATGATGTTCAAACTCAGAGCCAAATCAAGAATGCAATTCCATTTATAATAGACACAAAAAGAATAAAATACCCAGGAATACATCTAACCAAGGAGGTGAAAGATCTCTACACAAGAGTTACAAAACACTGCTGAAAGAAATCATAGATGACAGAAATGGAAAAACATTCCATGCTGATGGGTTGGAAGAATCAATATTGTTAAAATGGCCATACGGCCCAAAGCAATCTACAGATTCAATGCTATTCCTATCAAACTACCAATGCCACTTTTCATAGAATTAGAAAAAACTATTCTAACATTCATGTAGAACCAAAAAAGAGCCGAAATAGCAAAAAAGGAACTAAGCCAGAGGCATCACATTACCTGACTTCAAACTATACTTCAAGGCTACAGTAGCCAAAACAGCATGGTATTGGTACATAGACATATAGACCAATGGAACAGAATAGAGAACTCAGAAATAAAGCCACACACCTACAGCCATCTGATCATCAATAAAATCAACAAAAATATGCCATGGGGAAAAGACTTCATATTCAATAATGGCACAGGGATAACTGGCTCCCCATATGCAGAGGAATGAAGTCAGACTCCTATCTATCACCATATACAAAAATTAAAGACAGATTAGACGTGGCCAGGCACAGTGGCTCATGCCTGTAATCCTAGCACTTTGGGAGGCCAAGGTGGGTGGATCATGGGGTCAGGAGTTTGAGACCAGCTTGGCCAAGGTGGTGAAACCCCATCTCTACTAAAAATACAAAAATTAGCTGGGTGTGGTGGTACGCACCTGTGGTCCCAGCTACCCGGGAAGCTGAGGCAGGAGATTGCACCACTGCGCTCCAGCCTGGGTGACAAGAGCAAAACTCTATCTCAAAACAAAAAAAAAAAAATTAAAAAAGATTAGATGTAAACATTAGATTACAAACTGAAAAAATCCTGGAAGAAAATAGTCTTCTCAATATTGGCCTTGGCAAATAATATATAGCTAATAAGTCCTCAAAAGCAATTGCAACAAAACTAAAAATTCACAAGTGGGACCTAATTAAAGAGCTGCTGCACAGCAAGAGAGACTGCCAAGGGAATAAACAGATAACCTACAGAATGGGAGAAAATATTAGCAAACTTTGAACTGACAAAGGCCTAATATTCAAAGTCTACAAAGAATTAACAAATCAACAAGCAAAAAAACAACCCCATTAAAAAGTGGGCAAAAGGGCCGGGCGCGGTGGCTCACGCCTGTAATCCCAGCACGTTGGGAGGCCAAGGTGGGCAGATCACCAGGTCAGGAGATCGAGACCATCCTGGCTAACATGGTGAAACCCTGTCTCTACTAAAAATCCAAAAAAAAAAAAAAAAAAAAAAAATTAGCCGGGCGTGGGGGTGGGCGCCTGTAGTCCCAGCTACTCGGGAGGCTGAGGCAGGAGAATGGCGTGAACCCAGGAGACGGAGCTTGCAGTAAGCCGAGATCACGCCACTGCACTCCAGCCTGGGTGACAGAGCAAGACTCGGTCTCAAAAAAAAAAAAAAAAAAAAAAAAAAACCCAAAAAAACAAAAAGTGGGCAAAAGATATGGTAGACAGTTCTTAAAAAGAAGACATACAAACAGTCAAACACATGAAAAAATGCTCATCACTGATCATCAGAGAAATGCAAATCAAAGTCACAATGAGATACCATCTCACGCCAGTCAGAATGGCCTTTGTTTAAAAAGTCTCAAAACAACAGATGCTGGAGAGGCAGTAGAGAAAGGGGAACACTTACACCCTGTTGACGGGAGTGTAAATGAGTCCAGCCACCATGGAAGGCAGTTTGGAGATTTCCCAAAGAACCAAGAGTTGAACTACCATTCGATCCAGCAGTCCCGTGTGCTGAGTTTATACCCAAAGAAAAATTAGTCGTTCTACCAAAAAGACATATGCACCTAAACATTCATGGCAGAAAGACATGAGTCAACTCAGGTGCCTGTCAATGGTAGATCGAATAAAGCAAATGTGATATATATACACCATGGAATACTATGCAGACGTGAAAATCATGTCCTTTGCAGCAACATGGATGCAGCTGGAGGTCGTTATCCTAAGTGAATTAATGCAGAAACTGAAAACCAAATACTGCGTGGTCTCATGGATTATAAGTGAGGGCTAAACATCAAATCCATGTGGACATAATGATGAGAACAAGAGACACTGGGGAATACAAGAGTGGGGAGGGGGGAAGGGGAGCAAGGTTTGAAAAGTTACCTGTGGGTGCTGTGCGCACTACGTGGGAGACCGGATCGTTTGTACTCCAAACCTCAGCATCATGCAATATACCTTTGTGACAAACCTGCACTTGTACCTCCTGAACCTATTAAAAAAGTTGAATAAAATGGAAACTTTTGGCATGGGAGAAAAAAAAAAAAAACAGATGTAAGTTAGAAGAGGTTACGCAAAAATCCTCCATCCCTGCATTTGAATGAGGACTATCAGTATGCATCCAGGATGACGTTTACTTAAATATCTCTGTTTCCTGGAAAGGCCCAGGACCAAGGACCACTCAGCAGCTAAGAGCATCTCTAGACCCCAGACTGTGGCCTCTAGGTACCATTTCCCCCTGAAAGAAACCAGGGCCCCTGGCGGATTCCAGGTCTGTGGCAGAAGATGTGCAAGCTAAGCCTGGAGTATTCATCACAGCAGAAGGCAGGGAAGTTATCAGAGGCCCCCTAGGGCCATGTCACTGGAACTTGAAGGGGTCCTTGTCTTCCCCCTTCTCCCCAAGCTGAAGATGCAGTGGGTAAGCCTCACTGAAAATAACAGAGGAAGTGGATGAGCTGCATTGATGGGGTTCAGATCCCAAGTTCATCCTGATACTGAGGGGCAAAACCAGTGGACTTTGATTTGCATTTCTCTAAAGATCTGTGGAGGTCAATAGGGAGACCGCTCATGATGTTGAATCCTGGCAAGCAAACGGAGAGAATCTGACATGTGTCCCAGTCGTGATTAACCTGTGAACTGTAACTCGGGGAAACCCAGTAGCTGATGGGGTTGCGTCCTTCTTTGGGACTCCCGCAGATGCCTGAGGCGGCAGTGCTGCTGAAGTCCTGCCAGGCTCCAGCTCCTGGTGAGGTCAGGGATTCCGCATGCAGCGTCACAGCTGCCAACCTCTCCAAAGCAGTAAAGGCCTTCGGACAGTGCACAGAAAGTGCTCCCATCCACAATGCTTCCTTGCCTGGATGGATGGATGGATGGATGGATGGATGGATGGATGGATGGATGGATGGATCGATCGATCTCACCAAGCCTCGTGCTCTAAGTACAAGTTTACTGGAAATACTCGGGCCAGAGGAACGCGCTAAATGATACTACAGGAGGCCACTTGCAGAATCCCAGTGGTGGGGGATGGCTCTGTAGGACACATGACCTGATTTCCTCAGTAAGTCAATGACCAAGAAATAACGGAGAGAAGGAGGAAAGAATCACCTATCCACCAATTGTGACATATGGCCTTAGTTAGGTCCTCAATAAATGATGACAAATATTGGATTAAATTACTTCTGGTTTGCTGCATGTTCCATTTTTGCCCATGCCGCACCTGCCATGGTGCATTTCTGATTCCCGTGCCCAGTTGGGAGGCTTTGGGGTTGTTGGGATGCTTTTGTGAATGGCTTCCTTCCTTCCCAGGCACAGGGGCTTTATGGGGCTCTGGAGCAGACAGACCAGAGTTTGCACCCAGCTCCCAGCTGGCCATGTTACCTCAACTGCAAAACGAGAGACGGACTTCCTTGGGACGCGGTGGTGGGGACACTGTGGTCTGTCTCCTCTGGGCGCCCCGTGGCGCCCGGTGGTGTGAGGTTAGGATGTGGGGCGTGGTGTCCAGGGACTGTGTGGCCTGCCTGGAGCTGGGCAGAGACAAAGCATGCATGTGACACTCCCTGACTTCAGGCCATAACAGGGGCAGGGGTGGGGGGCAATCAGGGTTCCTAGAGGACAACCCCATGTAGTTCCTCACTGCAGGGCTTGGAGGGAGCAGGTGAAGGCTTACCTGTCTTAGGTAATGAGGAGCTGTGCGGGTCTGAGACAGCTCTGGTTCCTTTAAGGGTATGTAGGGGTCACTGCCAGTCTGTAGCTCCCTCTGTGGGGGCAGGCTGTGGCACTGTGGCGACTGGCAGTACTGACTTCCTCTAAGCCAACCGGGCAGGGACAAGTCAGCTTGTTGTTCCGTCCACAGTAGAGGGCGGCCCTGGGGGTGAACGGCTGACCGTGAGGGCGTGGTCCCTCCCCCCAGACCACCCCGGAGGCCCCCTCCGCCCTCCTGCCTACAAAGAGTTCCCCCTTTGTGTTGAGAGGCCTGGGTCTCAGAGGTAGATGAATGGAGTCGTGAAATCAGGCAGGGATTCCCTTCTGCTTAAAACCCACTCTCCTTCCCATGCAGCACAGGTGGCCAAAACCTGCGGCTGGGTCAGAGGACTGGTTTAGTAAGAATTTTTTTTTTTTTAAATGTGGTTATCTGCTAGCCAGAAAAGGTGTGTGGTTTCGCAGTCTTTCAGACAAACTGAATTTAATAGTAGCTGACGTGAACCCCTGTTTCTCCTCTAGGCTCCAGAGCCGCACCCCAGTGCAGGTGTGGAAGCTCAGTTCCTCCAAAACCCAGACAGGCCTTGGTGTCCTGACTGCCACCCCCAGGGGGCCCCTCACTCGAGTCCTTGCTTGCAGTGCCCATGGGCAGCAGAGGTGTCCGGAGATGCAACAGGGCCCAGACCCCTACCAGCCTGTGGCCCAGCTGGGGGCAGGACTCCGGGGCAGGGTGAGTCCCTGCGTGACCTGATTCTCTGTGGGCAGGCCGGGCAGGGTGGCTGCAGGGCGGCGGAGCCTGTGCTGCTGGCCTGCATTTCTCTGGCTGGACAGATACTGCGCCCATATCCCTGGTCTTTCAAAGGGCTCTGTGGCTGGTGGAGGGCAGCAATGCCCCAAGGGAGGAGCAGGTGCCCAAGCCCCCAGGTGGCCCTGCGGGTACAGGTACTTGTTTACTCTGTGGCATCAGTCCTGCTTCCCAGCTCAAGGCCCTGGCCTCCACAGGCCTCCTCCCTCCCTCCCTCCCTCCCTCCTTCCCTTTTTTCCTGTGGCTCCAAGGCCCACAGTAGAAAGGCTCCAGTCTGTGTCCATGTGTTTTGGAGGCCTCTCAGGTACAGGGACTGTCAGCCCAGCTGTAAGTGGACCTTGGACCGCAAATTTGCATGGGCCCCTTTGCCAAAGCCCTGTGCCCACTGCTGGGGAACGCTGGGGACTCCGCTCTTGTGGGGCAGTGGGGCTGGGTGGGAGCAACCCCCCATCCGGGTGGCTGTGGCCGAGGCCCTTATGAGAGGGTGGTAGGTGTGTCTCCACAGTGGGGGACCAGATCTCTCTCTGGCCCCAAAGACTGCTTCAAGCCTCTGGAGGAGCACTTTGCCCCAGGCTGGGGCGTGACTGCTTCTGGTTGAGGGTTGCTGCCTGTGCAGGTGGCCCTCTTGTCGGTCTTGTCTGCTGCATGGGGGTGTGGCCTCCTGTGGATGGCCCCTGTCCTGGGTGGTACTGCTGCAGGACCTGGGTTTCCGGGGGTGTCCGGGAGTCGGATGGGCCTCACTCTCCTGGCCTCCACTGGGTCCAGGAGTGGCGATCTGTGAGCCAATGGCCGTGGCTGGGGGCAGCCTGGGGTGTTGAGAGGCCCTGGGCAGCCACCTTGCCTCTCTGAGTTTGTCCTCATGTGTCTCTGGGGCTGGAACTCGGTGTCCGACCTGGTGATGGGTCAGGTGTGATCAGGTGTGTGGGGCTCGGTCTGCATGTGCAGGGCTGTTTGAAGGCCTGTGGGGCCATCTGATGCCCCCCTTTTCTTCAGCCTTGGAGAGGATGGCTTCTCAGGCCGCCTCGCAGCAGATTTGTAGTCTGGTTGCTGTCGTTCCTGAAATAGCCTCTGAAGCTCTGTCCGGGAAGGGAACCTTGAGTGTGGAGGAGATAAGCCTGCTGACTGGGTGAGCCGGCCGGGGCGGGGGTGGCCCCTCTTCCCTTCCTCCCCTGCAGCTTCCATGGCCTGGGGCTGTGAGAGGCCCGGGAAGGCACTGTCTTTGCGCCTGCACATGTGTGTGTCTGGAGTGTAGGATGGCACTGGTGCCGGGCCTGGATTTACTCAGCCCAGATCACGGCTGCTTTTGTTTACGTGGCCCCTGCTCTCACCCACAACTCCAGGTTTCTGGCTCTCGGGAATTTGAGGCCTGTGGCTGCTGTGGACCCTGGGAAAGAGCCTGTGCTTCCTGAGCCAGTGCGGGGCCTGGCATGGAGTAGGTACCCCGGGGGTGGACAGATAGGCAGAGGAAGGGATGGGCAGGTGGATGGGGGGCTGAATTGTGGTCAGTTATGGGTGGCGGGTAGATGGGTGGACAGCTGGATAGATGAAGTACTGGGTGGGTGGAGAGAGAAAGGGGTGGGTGGACGGAGGGATGGGCAGGGAGAGAAATGGATGGGGCATGCTGCTTCCAGCACCCACTGGGTGCAGCTGTCTGCTGTCTGCTGTCCTGGGGGAAGGTCTGGAGAGGGCCTCTCGGTGAGTGTGGACTCAGCCAGCCTAGTCCCAATACAGCTGGGATGCATTGCTGCTCCTTCCGCCATCCCAGCAGCTGTCCAGAGATGAGACCCAGCCCCACTGTGTCTTTCTGGGATTCACAAGAATCCTTCCCTGGGCTGAGGGGGCGTTGCTGTGGGTGTATCTCATGGAGAGCCCCAAGGAGCCAGGGAGGAGCCTTCTGGTGGTTTGGGTTCTGGATTGGTGGGTGCTGGGTGGGTCTTCATGGCTGTTCTTGGGGCTGCCAGGCCTGCAAGGTAGACAGGCCTCTGGACTTGAGTGTGGCTGTGGACGAGGGCAGCGTCGCCATCAGAGGCGATGTCTAGGGCCACCCCCTCTGACTTGCCTCCTCCTCCTTCTGACTTGCCTCCTCTCTCTGACGGGCCTGCTCCTGAGCTTGACACCTGCCTGGGGGCTCCCGGCGAAGGCCGCTGGTTTCTAGAATGCACCATCTCTTCCTGGCATGACGGGAACCACCTGTGACATTGCCACCACCTCGCTGTAATCTGGGCAGCAGCTGTCATGATCCCACCATGTGCCCCCCGTGAGGCCCCCACCTGTTACTGAGTGGCAGGGACGTGCTCCCACACCCCCATGCGCCATCCTGCAGGTGCTTTCTGCTGACTTCTGTGTGCCCTGGGGCCTGCTCTCTTGGTAGGGGTTGACCCTGCCTGTGACTTAGACAGCTTGGAGGGCCAGGACTGAGGGGAGGGGGCGGTGGAGTGAAGGGGAGGGTGGGCGCTGCTGGCAAGAACCACAGGCAAAGAGGGTGCCGGGGGCAGGGAAGGCCTGGAGGTTTGAGGAGCAGAAAGTAGACCCTTGACCCTCCCTGGGCTGGTGAGTCGGGGCCCAGCCCAGAGTGACAGGGACCAAACCTGGGTCCATGTGCCGTGCCCAGCCTGGGGTTCAGGTTTCTTCCCCGTGAGCTGAGCAGACAGGGAGGGTCTTGGGGGAAGGCTGTGGGCCCTTGGGTGGAAGAGTCTTGGGTGAGGCCCCTGAACTGGTAAGCGGGGCAGCGGCGGCAGGGGGCCCAGGGAAGTGGGGCCAGTCGGGGGTCCTCAGGGGTCCTTCAGGGATATACCTGCTGTCAGGGTGTGGGGAGTGGGAAGTGGGGGACGGGGTGGATTCCAGGATTCCGGGTTGTGCTTGGTCAGAGTGGGGAACTGGACGCTCCGTCCCTGGCTCAGCCTCTCCCGGCTGTGACCTTGGGGGACCATTGACTTTACTGTGTGCCTGGAGAGCCTAATCCCTACCTGCCAGTGGGTGACACAGAAGGCAGGAATGCAGAAGGCCTTTCAGAAGTTCTCACTGGCCTGCAAGGTAGAGGCTGTTTTCTGCTGAGGATACATTTGCCCCCTCTATCCCCCAGATCGGCGGCTGCTCAAGGAGCCTGGTACAGCTGCACGGAGGCGCAGCACCCACAGGACAAGTGGTGGAATGTTCTGGTTGTCCTTGGTGCAGGTGGCGG
Source organism: Homo sapiens (assembly GCF_000001405.40). Lineage (NCBI taxonomy): Eukaryota > Metazoa > Chordata > Mammalia > Primates > Hominidae > Homo > Homo sapiens. The sequence continues at coordinate 2,463,464 of NC_000011.10, forward strand.
GCGGGGCTGGGGGGCTCTGTAGCCTTCCTGGCTTCGGTCCCCTGGACAGGCTCCACCTCCCTCTTATCGTGGCCCCTTTGGCAGGCTGCCTGCCACCTCAAAGTCACGCTGCCCTGGGCACCCTGCCTCTTCCGGGGACTGGGGCTGGGGCTGGGGCAGCTGTGTTTATGGGTGTACTCCCTGTGCTGGGCACTGCGCTGAGCTCAACACACAGGGGCTCGGGGAGGTCTGTGGGTGCCCAGGCCGAGATGTGAACCCTGAGTTTGTGCAACTCGAGTTTCAGAGTGGCGGCCTCTGCTCCTCACAAGACATTGCCCTGCGAGGGGGTCAGCCCTGAAGCCGGATGGCCCGGCCCCCGCTACCACGTGGAGGCTCCCTGTAGGTGCTTGTGTAGATGCCCCCGTGCGGGGACTTGTTTGGCTGATGGATCAGGGGGAAGGTTCTCCCCACGGTGTGAGGCAGCACCGAGGGCTCCGTGCCCAGCAGGCTCACTGTCGGCAGTTGGGTCTGGTTTGATAACCGTGGACCGGGGTGACAGGCCCTGACTCTGCAGAGCAGGACTGTGGAAAATGGACACTGATGCTGCCCGGTGGATCCAGGCAGGGCCGGGATGTTTGCAGGACCCACGGGACAATTAGAACGACTGGGCCTGACTGGCACAGGGATGTGGACTACGGTGCTTGCCATCAGCAGATACAAGCTGTACGCAGTGGGCCGCAGGCGCTCCCTGGGCCGGAACACATGGACGTCCAGGTGTGGAATGGCCCGGACAGCAGATAACAAGCCTTCGTCGTGGTCACCCCTGGGTGTGGGCTGTGGGTTTTAATCTTTTCATTTTTGCTCATCTGAATTTTCTAATTAAAAATATATTGCTTTTTAAAAATAATAAAAGATCATTTAAATTAAAATATATAAGTGAGGAGAGGCTGGTAAGAGGATTCTGGAGTCCCTGGAGTGTCTTCTGGCATCGCATGGATGAGAACTCTGAATGAATTGAGTGTGATTTGACCTAGGAGAGTGCCGGGGTGGGGGCAGGTGCACTGTGGTCCTGGGTCCACATGGTGCTAGGGTCCCATGGGCTCCTGGCCCCTGGCTGCTGCCCCCACATTGGGCCCTGCACCAGGCATGAGTCCCATGTCCTGTCCTTGGGGAGGCCTGGGGGACAGGAGTTGGGGGGGTGGGCAGTGCCTCTGTGTGGCAGATTCCAGCTTCTCTCAGGGGCCAGGATTACATGGTCCGTGTTGGACTCTGGGATGCTGGTGGGAAGAACAGTCTGGGCGAGGAGGAAAGGGTGGCTCTGCTGACCCCTCCTAGGTGGGCTGGGGCTGAGGCGGATCCCACTGTGGGGAGCTGCCCAGAGATGGAAGGAGCTGGAGTCCACAGGGCGCTTCTCTTCTCTTTTCCTGTGTGTTAAGGTAGTTCAAAGTCCTCCTGCCCGAGGAAGTAAGACAGCAATCTCTGGGGTCCTGGGCACCAACTCTGGGCACTGATGGGCTGGTCCAGTGCAGGGAGCTGCCCCGGCCGCCCCCGTGGGTGCAGGCCATGGGCTCTTGTTTCCTTTCCCCCATCTGTAAAATGGGTAACGGCCGCTCCTTCAGGGGCTGTTAGCCACATGCTTAGACCGCACCGAGAAAATGCAGTCCCTCCAGAGCTCCTAACCTTCCATGGGCCACAGGCCCCTTCCCAGAAGTTTTTTTATTTTTTATTTTTTTTTGAAGCAGGGTCTCACTCTGTCGCCTAGGTTAGAGTGCAGTGGCACAGTCATCACTCACTGCAGTGCGACCTCCTGGGCTCAAGCTGGCACCGTGACCCCTTCTCCAAGGCCTGCCAGGCTGGCCTCCAGTCCAGGTGTGAGGCCCTGAGGCCCTGGCTGCAGCTGGAAGCTCTTGGGCAGTGCACTGTCCCCACAGCGGACTGCCTCCTGCAGCCAGGTGGCCTTAGGTGATCCTCCAAGGTCCAGCCAGCCAGGATCTGAGTCAGGAGGAACCACGGCCCCCACCAGGGCTGAGACTCCTCTGAGCTCGTCACTTGTCTTGGTTGGGTAGAGGCCTGAGAGGGTGGACACTTGCCCAGGGTCACACAGCTTGTGCGTAGCAGAGCTCCCTGTCCGGCCCCTGCCCCGTGCTGGCCCCTCTCACACCTTGCTCACGCTAGGTGCCTTGTACCAGTGCCTGCTTGGGGGTGGAATTGGAGAGGGGAGGGGTGGGCGCCGAGCTCTGCCTCCCACCAGCATGCTTCCCAGAGCTTCCTGGGAGAAGGTTTACGGAGGAGTGGCCTTGTCTGGTGTCCCTCTGGGTAGAGCCTGTGTTCCGGGCAGGCTGGGAACAATGAATGGTACAGATCCACGGCTCCCCTTGGGCCTTGGTGGGCTCCAGCCATGCCTCCTGGAAGGCCATTTGGAGCCTGGCTGGCAGGCAGGAGCTGTGTGCTGCCAGGCGGGTCTAGATGTGGTTGGTTCCTGGCTGCACCTGCCGGGCTCATGACCTGCCCTGTCCTTTCCTTGGGGAGCTTGGTGACGGCTCAGGTCGACTCCCAGGGGCCCGCCCTTCAGGGCCTGCATGAGTGTTCTCGGGCTGGCTATGGGGGCATTGCTTCTTCCTGTCCTAGCCGGGACCTGCCCATCCACCCAGGGGGCTCAGGGACGTTTTTGAGTTTTCCTGAGGCTTTGCCTAGGGAGTGTCGCTGAGGAAGCTGGAACAGTGACCTTCGTTGTTGGGGGAGGAGATGCAGGCAGGCTGTGGCCCAGCTGCCCCATTTTGTAGCTGGGGAAACTGAGGCCCAGAGTGGAGAAGCGATCTCCAAAGGGGAGGTGACACATGGCTGAGCCCCGCCTGATGGGTGCTTGCTGGGGGGAGAAGTCCTGGCTGGGACTTCCCCTCCCCAGGCTGGGGTTTGTCCCCTACTTTGCAGGAGGAGGGGGGCTCCCAGAAGAGAGTGAGTTTTGAGGGAACACAGTGCTGGGGGTCCCCTCCTGGGCCTGGGGCTGTGGTTCTTAGAGGGGCAAGGGGCTGGCCCCTGTTGCTGGCTGTGGCAGCCACAGCCTTCTGACCCTTGCTGGCCTGTCGTGGAGTGGGGTTCAAGATGCTATCACTGACATCTGCCCAGGCTCGGGGGCTTCTGTGTGGTGCCAGCCTTGCCCGGGGGCACAGCCATCAGCAGGCCAGAAGTCCTCAGGAGAGCTTGCTGCCAGGCTGCTGCCTGGGGCCAGGCTTCAGATATGCTGGCCAGCCTTGTCCAGGGGGCCTCCTGCCAGGTGGGCAGAGGGAGAGGGCCTTCCTGTCCTCATGAGAACAGGGCTGAGCTCCATGTTCCTTAGCCTCCCTTGGCCTCAGTCATCCTATCTGGAAACAGGGATCATAATAGTTTTAGTTTATAGAGAGCGAGGGCCTGGCCCCTGCGCTCTTCCTCTGTGGTCTCCTCTGCCCGCTCCCAGAACACCTGGCCTCCTGCTCTGAGGGCCAGCCCTGGGTTGCAGCAGTGAGCATGACCTGGCCACAGTCTAGGGGCTTTGGGGTGGGTTTGTGGGCAGCTGGGCTGCAGGGGGCTGTGGGAGCCTGAGGGAGTGCCTTCCAGGGGAAGCCCGACAGATGGGGGCACTCCAGGCAGGGGCAGGAGGTGACCTGGAGGTCGGAGGAGCAAGCTGTGGCTGGAGAGCCGGGCAGGGTTGGTCAGCAGGTCCGAGGGCCTGGGCCTCCCTGGGGTGAGGGCCAGGGTGCCTCTGCAGGGGTGGAAGTGGGCTGTGAGGGGGTCTGGGTTTATCTCCCCATTGCACAGGGCTCCATGGGGTGGGCTGAGCCATGAGCGCCCTTCGTGGCACCTTGGTGTCCGGCAGGGAGGCAGGGGCCCAGGAGGAGGGCAGGACTGGCTTCAACGGTGTCGGCCTCTACCCTTTTGGTCCTCACGGAGGAGGCTGCTCCCTCTTCCCTGGAGCAGCCAGGGATGGTGTGGGGCCCTGGTCCCCTGGCTTGATATAGGCTTCTGCAGAGGATATGGTGTGGCCGGGGGCTCAGCTGAGAAGCCACCAGGAGACAGATACAGCCTCAGGAAGTGGTTTTGTATCTCTGCTGAGAACCACAATCCGAGTCACATGGGACCATTGAGATCACGTCAGGGTGCAGGCTGGGGAAGGCTGGGAGCTGGGGTTTGGCAAAGGCGTTGGGGTGCTCTTGTGCTGGACAGGCTGCTGCCCACCGGGCCTGGCCCAGGTGAGGTGAGAGACACCTGCCCCCCACGTCAATGCCTGGGCACACGGGCCCAGTGCACACAGCCAGCAGGCGTGCGTCTTGCAATGGGGGCTGTGGGGACCCCTTTGCTCCCCTGATCCCTTCCCTGCAGACCCAGGCCAGGTGGATTCAAGGTGTGGGGCAGGGTAGGAGCTGGGCACTGCTGGATGGCATGGGCCACCCGCACTGGGGCTGCTGTGACCTCCGAGTCCAGGCACTGCCTTCCACCTGGTTAGGGACAGGGCAGGGAGGCTGATGGGCTGGCCCAGCGTGGGGACCTGCCCAGTGGCCCTGTGGGTGCAGGCCATGTGCCTCTGCATTTCCTTTACCCCATCTGTAAAATAGGGATAACAGCAGCTTCTTAAAGGGCTGTTAGCCACGTGCTTAGACTGTGCCCGGAAAATGCACTGTCTCTCCTGGGCTCCCAACCTTTCACAGGCCACAGGCCCATTCCCAGAAGTTTATTTTTTATTTTTCGAGACAGGGTCTCCCTCTGTCACTTAGGCTAAGAGTGCAGTGGTGTGATCTTGGTTCACTGCAGCCTCGACCTCCCTGGCTCAAGAGATCCTCCCGCCTCAGCCTCCTGAGTAGCTGGGACTACAGATGCACACCACCACGCCTGGCTAATTTTTGTATTTTTTGTAGAGATGGGGTCTTGCTATATTGCCCAGTCTAGTCTCAAGCTCCTGAGCTCAAGCGATCTGCCTGCCTCAGCCTCCCAAAGTGCTGGGATTACAGGCATGCACTTTTTTTTTCTAAGTAGCTTTACGGAGGCGTGCTTGGCATACGGTAAACTGCCCCAGTTTAAAGCAGACAGTTCCATGAGTCCTGACATTTGGAGGCCCTGTGAAGCCAGCATCAGCAGAGTGGGCACACCCATCACCCTCACAGCGTCCCCCTGTCCCCACGACCAGGCCACTGCTGCCCTACCATCAGGCACGATGGATGGGCTTGTGCCTTGTGGAATTTTATTTGGATGGACTCTGGCAGCCAACGCTGGTTTCGTCTGGCTTCTTTTATTCAGCGTCATGATTTTGAGCTGTGTGTCTGTTGTGTGTGTCGGCCTGTTGTTTGGGTAGAGCCTACTTTGCCGATCCATGCACCTGTTGATGGACATGTGGGCGGCTGTATCCCATTTGGGCTCTCACAAATGATACTGCTAGGAATAGCTGGAGTCTCTGTGCGAGCAAATGCTTTTGCTTCTCTTGTGCAAGCAAGTGGTTGAACTGCTCTGCAGCCCGCTGGGAAGTGGAACGGCTGTGTCATGGGGTGGGTGAGGGCTTCACTTTCTAGGACACTGACAAACCGTTTTCTAAAGCAGCAATCCCCTTTTGCAGTCCAGCAGCTCCGTGCGACAGCTCTAGTTCCTCTGTCTCCTTGTCAACACTTGGTGTGGTCGGTCTTTAATTTTAGCCAATCTAACAGGTGTGTCGGGGCCCTCCCTGGCATTCCTGGTGACTCACTGTGTGGGGTCATCTTTTCAGCTGCTTAGTTGTTGTCCACATATCTTCTTTGGTAAAGTGTCTGTCAAATTGTCTGTTAAGAAAACGTGGGTGGTTTTTCATTGAATTCAAGAGTTTTTTTTTTTTTCTTTATTTTGAGAGAGAATCTCACTCTCCGTCTCCCAGGTTGTAGTGTGGTGGCGTGATCTTGCTTGGCTCACTGCAACCTCTGCCTCCCGGGTTCAAGTGATTCTCCTGCCTCAGCCTCCCAAGTAGTTGGGACTACAGATGCCCGCCACCATGACTGGCTAATATTTGTATTTTAGTAGAGACAGGGTTTCACCACGTTGGCCAGGCTGGTCTCTAACTCCTGACCTCGTGATCCACCTGCCTCGGCCTCCCAAAGTGCTGGGATTACAGGCATGAGCTACGGCTCCCGGCCGAGATGTTACATGTTTCTATATTCTGGACCAAGTCCTCTATCAGATACCTGCTCTGTGAAGCCTTCCCTTATCCCTTGCTAGTCCTTCAGTTCTTTTAAACAATTTTTTTTTTCTTTTTTTGAGACGGAGTCTCGCTCTGTCACCCAGGCTGGAGTGCAGTGGCGCGATCTCGGCTCACTGCAAGCTCCGCCTTCCGGGTTCATGCCATTCTCCTGCCTCAGCCTCCCGAGTAGCTGGGACTACAGGCGCCCGCCACTGTATCCAGCTGATTTTTTGTATTTTTATAGAGACAGGGTTTCACCGTGGTCTCCATCTCCTGACCTCGTGATCCGCCCGCCTCAGCCTCCCAAAGTGCTGGGATTACAGGCATGAGCCACCACGCCCGGCCCTTTTAAACAACTTGTTTTTAGAGCTGCGGTCTCACTCTGTCGCCCAGGTTGAAGTGCTTGGTGCTATGACGGCTCACTGCAGTTCCAACTCCTGGGCTCAAGCCATCCTCCCGTCTCAGCCTCCTAAGTAGCTGGGACCACAGGCGCATGTCACCACGCCCGGCTGATTGTTAAATTTTTTGTAGAGCTGGGGTCTGGCTATGTCGCTGACAATCAAAATGAGGACTTGAAGCATACTCCTCAAATCATCGAGGTTTATTGAGCCAACGTGAGGGCACGCCCAGGAAAAACTCCAGTCACAGAAGCATCTGTGGCTGCTTTTTCCAAAGAGGTGCGTAGGAGGTTTCATTCATATTTATATGTTTTCTTGAAAAGGGGAGGGGCATCAAGTGAGACAAATGATTATATACTTGCGAGACTTTAGTTAGAGCCCAGTAAATCTACATTTTACAGAAGACGTATATTGGAGGAAAGAGGGAGCATGGAAGCGTATATCCCAGGGAGGCGGAAGAACATCTCGTTATCTCGTCTCGCCTTTGTTCTGTGCCTGGGAAGGAAGACAAGCCGGCGTCTTATGAAAAGGCTGGTTTCTGTTCAGCCCTTTGGGAAGAAAACCCAATGACAGTTATCAAGGGAGGGGGTGTGATGATACGTATCCAACCGCACATCCATCATGGCCCTGAACTCAGCTTCCAGGGTTTCTCTGGGGTTCCCTCGGCCAAGTGGGGATCCACTCAGTTAGGTGGGGGGGGGGGTGCTTAGAATTTTATTTTTATTTCTCATTGCCCAGACTGGTCTCAAAACCCTGGTCTCGATCAATCCTCCCACCTCAGCCTCCCATTCTCTTAATAGTGCCCTTTTAGAGAGCAAACGTTTTGACTTTGATGAAGTCCAGTTTATCAACTTGTTCCCTTATGGATTGTGTTTTTTGGTGCTCTCAGAAATCTTTCCCTAAACCAAGGGCACAGATTTTCTGTTTTCTTCCAGAAATTTTGTAGTGTCAGGTTTCACACTGAGGTGGATATTCCTTTTGAGTTAATGTCTGACCAGCTGGGAGGTGTCGGTGGAGGCTCCCTTTCTGCCCGCGGGTTCCAGCACATTTGCTGGGATGGCCCTCCTCCCTCCACAGCAGAGTTCTACCCGCCCTCACCACCCTGTATCAACTCATCTCATCGATATCTCCCAACGGCTGGGGAACAAGGGCTGACTCGGCTGCAATCATCCTGCAGCCAGACTCGGGGACCTAGGACTCTGAACCTCCAACTGGTGTGGCTTCAGGGTCCCCAACTTTTCAGACCCCACCTCTGTGTTGCTCTGCAAGTGGGGATCAGCAGGGCTGTACCCCAAATGCTGCTTGCTTCTCCCGCCCTCCTCCCTCTCCCCATCTGCTCTTGGCTGCACCCCCAACCCTGACCCAAGTGTCCTTCACGCTCAGCAACGCCACAGCCTCTGACACTCCACGGCACTAAAGTGTCAAGAGACCCAGGGGACCTGCGAGATCCATCTCGCCCCACACACCACCAGGTCCCCAGGACTTGGAGGATGCTGATGGCCCAGCTCTGGGTCCTAAGCATGGCAGTATCACAGCCTCACAGGCACATGTGTATGTGTGTGTGTGCACGTGTGTATGGGTGCGTGTGCACCTGTGTATATGGGTGTGTGCACGTATGCACGGATGTGTGTACACATGTGTATGGGTGTGTGCATGGGTGTGCACATGTGTATGGGTGTGCATGTGTGTATAGGTGTGTGTATGTGTGCATGGGCGTGTGTATGTGTGCATGGGCGTGTGTGTACTTGTGTATGGGTGTGTGCATGTGATTGGGTGTGTGCATGTGTATATAGGTGTGTGTGCACGTGTATGGGTGCGTGTGCACCTATGTGTGTATAGGTGTGTGTGTTTATGTATGGGTGTGTGTGCACATGTGTATAGGTGTGTGTATGCGTGCACCTATGTGTGTATAGGCGTGTATGTGTGCGCGTGTGTAGGTGTGTGTTCATATATATGGGTGTGTGTGCACCTATGTGTATAAGTGTGTGTGCACATGTGTATAGGTGTATGTATGGTTGTGTGTGTATAGGTATGTATGTGTGCACATGTGTGTAGGTGTGTGTGTTCATGTATATATGGGTGTGTGTGCACCTATGTGTATAAGTGTATGTGCACATGCGTATAGGTGTGTGTGTTTTATGTATGGGTGTGTGTGCACCTTTGTGTGTATATGTGCATGTCTATGTGTGCACATGTGTGTAGGTGTGTGTGTTCATGTATATATGGGTGTGTGTGCACCCATGTGTATAAGTGTATGTGCACATGTGTATAGGTGTGTGTTTTATGTGTGGGTGTGTGTGCACCTTTGTGTGTATACGTGCATGTCTGTGTGTGTTTGTGGGTGTGTGTGTACCTATGTCTGTATAGGTGTGTGTGTTTGTGTCTGGGTGTGTGTGCACCTATGGGTGTGTGTGTGTATGCATGTGTGCATGTCCCTCACAGGGCAGAGCTGGAAAGAACTGGAGAGGCTGAGGCTGGTCCCTTCATCTCAGGGTGAAGCACCTTTACCCAGAGAAGGAGGGTCGTGGCCTGGGCTACTTTGTGGGCTGGAGTCCTGGTCTCTGTCACTGAAAAAAGCAAGGCAGAGCGTCTGGGAGGGGTGTCATGCGGGGCTTTCTGAGTCACTGGCTGCGTGAGATGTGAGTAGGTCTGTGGGATAGGGAGCTGGCCAGGGACTTGAGCTCCCTGCCTGCTATGACCTCAGTCAGCCCCTGCCCATTGTCAGGCTCCTTCCCTGTCTAGGGGTACCCAGTAGAGCTGCCCAGCCCTGCCACTCCAGCTTGTTTGAGGAAAAAGTGCAACCATGCTGTGGGTGGAGGCAGATGTGATTCTGTCCTCAGAGGCATGGGGGTGACTCCATGGCTCTGAGCCAAGTTGCAGCTCTGGGGCCCTTCTTGATACTCCAGGGCCCCCCATCACCCCAGCACCGAGATGGGCATGAGCAGAGGGGCTCATGGTGATGGGGTGGGCGTGGCTGGGAGAAGCCTGCATATGAAGGCCTCTGTCATTGGAGGAGACTGTCCCATGTCCCTCCAGATCATGTCCCTGAGTGGGGAGCGCCTTCTGGGCAGAGTGGCACACAGGGTCCCACCCATCTCAAGTCCATGGGATTAACTCCCCTGTGCTGGAAGCTGCAGGAGCTGCTGCCTGTGGCTGAGGAGAGGCCAGGACGGGCCAAGGAGAGCAGGCAAGAGAAGGGGTGGGGCTGGCAGGGAGGGGGCTCCATTAATTCTGATGTCATTTATTGCTGTTCCTATATTTGTATAATAAATGGAAGAAAATAGTGGTTGGGGGCTTGCTGGGGACTCAGGGAGGGTTGGGGACCTCCAGGGCTTCCATTCGACCTGAGGCCCATGGTGCAGTGAGTCCTGCCTGGAGTCCCGTCCAGCAGGAGGCAGGAGAGCTGGTGTTTGGAGATGTGAGGGGCTGGGCCCTCCCAGGTGAGCGGGTTGGGAAAGGAAAGGGTCTGTGCTGGGAAATCCAAGGGGCAAGGCCGTTTCCCGTCCTGGTCCGTCGTTGAGTCCCCTGCCGTGGGACAGCGCTCAGCATGGCACAGACGCTCAGCCGTGTCATGTGGCTTGTAGAGCGAGGGTGTGCGGCCGGCATCATCCTCAGGGAACTCTGGAGGGACTGGGCCTCAGTTGGCCTGGCCTGGCGCGGGGCTGCCAGCCAAGAGCCTTCCTCCATCCCATTGAGAGCCAGGGCAGGTCCTGGAGATGGCAGCCTGCAGGTTGAAGCCCCCGACAGCTGGGGGAGGCATTGCTCTGCACAGGTAGGGCCATGGGGCCCGCTGGCCAGGGTGGCCATTGCTCAGTGGCACCAGCTGGGCAGACAGCCGCATGCGCTCACCACTCGCCCTCCACAGATGGGAGCCTGGGAGAGCCCTGCCTCCCGGAACGGACATCCTCCTTCACCAAATCCGCAAAATAGGCCTGATGCCAGGAACGGGGCACTGCAGGGCCCTTGGGAGGGAGGTAAGCGGGCAGCCGGGCCAACCTGCTGCTTGGGGAAGGGCTGTGGCTGGCCCCAGCCTCCTACCGCTGGCCCAGTGGTCTCTCCACACATCACCCAGTGTGGAGTGGTTTTTTGTCTTTCTTTCGAAACAGGCTTTCCTCACTGAGGGCTCACCATGGGGCTGTGCTGGGGACACTGGATGTGTCCAGGGTCCGTCAAGAAGCGTTGGGGGTAGTCAGGGTCTCAGGGACCACTCTGCTGTCCTCGAGTCTCCTGGTGGTGACCAGTGGTGACTCTTGTGGCGCCCGGGCCACAGCTACTTTGTTCACCTCCTAGGAGGGAAGAGGGCGAGGGTGAGCCTAGGGCAGATGCCAGGGCAGTGAGGCTCACGTGGGTCTCTTTGCCTGATGTGCCGGTGTCCAGGCTGCAGTGGGCACCCGAGCCCTGTGGGAAGCCTCCTGGGTCTGCAGCTGAGCAAAACAGCAGCCGCCAGATGATGGGCCCTAAGTGGCTGCAGATAGCAGGCACCATTAAATGCAGAGGCCATCTGAGGCTGCAGGCTCAGCACAGGTGGCTTTGGTGCCCTTAGGGAGGGGCAGCGGTGGAGCCCAGGTCTCTGAAACATTTATGACTTCATGCGTCAGCTGGAGGCTCTTTCACCGCCCAGACAAAAGGCCCTTGCGTCAGAGTGTTCCATGTGGGGCGGGAGCTTGGGCTGAGAGCTTGGGCCCCTGCTCCCAGAGAGGCCCAGAGCTGGGGTGGCCACACCTGCTGGGAATGCTGCTGGTGGGACTAGGTTAAGGCGAGAAGGAGGTGTCCATGGCCAGGTGGATTAGTGCAGATTGTGATGGTGTGGTGGTGCTCACGGTGGGGGACTTGCCTATGGGAACCTCATCACAGCCCCACATCGGGCCCTTTTACAGATGGGAAAACTGAGGCATGGGGTGCATAGCTAGTGAGGAGCAGAGCCAGATGGGAACCAGGCGTCGACTTCAGAGCTGACCTTTGTGCATTTGTGCATTGTTTGTGTTGTGATAAAATACACGTAACGTAAAATTGACCTTTTTAACCCATGTTTCATGGTCTTCGGTTTACTCGCAGTGCTAGGCGTCCGACACGTCTTTCTAATTCCTGAACATTTCCATCATCCGCAAGAGGAAATTAGCAGTCACCCCTTTCCCCCATGCCCCCAGCTCCTGACAACCACAAGCCCACTTTCTGCCCCTGGATTTAGCTATTCTGGATGTTTCATGTGCCTGAAATCATGGCAAACGTGGCCCTGTGTGTCTGGTTTCCTTCACCGAGCGTCCTGTCTTCACTGTCCGCCGTGTTATAACACGCAAGGGAATTCCCTTCCTTTCTGAGCTGAGTAGTGGTCTGTGGTGTGGATGGACTACGTGCAGCTGTCTCTGCCTTTGGCTGTTGTGGCTAGAGGCTCCTTCCTGAAAGCCTGATACTTAGAATGGATTTAAAAACAAATTCAAATGTGTGTTGCTTATGAAAATCACAAAATTAAGTATGATGCCATCAAAATGAAAAAATGGCTAAAGATTTTCAAGCACACACACCTAAAGATAGCAGACATTCCATTCAACCTTCATCTCAAAGAATTAGGGCAAGGAGGGCGATTCTAAATGGCTGGAGACATAGTCAGCTGTGAAGCTGTAACTTTCATGAAGACAGTGACGTGGTTTGTCACTGCCCGGATCTCATCTTGAATTCCCTGTGTTGTGGGAGGGACCTGGTGGGGGGTAATTGAATCACGGGGACGAGTCTTTCCTGTGCTGTTCTCGTAATAGTGAATACGTCTCATAAGATCTGATGGTTTTAAAAAGAGGCATTCCGCTACACAAGCTCTCTCATGTTTTGCCTGCCACCATCCACGTAAGATGGGACTTGGTCCTCCTTGCCTTCCGCCATGATTGTGAGGCTTCCCCAGCCACATGGAACTGTAAGTCCAATTAAACCTCTTTCTTTTGTACATTTGCTCAGTCTTGGGTATGTCTTTATCAGCAGTGTGAAAACGGACTAATACTGACAATAAATTAAAAACTATTTAAAATGCAAAGGAAAATATAAATTTAAATCACCTCTTCGAGTCTCTGGTAGATCAAGAAAACAAAAATAATCTGAATTATTGATATAGTTAAATTAATAGATATATCAAACTTTGTAACTTAAAAGCAAAAGATGTACCTTTTACAGTGTTCCTGGAACACTCACAAACATTGATCATATACTAGACTGCAAAAACTTCAAGACATTCTAAAATTAAGAACCTATGCTGGATATCTCTGATTTCAACGTATGTTTAAAATATATGTTATTAATTACAAGTTTAATTAATGAAAGTCTAAAGAAGAAAAGTCTACTTAGAAGTAAAAACATCAGCAATATTACTGTGTAATAGATCTGAACATTAAAGGGGCATATATGCATATCTGTACACCGAGGCAAATTTATAGCTACAGGCATTTTCCTTTTTTGAAAAAAGTAAATATGTAAGTTAAAAAGTTCACAGTAAGAAAAGTGAATGTAAATAAGAGATAAGAATAGAAAATAATAGGAAACAGGAAAACAGACTTGAGGGTTCTTTTTGGGAGGTGATTCTTGGTTCTTTGAGGAAAACAATATATATCTTATAATTTCAATCATGGAAAAACCCCAAGTATATATCTAAATTTAGACATGAGAAGGCTCTTTGGCAATCGATTTAGAAAAGTTTTGTTTGTGTTTTTAAGACAGAGTCTCACTCAATCACCCAGGCTGGAGTGCAGTGGTGCAATCTTGGCTTACAGCAACGTCTACCTCCCGGGTTCAAGCGCTCCTCCCCCCTCAGCCTCCCAAGTAGCTGGGTTTACGGGCATGTGCCACCACCCCTGGCTAACTTTTTGTATTTTTAGTAGAGACAAAGGTTTCATTATGTTGGCCAGGCTGGTATTGAACTCCTGAGCACAAGTGATCCACCCACCTCGGCCTCCCAAAGTGCTGGGATCACAGGCATGAGCCACTGCACCCAGCCCAGTTTTTAATGTGACAGTACTTTGTAAAATTGTACTCCAGTGAATTTGAAAAATGTTGTGAGATGGCTTATTCTTTGGGAAAAAATGTTAAGTCAAAATTAGGAAGAAGTGGAGACAATCTCAGTATGTGTGAGATGAATCTGAACCCTCATCAGAACGTCCACAGCTGACGGTGAACACATTGGCAGGTGAGATATGTGGAGACATGGCACGTGGTGAAAATGCTTGGCAAAGTGTTCAAGGCAGGATGGAGATACCGTATGGGCATTCACTGGACAGTGTTTTCATCCCGTATGTTTGAACAATTTTTAATGTGGGATCAAAGGTAGGAAATGCTCTTTACAAAGTCATCAAAAAGTTTTTTCTGGAAAAGCCTCCAGCCCACGGTGACCTAGGTTCTTCCCACCATTGAATTAGGATGCCGTCTGCTACTGAGAGAGCCAGTCATGTTAGTGGCTCAATGGGCAGGGTGCCCAGGTTAGCTGTGAACAAAGTGATCTCTCTGCTGCCTCACTAGCAGAGAGAAAAGAAAACTACAGACCAGTGATATGTACACAGAGAGCAATGAAAATCCTCATTATGATGGCAGACTAAACCCATAGTGTGTTAAAAATGACCACACATGTAGGCTAGGCACAGTAGTTCATGCCTGTAATCCCACCACTTTGGGAGGCTAAGGTGGGAGGATTGCCTGAGCTCAGGAGACCAGCCTGGGTGACATAGTGAGACCCCATCTCTTTTTATTAAAAAAAAAAAAAAGACCATACATACACACATGCACACACAACAGTGGTAATGGATTATAATTCATGAAAAAAGAATCTATGCATCCACAGGGACACACCCATGTATATAAACAAATAAGTGGAAGAAAGGAATCCAGTTCTCACGTTAGAATCAACAGGGCTGGAAGGCCATCAAGGAAACCCCGTGGCAGGGGCAGGGGTTCAAAGAGCTGGTGGTTGTAGTCTCAGTGTCTCCCACCACCACTTACTAGTTACAAAGGAAAAAGAATCACTTTCTAGAGGCAAAGCTGGCGACACCACCCGAGCCAAGTGATCCAAGTTAACATCACCAGGAATGGGACAGGCCAGCTTCACCACCCTCCGGATGGACAGCCTCGGTAGCAGAACTCCTGCCAAAGACACAGCTGTCCAGGGTCGAATCATCCGGAGACACAGGGCAAACCCACATGGAGGGAGACACACACAGTGGCCTGAATACTTTGAAAATGCCAGGGCCAAAAAACGTAGAAGGCTAAATAAAGTACCGTTCAGGGTGAAGGGGAAGGAAGAAATGTGATGCCTAAGTGGGAGTCTATGATTCCACTATGTTATGTATTAGTCCATTTTCAAATTACTGATAAAGACATACCTGAGACTGGATAATTTATAAAGGGAAGAGGTTTAATTGACTCACAGTTCCACATGGCTGGGGAGGCCTCACAATCACAGCAGAAGATGAAGGAAGAACAAAGGAACATCTTACATGATGACAGGCAAAGAGATAATGAAAACTGAGCACAAAGGGTTTCCCCTTATAAAACCATCAGATCTCGTGAGACTTATTCATTACCATGAGAACAGCATGGAGGAAACCACCCCCATGATTCAATTATCTCCCACGAGGTCCCTCCCATGACACGTGGGAATTATGGGAGCTACAATTCACGATGAGATTTGGGTGGGGACACAGCCAAACCATATCATTCCACCCCGGCCCCTCCCTAATCTCATGTCCTCACATTTCAAAACCAATCATGCCTTCCCAACGGTGCCCCAAAGTCTTAACTCATTTCAGCATTAACTCAAAAATCTGCAGTCCAAAGTCTCATCTGAGACCAGGCAAGTCCCTTCCACCTATGAGCCTGTAAAATCAAAAGCAAGTTAGTTAATTCCTAGACACAATTAGGGTACAGGCCTTGGATAAATACACCCATTTGAAATGGGAGTAATTGGCCAAAACGAAGGGGCTAAAGGCCCCATGCAAGTTCGAAATCCAGTGGGGCAGTTAAATCTTAATGCTCCAAAATGATCTCCATTGACTCCATGTCTCACATCTAGGTCATGCTGATGCAAGAGGTGGGTTCCCATAGTCTTGAGCAGCTCTGCCCCTCTGGCTTTGCAGGGTACAGCCTCCCTCCTGGCTGCTTTCACAGGCTGGCATTGAGTGTCTGCAGCTTTTCCAGGCACATGGTGCAAGCTGTTGATGGATCTATCATTCTGGGATCTGGAGGACAGTGGCCCTCTTCTCACAGCTCCACTAGGCAGTGCCCCAGTGGGGACTTTGCATGGGGGCTCCAACCCCACTTTTCCCTTCCTCACTGCCCTAGCAGAGGTTCTCCATGAGGACCCCACCCCTGCAGCAAACTTCTGCCTGGACATCCAGGCATTTCCATACATCTCTGAAATCTAGGCAGAGCTTTCCATACCTCAATTCTTGACTTCTGTGCACCCACAGGCTCAACACCACATGGAAGCTACCAAGAGTTGGGGCTTGCACCCTCTGAAGCCACAGCCCAAGCTGTACCTTGACACCTTTTAGCTATGGCTAGAGCGGCTGGGACACAGGGCACCAAGTCCCTAGGCTGCACACAGCATGGAGGCCCTGGGCCCAGTCCAGGAAACCATTTTTGCCTCCTAGGCCTCTGGGCCTGGGATGGGAGGGGCTGCTCCTAAGGTCTCTGACATGCCCTGGAGACATTTTCCCCATTGTCTTAGTGATTAACATTTGGCTTCTTGTTACTTATGCAAATTTCTGCAGGCTGCTTGACTTTCTCCTCAGAAAATGGGTTTTTATTTTCTATCACATTTTCAGACTGCAAATTTTCTGAACTTTTATCTCTGTTTCCCTTTCAAAACTGAATGCTTTTAACAACACCCAAGTCACCTCTTGAAAGCTTTGCAGCTTAGAAATTTCTTCCACCAAATACCCTAAATCATCTCCCTCAAGTTCAAAGTTCCACAAATCTCTAGGGCAGTGGTAAAATACTGCCAGTCTCTTTGCTAAAACATAGCAAGAGTCATCTTTAATCCACTTCCCAAAAAGTTTCTCATCTCCATCTGAGACCACCTCAGCCTGGATTTCATTGTCCATATCATTATCAGAATTTTGGTCAAGCCCTTCAACAAGTTTCTAGGAAGTTCCAGACTCTCCCACATTTTCTTGTCATCTTCTGAGCCCTCCAAACTGTCCAACCTCTGCCTCTTACCCAGTTCCAAAGTTGCTTCCACATTTTTGGGTATCTTTACAGCCGCACCCCACTCCCAGTACCAATTTACTGTATTAGTCCATTTTCATGCTGCTGATAAAGACATACCTGAGACTGGGTAATTTATAAAGGGAAGAGGTTTAATTGACTCACAGTTCCACATGGCTGGGGAGGTCTCACAATCATGGCGGAAGATGAAGAAAGAGCAAAGGCACATCTTACGTGGCAGCTGGCAAAGAGAGAATGAAAACAGAGTGCAAGGGGTTCCCCCTTATAAAACCATCAGATCTCATGAGACTTAATTCACTACCACGAGAACAATATGGGAGAAACTGCCCCCATGGTTCAATTATCTCCCACTGGGTCCCTCCCACAACACATGGGAATTATGGGAGCTACAGTTCAAGATGAGATTTGGGTGGGGACACAGCCAAACCATATCAGAGTTGAATCCTGTCTGGGAAGAGATGGCTGCAATAGCCAGTGTCTGGGCAGCTGATGATGTGAGAGTGTGAGGTAGAGAACTGTAGTGTGCAATAGAGACCTGTAGTGTGCATGTCAGTGTTGTTTCCCGATTTTGACAACAGTACCACATGGTTACAGAAGAGAACACCCTTATTCCTAAGAAATCCATGAGGAGGCGTTTAGCAGAAAACAGGCATGGTGTCTCCAAGGGCTCAGAAAGATTCAACCAAAAGAGGGAAGTCTGGAGAGGGACAGGATGGAGCAGGACGGGGGCAGTGTAGAAACCGCAGGCAAGTCTAAGCAGAGCACGTTTGGGAGTTCCTTCTGCTATTCTTGCAACTTCTCTATAAGTTTGAAATGAAATCATATAAATCGAAAGTTAGAAGAGAATTACCACATCATGTTGGATTTCACTCATAGCCACGAGAACGGGTGGTGGTCTCTTCTGCAGTGAACTGATGCGATGTGTGATGTCACTAGTTCTCATCCAAAGCAGATGACAATTCCAGTTACTCCTCACCAGACATAAGAAAATGCTTTTAGTAGATCAGTTTTTCTGATTGTAAAGTTCAGAAATGTTAATCAGAGAACGTGCAGAAATTTTTAAAGAAGAAAAGTAAAATGACTCATCGTACCAAAAGCCAGAGATGCCAGCTTTTAGTTTCCTGCTAGTCTTTTTCTCGGCGTGTGTGTGTGCGCGCGTGCATGCACATGTTTCTACTTGGTCTTTGTGTGTGTGTTAAGGGCGTGTACACACACAGTGCAGTCAGGAGTGAGTTGCACGTCTACAGCTAGGCTGCTTCCCCGAGGCTGTGTGGCCATCAGCCAGGCGTCCCCAACCCCCAGGCCATGAAGCACTACCAGTCCATGGCCTGTTAGGAACCAGGCTGCACAGCAGGAGGTGAGTGGCAGGTGAGCAAGTGAAGCTTCATCTGTATTTACAGTCACTCCCCATCACTCGCATTACCGCGTGAGCTCTGCCTCCTATCAGATCAGTGGCGGCATTAGATTCTCACAGGGGTGTGTACCCTGTTGCAAACTATGCATGTGAGGGATCTAGGTTGCCTCCTCTTTATAAGAATCTAATGCCTGATGATCTGTCACTGTCTCCCATCACCCCCAGATGGGACTGTCTAGTTGCAGGAAAACAAGCTCAGGGCTCTCACTGATTCTACATTATGGTGAGTTGTATAATTATTTAATTCTATATTACAATGTAATAATAGTAGAAATAAAGTGCCCAATGCAAGTAATGTGCTTGAATCATCCCAGAACCACCCACACCACTGGTCTGTGGAAAAACTGTTTTCCATGAAACCAGTCACTGGTCCCAAAAAGGTTGGGGACCACGGCCATCGGCTGTTTGCTTTATGAATTTGTGCCTCAGTTTCTTCATCTCTGAAACGGGAACGATGGGAGCCCTCACCTCGTATGGTGGTTTGAGGATTGAATGAACTCATTGTCCAGCACCCTTAGCTTCTTGCCAGCTCAGGAAGTGCTGAGCAGGGTAACCCCTATCACTGCGTGTGTGTGTGTGTATATGTGTGTGTGTGCATACTTGCCTATGTGTGTCTGTGCAAATACTTGGTAAAATTGAGAGGGTACTAGACAACTCATTTGTATCTTCTTACCTTTTGACACATGGCAGACATGTCTCACATCTGTTCTTCCTCCAAATGTGACCTTTCAATGGCTGCCTGGCATTTCCCCTGTGTTATTGAACGTAATCAACTCTCTATTGACGGCTGGGTTATTTCCTAATTGACTGCTGTAAATAGCATTGTGATGCAAATCCTTGTACACTCATTTTTGCCTGGAACTCAAGATTATTTCCTTGGGTCACATTTGCAGGAGAAGACTGACAGGATCAAAGGGTTCCTGCATTTTTATGGCTCTGACACCTTTGGCCAAATCACCTTCCGGGAGTGTTTTCCTAATTTAGCTTCCTACTGTGCTGCTGGACATCACTGACTCCCCCCGCCAACCCCCACCCCACACTGCACCACAAAGCTGGGTATTATCATAAAAACACTGCCATTATGATGAAGCAAAAATAGAATATCCTTCCTCCTCTTAGTGAGGGGAGTATGTTTATGTTTGTTGAGCTCTTTGTATTTTAGCCACCCATTCACTGGCCCACCTGCCCCTGGTGCACCTGCAGCAGCAAGACTGTCATCTAGGTTGTTGGGGAAACCAGGAGTGAGTGGAGCACGAGGGTCACCCTCCAGGAAGTGACCTGCAAGAGAATGGAGAGAGTCATGGACCGGCATGGCGTGGTAATGCATGGTGCGTGTCTCTTAGCAGTAAGACCTTGAGAAGGAGCCAGGCAGGGAGGAATGGGAGGGTGAAGGAGTGCCTTTTGTGGAGGGGAGTCGGACACAGATGGGATTTCAGCAGAGACCTGATGGAATTGAGGGAGTGGGTGGTGTGTGCTTCTGCAGGAAGAGCACCCAGACAGAGGGCATGGCACATGCAAAGGTCCTGTGTTGGGAACGTGCTTGGTGCATGTGAAGAACTGTGCAGGGAAGGTGCTGGAGATAGGACGGGAGGGCCACGAGGGTTAAGATCCTGAGAGCAATGCGGGGGGTGTGAGTGATGAGGGACAACATCAGTCCTCTCTTGGCTTCTGTACTTTAAAAAAATCATTTTGTTTTGAAGCAATTTTAGACCTACAGAAAAGTTCCACGACAGTACTGAGAGTTCCTGTGGACTCCTAGTATTAACATCTTAATAACGGGGTGTATTGACCAAAACCGACACCTGATACATTACCGTGAACTCAACTGCAGATCTGATTCAAATCCCGCGTTTTTCTAGCATCCGGTTTCTGTTCTGTGATCCCCACGTTGCTTTCAGCTGCCAGGTCTCCTTTCGTGTCCTGCAGCCTGTGCCAGCTCCTCAGTCTCTCTTTGTCTTTCGTGACCTTGATGTTTTAGATAAGTACTGGGCGGCTGTTTTGTAGAACGTCCCTCGGTTTGGATTCTCTGATATGCTCTCATGATTAGATCAAGATTGTGCATTTTTGGCAAGAACACCGCGGGAGTGTTGTTGGGTCCCGAGGAGTCCCTGTGGCAGGGCTGTGTGAGGTCAGCATGTCTTAGGGCGGGTTCATTTGACCTTGACCACTCAGGTAGGAGTGTGTCAGCTGGGCTTCTCAGCTGTAAATTAACCATTTTCCGCTTCATAATTAGTAAACACCTTGAGGAAGCTACATTGAGACATTGCAGCTGCCTTTTTTCTCCTGAGATTTTGCCCCGCTGATTTTAGTGCCCATCAGCTGGTTTTGCTTGTGACAGGCAAAGTCTGTGGTGCTTGCCAAATGGGGATTTGTTTATTTCCCACTTTCTTTCTATGTTTGTTAATTTGGATTCTTCTCCAGGAAGAGCTGTCCCCTTTGTTCTGGTTATGTATCCAGTGGCTTATGTATATCAGCATGGTTTCATAGATACTTCTTTTGTGTTATGGGCTATAAGCCAATGCTATTATTATTTATTTTCCTCCATTTATTTATTTATTTAGAGACGGAGTTTTACTCTTGCACAGGCTGGAGTGCAGTGGCATGATCTCGGCTCACTGA